>NC_000007.14:142506779-142806779 GCF_000001405.40 Homo sapiens | reverse complement strand
GTGTTTGAGTCTAGGTGGGTTGGGTAGTCTTAGGTTATGGGGTCCCAAGCCTCAGAAATCAGCTTTTTGGGAGCCATGGGAGTTTGCCACAAGCAATGGAAATGAACTGTGATTAAAACTGTTGGCCATGCTTCATGCCATTCTATACTATGAGTCTTCTTATATAGCATAGGGGAGTTTCTAGGACATGGTAAAAGTGAACCTGGTGATGAGTCTGAGATGTCAGTAGAGAAGCAGAAAATGGATTCACTCATGGGTCCATGGCAAAGCTGAGTTCACCTCTGGGTTTTAGCCATTCCCGTGATCTCCACCAGCATCTCCCAACACCCCTAAATGAAAATATGGCTAGACATCTTTGCTCAGTGTTACCTGAGGAAGAAGCAAAAACTCATTTTTGTTTTCACTATGCAGCTTCAACAGAGGTCTCAAAGCACCAATATTCCATTCCCACATTCATTTATAACCAGAGAAACCTCACAAAGATTCTCCTATATAGGACATTTGGGGCTGTGTGTCACACAGACTGTTAGGGGCTGATATCAGTCTATCTCCACCCCTCCTTTCTGGGCCACTACAGAAGAAAAATGAGGAAATGGCTCAGGGACGGAAATGGAGACTTTAATATCTATTAGGATCCATTGCCCTTATCTCAAACTCTTATTATGAAATCACTCCCTTGAGAGAGAAAAAGCCTTTTTCTCTTGGATTGTCCCAGCAGCTCCCGACCATCCCCACTCCCCAACCTTATGTGGCCCAGCAATGAGCCTAGTAGTAGGAAAATCTCTATGGATACTGGTGCTGATGGGAAGATTCTTCCTCTCAGGAAGTGATGGTGACTGGGGCTCTGGGATGCTCACGGGAATCCCATTTCCCCCACAAAGAAGTTATTTTATTACACAACCATTTGGATGACCCCCTTTTTCTTCCAATTTCCCAAATAAATCTGTAAAGGTCACAGGTGAAGTTCTTCTCTTTAAGAGCTACTCCATGCTAAGTTCAGCGAGAACTTGGGGTACCCTAGACATTCTTCCAGAGATGCTTTTCTTGTAACTCTTTTCAATAAGTAAGCATGCTTTGCTCTGCACTGGGTGTCACCTGTGTTGGATGCTGTTGTCCCTGCCTTGCCCTATATTCTGTCCACATGGTTTCTTCATAGGATGATGCTTAGGTCAGCCCTGAGGTTTGAACCAGTCAACAAGTCCAGGTTGGTGTGGAGTCCCTTTAGTACCTCCCTTTGCAGGAATAATGCTGCACCCAGAAACTCCCTCAGAGCCTCTCCACTGGAGGGGCCTTGTGACCATTCCTGGTTTACTCCTCTTGTTCCAGCATCCCATGTGGCCAATGGGCCCCTTTCATTTTCAATGGTATCTCAATTCTTACAGTAAGTTATATTATTGCCCTACATCGAACTCATCTTTTCTCAGTGTTACCTGAGGAAGAATGGAGAGGATGCCCAGAATTGGCCCAGAAGAATCCACTTCGATTCTAGAGAAAAAGGCAGGTAGAGGCAGAAGAGATTCACTTCCCAGTGCATGCGTGCTGAATGTTGGGGGTGTTGTTTGAGAGAGACAAGGAAATGGCTGTAAAAACTTGGGAAGAGGAACCTGCCCTGGGTCAAGTAGGGTGTTGGGAGGACCAGATGGAGCTTGAAGCTCTCTCCATCTCTGTCAAGTCCCCTGGACTGAGAGGGTAAAATTCACATGGCCTTTTATCCTCCAGAGGAGAATTCATTCACCTGGGTCTGATTGCAAACTCTAGGGTACTAACAAGAAACTCCTCCCACATCCTCCCACCTGCTAATGCCTCCGTTTTCCACGTCCCCAAGATGATGGCCATCAAACTAACAGACACTATCTTTCTTCTACAAGGTGTTTCCCCCTTCCCACCTCCACTCTAATCTTGCACTACAGCTGCTCAGCCCCTCACAGCTCTGCCCACACAAACCACTATCCTCCAATATCCCCAGTCCTAGCCTGCGCCCTCTGGCCCCCACAGTTCTGCTCTCTCTGAAGTGCTTCCTTGTTCCCTCGGCTGCTCATCCTCCTGTCCTACCTTTGCGAGGAGCCACAAGGATATGCCTGCTGCCTCCACGCAGGTCTAAGGAGTGGGAAGCATGAATGTTGGTCTAGGGCCTAAAGCCTGTCCCCTTTGTTTTAGGCTTTTTTTTAGCCAATATAAAAACAAACCAGCACATATGTAACAACAATAGCCAACAAAATACTATACTGCATTTTGAGCAGTCTAGAGATAGTTACGACTGATGGAAATGACCGGCATGTGATGAGTTTCCTGGGCCCCATCCCTGCTGTGAGCACATCCTTTCCTGGTCTTTGCAAGCTGCCACCAGAGAACCCTCTTCTCCAGTTCCAAGATCCCCAGTGTAGTGGGAAGAAGAGTGTTCCCCCAGAATTCATGCCCACTCAGAAACTCAGAATGTGACCTTATTTGGAAATAGGGACTTGGCAGGTATAATTTGTTAAGATCTCTCAATAAAATTGTTCTGGATTTAGGGTGGGCCCTAAATCCTAAGACCATGCCTTGAAAAGAGAAAGGAGAGGGGAGCTTAAATGCAGAGACACAGGGAAAATGCCATGTGAAGACAGAGGCAGAGATTGCTGCGATGCTGGCACAAGCCAAGGAGTGCCAGAAGCCATCAGACATGGGAAGAAGCAGGAAAGGATTCTCCCCTAGAGCTGTCATACAGGATGACCCGCTGACATCTTGGTGTTGTATCTTTAGCCTCCAGAACTGTGAGAGAATAAGTTTTTATTGTTTTAAACCCACCAGTGGTACTTTGTTACGGCAGCCGTGGGAAACAAAGACACCAAGGCATTAAGGTGTCTTCAGTGTGTTACCATGGGCCCTGCCTGGAGTTTGGGAGAAGCTGCTCTAGGATCACCCAGATACCAGGAGCAATCCCACCATCCTGGTAACTACTTGGAAAAAGTTTCCAGAATTGCCATCTTCAGCAGAACATGCCACGGTTTCACAACTCATAAGTAATTTGAACTGTAATCTTCAGTTTCCACATCTATAACATGGGGAAAATAATACCTGTTCCTGGGATCATTGTGCAGATGCAGACAGCACAGGTAGCAGCGTCCAGCCTGAGGCCTGAAGCAAGCAGGCTCTCAACAAAGGGCTCCCTCCTCTTTCCCAACCTTTCTCTGCTTTCAGACTTCTCTTCTCTCCCCTGACAGTCTTCCTCAACTAACTTCGACATGGCCTCTCTCAGCCCCTCTCACTGTTCTAGGCCTCCTTTTCTTTAATCCCATTCCTCCTCTTCCTCCATGTAGTGTTTTACCACAATGCATTCAGCCTGTATGCAGAATTTACCTTGACAGGATAACTGTCTTTGCCCAAGTAGGAGCAGTTAACACCTTGTGTTTGGAGTGGTTTGGTTTCCATCCATCAAACGAAGAAGCCCATTGGAAGGGCTACTCTGAACATAGCACTTCAGCCCCCACTGGGCCCTATATCCCATTGCTCCTGACTTAGTGTGTCTCGCTCCTGAGAAATCACTCTTCCCCAGGCTTTACATATCAGTTGTCTCAACTCTGCCTTCTCTAGTATTTCAAACTAGACATGCAGAGTAGCACTCAATTTTAAGCCCAAATCCTGAAACAAGAGAAGCTGGAGGTGTTAAGACTACAAACTAATAAAACTAAAGGTAAAACAGGTGACAGTTTAATCTGGAATTGGGAAATGACCAGACATTGTAACCCATAGGTCTGCCCGCATCCTCTGTCCTGCACTGGGTAAGGGCTTATGGTTTGCTGTGTGCCTTCCTCTCTGTCCTCATCTTGCTGGTTTTCCAAAGCCCAGCCATTGCCCTTCAGACTAACCCTCCAGTGGGGACCCAGAATGCCTGGGTATGGAAATGGTGTTTGAGGACTTCCATCAGGATGAACAGGAGAAAGCAGCATTGGGTGGAGAGAAAGAGGGCTGTCACTTCAGATGTCCAAGGGAATGCTGCTTTCCCTAAATCAGAAGATAGGTCAGTGATGAGCAGAACTCCACAGACACTCCTGAAATGCAACCAGGCCCAACACACAATTTTTTATTGGTTTAGCCTATTTCGTACTTGGGGGTTGGGAGCTCAATCTTCAGGGAAACAGAAAAAAGAGAGAAGTATTCATGTAAGTAGGAGATGAGAAGCAGAGTGAGAATCACTTTTAGGAACACAGATTGGGAGCAGGTACAGGAGAATCCTGGGTGAGGATGAAGAATGACCTGGGATGGTTTTGGAGCTAGCCTCTGGAATCCTTTCTCTTGACCTGTGGAAGAGAGAACATTTTCAGGGTTTCAGGGGCTATGGCACAGCAGGAGTAGGGCAGGGGAGGCGGGCTCTGAGGCCTAATTTGAGTAGGGCTCGCTGGTTGTCTCCATCCTCCCATGATGCATTCTGTGATATTCCCTGCATTTTCTCCCCAGTCTGGCTTCATTATGGTTTCATTGAGGTGATAGGATATATTAGGCTGTGCTCTGGCTCTGAGATTCCTTTATGCCCATGTGTGATGTTCCATCCCCTGCCCCCATCATCTGCCCTATCCCACCCTCCTCCTTACCATGGCCATCAGCACGAGGGCACTGACCAGCACGGCATACAAGGTGGCCTTCCCTAGCAAGATCTCATAGAGGATGGTGGCAGACAGGACCCCTTGCTGGTAAGACTCTGTTGACAAGAACAGAGCATGTAGGTACCTGTGCACAGGTGGCTCTGGCCTCCCTCACACCCCTGTGTCCGTGGATTCTCCATGCCCTGGTTCGAGAGCAGAGACGGCGAAAGATAGAGAGAAAAAGGAGAGACTCACTTACCGGAGGTGAAGCCACAGTCTGAAAGAAAACAGGGGAAGAAAAATGGATGAGAGAATGCTGCTTTGTAAGGACATTGAGCCTTACATCACAGACTCACAGGCCACAAACACATGCATATCAGATAGTACAAAGTCAGCCTCCTTTGATAGCCCTGGTTCTGTCTCCCTCATGCTGCTCCAGTGCCAGCGAAGTGGTCACTATGATCTTAGGAAACCAGGACCCCAGAAGAGAATGGGATGCACACCACTCAGATGCTGAGCTGTATGGCTGGTCCTCAGGGAGACTTGAAAGCTTAGCTCTAAGGTGTCAGGATCTGAAGGAAGAATGAGCTTGAGGTGCTCCATTCAGCCTCTATGCTTCTTGGTGGGGGAAGTGCACACCGTGCTTTGCTGACCCTGTGAACCTTGATCATCCCACCTTGTCCACTCTGGCTTTCTTCTGGATCTAGTCTTGTCCGCTACCTGGATCTTTCCATTTTCCCTGGTAGCTGGTCTCACCTAATCTCCTCCAGGCATCTCCCCAGGCCCCACTCACCTGCTCTACCCCAGGCCTCGGCGCTGACGATCTGGGTGACAGGTTTGGCCCTATCCTGGGTCCACTCGTCATTCTCCGAGAGCCCGTAGAACTGGACTTGACAGCGGAAGTGGTTGCGGGGGTTCTGCCAGAAGGTGGCCGAGACCCTCAGGCGGCTGCTCAGGCAGTATCTGGAGTCATTGAGGGCGGGCTGCTCCTTGAGGGGCTGCGGGTCTGTGCTGACCCCACTGTGCACCTCCTTCCCATTCACCCACCAGCTCAGCTCCACGTGGTCGGGGTAGAAGCCTGTGGCCAGGCACACCAGTGTGGCCTTTTGGGTGTGGGAGATCTCTGCTTCTGATGGCTCAAACACAGCGACCTTGGGTGGGAACACGTTTTTCAGGTCCTCTGGAAAGGGAAGAGGTAATGGGGCTAGGGTTGCTCTAAGAGCTGTCTGGTCCTGGTAGGGGCTCTGTGTATGTGTGAGAGAGAAGGCCGGGAAAGGACCATAATGAAGCACAATTATGTTACTAGGTCCTCCTTGCTTTGGGGTCACCAGCCTATTCCTCTTTGATGGTTCTACCCCTTCCTTGCCTGTCTTTTGTATCCACCCTATGGGTTGGCACTGCCCATTGTCTGTCCATCCCCCAGTTAGGCACTGCCTAACATTCCAGGTGATGTCTCCTCATTGCCATTATTTGATTTCCTCTCTATCAATAAAAACTTGCCTACCTACTTCTCACCATTTTATGTGGTAGTTTTTTAACTGGAGCAAGGGATTGGAACCCAAAAAAACAAGATCCAAATCCTAGAACTTCCTTTGTCCACCAACAAGACTTTTAAGACAGAAATTCCTATCACTTTTTTCTGCATGTGAGGTAATAATCACCATTCTGACTTTGCAGAAACTGTGTGAAGGTTAAATTATGTACGAATTCAAAAAGCCCCCTCCCAAGCAGGTTATTTATACCAAATCTAAGGTGCTCAGGAATGAAGGGGAATCTGGGATGAGGGAGACATTTTAGATCTGGGGGCTTTCTTTGGATTTACAGATGGCCTATTTTTTGCATTCACATGAGGACATCCTTTGGTTTTACAGTGCGTTCATGAGAATGTGAGGTTTTTTCTTTTTGTGGTGCATGAAGTCATCTTATCCATTCCTCTGCCTCCAGGTACCCCTGAGTTTTCTCAGCTCAGACAGTTAGTCATCTTCCCTTATTTCAAAATTAGGGACTCTTCAACCTTCTGTGTCCCTTTGCATCCAAATATTATATGTAGCTTTCTCTACTAGCAAGTTTCCCAAATAAACATCTGATATCATCAGAGTAACTTCTTGCTACTAGTTGTGTTGATACAGTTTCTGTCCTGAGCATCTCCTTTGTAGATTCTTAGGGATGACAGGTAAATTCATCCCCTTTAATCCCTGAGGACCCCTTTCATTTTGCTGAATCACTTCTTTTGGACCTGCCCTCCTACTCATCTTATCTTTTTTTTTTTTCTTTTTCTTCCCATTGATTGTTTTTCATTTCTGAGCAACTCTATTAAAATGAAGAAATATCAGTCTTAGGAGAACCTATTCCGAATCTCCTGGACAATGGAGGAAATTTACTCTGACATTTCTTTACATTTGTATGGATGTGACCTCCTTCCTAGGTCCCCATGGGGCCTCCTGCTAGAAGGGCCCCCTGCTTGGTTTAGTGCTCTGCTGTCACCATGTTGAAATCCTAAGATTTAACACGAGCCCCGGCATTTTCATTCTGAGCTGGTCCTGAAGATTTTGTAGCTGGTCCTGCTTCCCATCATGTCAGTTTCCTTTCCTCCCCACAACTCCTACCTGCTAATTACTACTATGCTTCTAAACATTTACTGGCTGGGCTGGGGCCGAAGTGGTAATATCCTAACTTCTATCTGCAGAACTTTCTTTCTTTCTGCTCTCAGCCTGCTTATTTTCACTCTCATCTCAAAAACCCTGGCTCTGGGAGTCTACCAGCCCTCCAGAATGTACTCCTTTGATTTCTTCATTTAGCAAACACTCAGTCCTCATTGTAAATATTAAAAATATTCCTTGACCATGTATGCTGTTCTGTGGAATAGTTATTGATGCAACAGGCGTGGCGAACACTAGCCGCCTCTCACTACACACCAGCATACTATCTGTACATGAGGGCAGGGTCAACTCTTCTTCTGCATTTGTGAGTCCGTGTGGTGTGGGGCTTGTCTCTGTGGGTGTAAGTGTGTGTACTAGTGAGCTTCTGGAGTAAGTGTGTGTACTAGTGAGCTTCTGGTGTAAGTGTATACTAGTGAGCTTCTGGTGTAAGTGTGTGTACTAGCAAGCTGACGGTGTGTGTGTTCTAATGAGCTTCTGGTGTGAGTGTGTACCAGTGAGCGTCTGGTGTAAGTGTGTGTACTAGTGAGCTGCTGGTGTAAGTATGTGTACTAGTGAGCTGCTGTTGGCCTGTGCTCTACTTGTGGGTTGGATTCACCTTAGGCAAAATTGTGATGTTTGTCTCACATCTTCCCAACCCACCTCTGACACAGACACAGCCTTACTCCATTTCCACACTTCAGATCCTGCCCATCCTTTGGCACTGGGCTGACCCTGCCCCCTGTCTCCCCAGTGACCTCCTAGGAGGATGGGGAAAAGAACCATTGAATTACATCAATAATCTGTACACGGTACATGTTGACTCTCTTTTCTTCCTCACAGCAATAGTAAGTGGTAGGTATTGTTCATTACATTTTATAGTTGAGGAAACTGAGGTTCACACATTAATTTGCCCAAGGTCACCACATCACAAAAGAACCAGAGGTTCGAACTCAGCCTTTATCTGGTTCTAAAGTCTGGGTCTTTTCGGTGCCCCAGCTGACTGCAGGAACCCCACATTTCCTCTGGATACGCTTCTCTGTAGCTGAGCCCCATTACACCCAGATTAATGACAGCCTAACTACAAATGGTACCGGTTAATATACCAATATTGTGAGTTCTCTTCTCTGGCCTCAGGGCAGTTGTCACCAGGTAATGTTTAGGGTCCCTTTTCAGCTCTCAGGGCCTAAATCTTCCAGAGAATTTTCCTCATCTCACAGGCAAATTGTCTGCATTTTAATGTGTGTTTGTGGCGAATGAACTCCCTGAACATCTGGGCTGTTTAACCTAGAATACTTAGTGTGCTAAGGGAGATTTCAGGATAGGGGAGGGAGCTACACGGGGGCGGGGGTGGTAAGTGTACCCCAGTGGCTGAGGTTATGTGCCCTACTCTCAGGTCAGCACCTCTTTGTTGACCAGCCCGTGGGTAAGCATGAATGCCGTGCCCTCACCCTGGACCCAGGGATCTCTGGCTTAGGAGGAATAGGAATCGGGAACAAGGAGTTTTAAGTCGGATTAGAGATCCACACTGCTAAACAGTAAACTTTCATTCTTTTCTTCACTGACTCATGTTCATCTCCCTTTTTGGCTTCTCTGTTCCACTTTTGTTTGGCAGGCTTTTTCTTCTGTGTTCTACTGCACCCTCGGCTGCAGGATTTCTGCCCCCTAACACCCACCCGCCTGCCCGCAGTGCTGACCCTTGCCCACCCGCGCTGTTCCCAGCCTGCTCAGCTCTTTTTGCCTACGAATAGCAGTTACCCCCACTCCTACCCATTCCCCAAACCAGGATTTCCCTTCGTCCTCTCCAGTCTCGCCTCTCCCAGAGTCCTAACAAATCCTCTCCTCCATCGTTCACCTTCTCTCTAAACACCCCAGAAAAAAGATTAAAAGTGGCCTCGCCCTCTGCTCAGCTTTCCGGACTCTGAGCACCTCCCCACCCCCTCCCTCTTCCCCAGTCTTTCCCCAGGAGCGGGGAGGTGACCTTGCAGAGCTGACCCCGGACACCCAGCTCCTCCAGCTCCGGTCCACCCTCCGACTCCGGGGACCGAGGGGCTGGAAGGTGGGGAGACGCCCGAATCTCACCTGTGACCGTGAGCCTGGTGCCCGGCCCGAAGTACTGCTCGTAGGAGCACGGAGGTGCACCCCCGCATGCAAACCTCTAAGGCTCCCCGAGCTCCTGCCCACCCTGGGGACCCAGCCCAGGTCTCCCAGCACAGGGCCGGACCGGGTGCCGCGAAGCAGCCGCCGCCTTCCACCTGAATCCCGCCGCCCGGGTGGTCCCGCGAAAACTCACCCAGCACGGTCAGCCTGCTGCCGGCCCCGAAAGTCAGGACGTTGGCCCCAGAGCACAGCCCGGGGACTCCCCGCAAAAACCAGACCCAAGCCGCCCGCGCCCGCGCCCCAGCAGCCCGCGCTCACCGAGCACCAGGAGCCGCGTGCCTGGCCCGAAGTACTGGGTCTCTTGGTCACGGCCCCCGAGCCCCGCACAAAAACCCGAGCGCAGTCTCGTCCCCGGTCCCCCGGCGGCCCCAGCTTACCCAGCACTGAGAGCCGGGTCCCGGCGCCGAAGTACTGAATGTTTTTGGCTCACAGCCCCGAGACGCGGCACAGAAACTGGCCCTGCGACGCCCCCGGCGTCCCGGGGCGCCCCCTCCCCAGTTCCGGGGCTTCAGCGGGAGCCCCCGCTTACCGAGCACTGTCAGCCGGGTGCCTGGGCCAAAATACTGCGTATCTGTGCTCACAGCCTGGAGGCCCAGGACAAAAACCGGTGCTGCCCGCTCTGCTGTCCCAGACTCAGCTCGGGTCCTTCCCACCGCTGAGAGCCCCATCGCTCTCCCAGCACCCAGAACCAGGAGTCCTCCGCCCAGACGCCCAGCAGCGCCTCTCAGCACAGCCCCTCTCAGAGTGGGGCAGCTGCTTACCTCTGCCCATCCCGCCCTCTCGGAGCTCTCCGGAGCCCCAACCGCCTCCTTACCCAGTACGGTCAGCCTAGAGCCTTCTCCAAAAAACAGCTCCCCGGTGTTCGCACAGCCCTGGGGACCCTGGCGCAAACCCCGCTTCCCTCGAGGAGGGCCCTGGATTGCCCAGTGTCCACTCCCCTAAGAACAGGGTTCTGGGGTCGTGCAGGCTGGGCTGCTCACCCTCTCTCCCACCTGGAGCCCCCTTCTTACCTAGCACGGTGAGCCGTGTCCCTGGCCCGAAGAACTGCTCATTGTAGGAGCACAGTGGGAAGGGGCTGCCCAGAATTCCTTCTCCTTCCCCACCTCCCTTAGCACAGACAGAGGGCACACCCTTCCTCTCTTTCCTGAGCCTATCTTTTCCTGTCTCGAGTTAGCTGGACACGGTAACCTGGATCTTGCATGAGGCCACCACCAATTTGCAGAGGAGAATCCACTTGGCTGGGGGACAACACAGTGGATTTGAAATCTGAAGGGGCATTGGTGGTACTGGAACGGCTGGAGCTGGGCGATATTGCAGGCTAGACCTTGCCGTTTCCTAGTTATATGACCTGTAACCTCTGATCTCAGTTTCCTCATTGGAAAGATGGGACAATATCTTTCCCTCAGGGTTTTCATCAGTTCTTAATAAATAATGCATGTGCAAGTACTTTGTCAAGAACAAGTTTTATTAAAAGTGCTGAGTGATAATCCCACTTTGCTGTCTTGGCCTTCTTATTCCTTGGAAGCCGAGTCTGGACAGGGAGATGGACAGGTGCTCGCTGGGTTGGGGGACCCTGCAAGACCACAGCTGGGACCAGCCCCAGAGAACTCTTCCCACCTGGTAGCTGCATTCCCTGAGCTGGGTGGGGATGCTTACTGCATCAGGGTTTTTTGTAAAAGCACCTCCTCTACCTGAATCATCGTGCCCTCCCGCTAGTCCCCACAATGTTACACCATGATACAAAAATGTTTCCTCCCTGCTAGTCCCCCTCCCCCAACCACTGGGCAGCGGCAGGAAGCGCAGGTGGCAGAGGTTAGTCTGACTGTGTGGGGCTTGGAAAAGACAAAGGCAGTGAATTAAAATGGGAAGGGCTTGGGGAAAGTCACAGTGATGGTAATGGTGGGGGGCAGAGAGGTCCCTCCTTGGAACATGCATCACCCTGAGCAGACCATCTATGTCACTGGGTCTCCCTGGTGGGGCTCACTGTGCCCACCTGCTCAGACTGGCATTTATAGTGAAGTGGGTGGGAGGAGCGAGGGGTGGCAGGCAGCTCATAGGAAAATCCACAGAGCAGTTGATGGCACCTTATGACAGGAGGACAAACAATCCAGAAACCTCTATAATTTCCCTTTGTTCAGTTGCTTCCTGAACGATGTCTGAACTCCATATTCTTCATTTACTCCACAGGTGTTTAGTGAACATCCACCATGTGCAGGCTCCATGCTGGTTGCATGGAGGTAAGTTTATTCCCAGAGTGGCATGCACCAACCTGCCTTTCCAGCGCTAATTTTGAGCACTCCCATTTCTGAACCTTGCAACCAGCTAAACGGGCCTACCCAGAGGTACCTAGCCATGTCATTAGGGCTTTTGTTCATGCCTCTGACCAGCATGGCCATTCTCTAGAGTGAACAACTGAGACCAATTCTTCCTTTGAAGAGATTGCCACCTTCTCAGACTCTTTACTGATTATCCCAGTGAGAAATTGAGGGCCACTCTCTGACTGCATTTTAGTAAGCAGTTCATGTTGCTCTTTCAAAGCATGGACTTGCGTTTGGCTCTTTCTGTTCATGATTGAGTTGCTCTGTGAACAGATACGCTTCTTGGGGACTGTAATTTGGGTATCTTAATTTTCTTGGAAGTTGATAACAACACATCACAGGGATATGTGTTTAATGAGTGGATGTGTGTACATGTGTGTAAATATAAACATATACACGCGTGTGCATACATGCACACACGCATCTTTGAATGCATGTATGTGTTGCAATAAAGAGGGAAGACTGTGTGGTGTAGTCCTATAAATGGAAGGGTAATGGCTATTTCAGGCAGGACTTACGGTGATGATTGCTCCTGGATTGGGTCAGTTTGGGTTCACTCATTTATTCATTTATTTATTCATACATACCTATGTGGTGTCTACACTAAACTGAGGTTACTATACTATAGCCCTGGGATACTATCTTAAAATGTATCCTTGTTAACAAGGAGTTCATAGTCCCTGGGGGTGTCAGACAAATAAAGAGGTAGTTTCCAGCAAGTGTGATGTATCACAAAGAAGGTTATGCACAAGGCACTGTGATAGCAAAATAAAGGTGTATTTAATCCAGCCTCAAGGGAGGAAGAGGTAAGGAAGAGGCAAGAAAGGGCCAGAGAAAGCTTTTTGGAGGGGAAGACATTGGAGCTAAATCTTTAAGTCTAAGCAGGAGTTATCATGGGGAGAAGAGTACTTTGTCACCCCAGGAGGAAGAGCATGTGCAAAGCGGCCTGAAAGAAGCAGCTCAGGGGCTTCAGGGATGAGAGAAGTGAGGAGAGTGTGGAAGGAGACAAGGATAATCATCCGGTCTTCTGTGCCACCTTTGGGATTTGGGACTCCATCACCATGGTGACAGTGAGACAACAGAAGGAGCTTTTGAAGGAATTCTAGAAGTAGGAATGGGGCTGATTCTCAGTTTTAGATACCTTTATTTTCTAACCTTCCAGGAATGATTAGGGGACATTTTCATTCTGGTTTAATTCACTAGAGAGAGATTTATAAACAGATGGGTAACTTAAACCGGAAGACACATCTTCCATTGAAAATAAGTTTGCAAGTCAGAGCCTCTCTTCTTTGGAGCTGGGAAATCAACTTGGTGAACCAATGAAGATGAATGGAGTGCTCAATAAGAAAGCTGCAAGGAAGGTGGGTGATGCTTATGGAATCCAGCTTTGTTAGTCACGGGGACATGGCCAGCTGGAGGGTGAACACACCTGTATAGGTTGGCTCTTCCTCTGAGCACGTCTTTCCTGGGCAGAACAGTATAGTTGGATATAGAAAATTCCTATACTCAACATCTGTGTCTTCCTAGACTGTTCTAGAAGTAACCTCTTCAGCTCCCATCACTGCCTTTCACGCTGAATTAACCTCTGCTATTGATCTCAAGGTGGGCCCCTCATCCCTCTTACGTGAAGAGTCTGCATTTTCCTTGAATACCTCTTGTTTCTATCCTGACTGAATGGGGAGAGTCACAGGGAGTTCAGAGACAGCCAAGGAGCTATCCAGACATTCACAAGTCAGAGTCAGGCCAGACCAGAACATTTTTATTGGTTTAGTCACTTAGGCATGCTAAGGTCCCCCTGGGTTAGGGAGATTTCAGCCGTGAGTGTGCAGGTGTGCATGCACATAGGGGGATATCTATTGGGATGCAGAGAGGTGAGAGCAGCTCTTCAGAAGCGCTGGCAAAAGAAGAATGTGTATTGAAACCATGACGGGTTAGAAGCTCCTAACTCCACTTCCAGGGCTG
Source organism: Homo sapiens (assembly GCF_000001405.40). NCBI lineage: Eukaryota > Metazoa > Chordata > Mammalia > Primates > Hominidae > Homo > Homo sapiens. The sequence continues at coordinate 142,793,144 of NC_000007.14, read as the reverse complement.
CCTTCAGAAATCCTTTCTCTTGACCTGCAGAAGAGAAAGTTTTGGGGGTTATTAAGAGCCAGGAGTTGTGAGGATTGAGAGAAAGTAGTAGGGCCCATTGACCACACAAATAGTAAGGCTCATCACAACATCCATTGGGTTTTCTGGTGACTCCAGCTTCTCCTTCCCAGCATGACCCTTCCACTGTGATCCTACAGAGGTGCAAGTTATCTTCTGAGGCACCTGAATGAAATCTCTTCCCTCCCTACTGCCCAGCTCCAATCCTGGCAGGGACTCTATACTTCTGGGTGCTTGGTGTCAGTGTGTCACCTCCAGCCTGCTGGCCCCATCCTGCCCTCCTGCTTACCATGGCCATCAACACAAGGGCGCTGACCAGCACAGCATACAGGGTGGCCTTCCCTAGCAGGATCTCATAGAGGATGGTGGCAGACAGGACCCCTTGCTGGTAGGACACTGTTGGCACGGAGGAAGGACAGGTGGGTACCTGTGCACAGGTAGCTCTGGTCTCTCCCACCCTCCACCCTCCAGTGTCTGTGAGTTCTTCATGCCTTGGTTCTAGGTCAAGAACCATGAGAGAGGGAGAGGAAAAGGAAGGGCTTACTTACCCGAGGTAAAGCCACAGTCTGAAAGAAAGCAGGGAGAGGAAAATAAATGAGAGACCTTATTTTCATAGGCAATTAAAAGTAAAGTCAGATTTGCAGTTGGCACAGACTCCCAGGCCCAGACCAGCTTCCTCTGACAGCCCAGCACCTCCTTTCTTCTGCCATGCAGATGTCAGCCACATTGTCCTTGCAATCCATGGCATGTGGCAGCACTGAGGGGGCTGGGGGGCACCACCCAGATGAGAGTTACACAGGCCACATAGAAAGGGGACCCAGCTGCTTGGCTCTGTTGGGCTGAGAATCTGGGAGAAGAATGAACCACAGGTGCCCAATTCTCCTTCATGGTGTGCGCTGGTTCCTTTCTTTTTGGATCTAGTCTTGTCTGCTACCTGGATCTTTCCATTTTCCCTGGTAGCTGGTCTCACCTAATCTCCTCCAGGCATCTCCCCAGGCCCCACTCACCTGCTCTACCCCAGGCCTCGGCGCTGACGATCTGGGTGACGGGTTTGGCCCTATCCTGGGTCCACTCGTCATTCTCCGAGAGCCCGTAGAACTGGACTTGACAGCGGAAGTGGTTGCGGGGGTTCTGCCAGAAGGTGGCCGAGACCCTCAGGCGGCTGCTCAGGCAGTATCTGGAGTCATTGAGGGCGGGCTGCTCCTTGAGGGGCTGCGGGTCCGTGCTGACCCCACTGTGCACCTCCTTCCCATTCACCCACCAGCTCAGCTCCACGTGGTCAGGGAAGAAGCCTGTGGCCAGGCACACCAGTGTGGCCTTTTGGGTGTGGGAGATCTCTGCTTCTGATGGCTCAAACACAGCGACCTCGGGTGGGAACACCTTGTTCAGGTCCTCTGGAAAGGGAAGAGGGGTTGGAGCCAGGGTTGCTCTGAGAGCTGTCTGGTTCTGGTAGGGGCTCTGTGTGTGTGAGAGAGAGCCCTGGGAATGGGCCGTAATGAAGCACAACTATGTCATTCTAGGCCCTCATTGTTTTGGGGTCACCATCCCAGTGTCTGTTGCTCTCTCTCCACTTTGCCCCTCCTTTCTATGCTGTCCCATGGATGCACATTGCCTACTGTCTCCCCAGCTTCCTATGGTCACATTATATCCTGATTGTCTTGGCTGTTTTTACTGAGGCTTGTCTGATCATCTATCCAAATAATTTATCTGTGTATCTTTATTTTTCAAAGCCTTGCTTGGTGCATGGCTATGTAATCCTGAAACTCGAGGTAGGAAACTCTCATTAGTGGTATAATTACAATAACTAAATTGACTTTTTCTAATTATAATTTTCCTTTTTTAAATCAAGATGTATATATTTGTCTCGTGGGGTAGTGACACATATTAGAATTAGCTTTTCTTTTCTAGAAAAGACACTTTTCCATTACATCTGAGTCCCCCACCTGCCCAGCACCTTTTTAAAAAATTTTATTTTCTTGCATGTAACCCTCTTTAAAGAGCCAAACCTGGTCAATATCTGATGGGATGGTCCACATTTCCTCCTCCCCTGGGGCAGGAGGGTGTGGTAGCTTGTCCAGGATGGCTGAAATCCCATGGAAGTTGATGGTCATGGGATTAACCCTTTCTTCTCTCAGAGTGTCCAGCAACCCTGCCTGGCCAGGATTGGAATCCGTCCACAGTTAAGCTTTGCATTCTCAAAAGTAGTACAAGCTAGACCACTGAGTATGAATGAACCACAAAGTCCAAGGGCCATTTCAGTAGAAAGCTCACACTGCAGAGCTCTGGACCTTTTCACATGCTTGAGAGAGGAGAGAAAGAATTTCTGGGATTATTGGAAAGAATGATTTCATCTGAAGACACATGAGGAGTGGAAGAAACCACAATTTACTGTGCCCTTTGCTTGGCTCTGTTCCAACCATGAGAGTGAGCTTTTGGTGCAGAAATGTGGCAAGTCTAGATATGGGTTCTTTATCCAAATTTGGGAAATGTTTTTGATGGGAAAATTGAGATGCAGGTTTGGAAAAAGGCAAACCCTGTGACCTAGTGATCATAAACAACAGGAATGAAAAGGATTGTCACCACAAGTTGAGTCCTTTACAAAATCCTTTACAAAGGATTTTCATATAAGTTAGTCTCTTCTGTTTCTATGTCTTAGAGAGGAGGCAGCTTAAGTTGCTTTTCAAATTGCACACCTCCCCCACCACAGCCCCTTGAACCCAGGCCTTTGAATCTGGTGATTTGTACTTTCCACTCAACGTCTTGGTGTGTGTCCCCACCTACACTAATGTCTGCCCAAGCCCCTAAACTTTGGTAGACCCTATGAGTCCCATTCCTCCACCCTTGTCTATGTCTCCATCCTAGACCTCATCCCATCCCAACCCCGCTCCACCGCCTGTCTGCTTCCTCCCCAGCATGGGGAAGGTTGTACTAGGGCTTCCTGGTGGGGCCTTTACCCTATTGTTCTAGCATAGATTCTGAGGCTTAAGAGAATGGAGTCTTGGCTGGGTGCAGTGGCTCACATTTGTAATCCCAGCACTTTGGGAGGCCAAGGCAGGCGGATCACGAGGTCAGGAGTTTGAGAACAGCCCGGCTAACACAGTGAAACCCTATCTCTACTAAAAATGCAAAAAGTAGCTGGGTTTGGTGGCAGGCACCTGTAATCCCAGCTACTCGGGAGGCCAAGGGAGGAGAATCGCTCAAACCCAGGAGGCGGAGGTTGCAGTGAGCCGAGATCGTGCCACTGCACTCCAGCCTGGGCAATAGAGCTAGACACCGTCTCAGAAAAAAAGAAAATAGAGTCTCCTACCCATTTTGTCTTCTTTATACCTTATCTGTTGCTAAGATAATGTCAGTTTCCAGTTGTAACACTCTCTTCAGACCTATCTCCCAAACACCTGCCAAACACAGGCACCTCAGAGACTCCCTGCAGCTCGCCCAATGCTGTGACAGGGACTTCTGCCCTCAGGCCTCAAGAGCAACCCTGAAACCACCTGTCTCCCCAACCTGGTCATGCCTGGCTCATGAACCTTCAAACTACCTCAGGAAGACATAGATGCATCTTCTAAGACTGGTAGAGAAAGAAAGAAGGAGGGAGATGAAGACATGAGCAGAGTTCTGTGCTGGAGGCTGGCAGTGGGGAGAATCTTAACATAGAAGACAGAGCTAGTCACCAAAAGGAGTCAACAATGCAGAAGTGGAGTTAGAATGGGAAGGAAAAAATGGAGAAGATGCAATTTAAAAAAGGGAAAGTAAAACAATACATCCACTAAGAAAGTAGAGATGAGAAGAGTCCCAGAAAACAATGAAAAGAAGAGCAAAGAAACACACAGCCCTGAAGACTAAGCAAGGAGCTCTACAGCTGAGGAACTGCAGGCAACACAGCAGAGCAACAAGCTGGAAGAGCTCCAGGGAGGGGAGGAGAGGGCACAGTGCTCCAGGTAAGAAGGGGTGACCCTGACCTCCGTTCTTACACTCAATTCCCTTCCCAGCAACTGATCATTGCAGTCAAACCCAGGCACCCCCGAGTCAAGAGTGGAGCCCCCATACCTGTCACAGTGAGCCTGGTCCCATTCCCAAAGTGGAGGGGTGAATTATAGGAGCACAGCTGCAGAGGCTTAGATAAAACCCACCCGGCGATCTCCAGTCAGAGGGCAAGTCTTAGCTCCCTGACAGCAGGATGGCTGCCTTTCTCTGCCTGGATTCATGGCTCTGGACCAAAGGGATTCTGTTAGGAAAAAGGCCTAAGCATACTGTGCAGCATAAGGCGCAAGAGGAAGAGGCTTAGGAGAGGCAGAGCCATGCACATAAGAGGGAGGATGAGCCAAGAAGGGAGTGAGGAGGCAGATTATGGACTGAAGACTTAGAGAAGAGAAATAGAGGAGTCAACCAAGACACACCAAAGGGAACGCAGGCACAGGCACAGCTCTTACCCCATGGGGTAAGAGATTTTACTCAATCTGCCTCACCAGCACCGGGAGGAGAAGCAGAGAACTCTGCCTTCAAGGGACAATGGCCATACCACCCTGATTCTGCAACTTACCTAGGATGGAGAGTCGAGTCCCATCACCAAAATGCTGGGGCTGATTGCTACACAGTGCATCATGAGTGTGGCAAACCCCAGAGGAGCTGGTGTGGGCCCTTCCTTCCAGAAGCTGCTTACACACAGAACTCTTGGGGCCCCACCACACACTCCACTGACCCACATTTTATGAGCTTTTCTTGGCTGTGTTCTCAGTTTCTGCCCTCCCGCAAGGGGTCCTCCTGGAACTCCGACCTTATGATACACTATCCCGAAAGAAGTCTTTTACATACCCAAGACAGAGAGCTGGGTTCCACTGCCAAAAAACAGTTTTTCATTAGTTGCACAACATTAAAGACTGGAAGGAAAACCGCGACCTGCTGCCTTCCACTCCTGCCTCCCCAAGTCCACCTGCCAGGTCCTCTCCTGTTCCTTAGTAGAATTTTAACCCTGGTGGGTAGAGGGGTAGACAATGGTACAACCCAAAATGCGGTGGTCAGCAGACCAATTAGGCCCCGTGTGATCCCCCAAGTTCCCTCTTCTGTGACCTTCTCCTTTCTGTGTGAGGGAGAGAAACGGTAGGACCGTGGTGGTAAGGTCAGAGGCTCTTTTATCTGTCATGGCCGTGACCGGCACCCTTCAAGGAGACAGGAGATGTTCAAGGTGACCCCTTCCAAGCTGAGTCTACCCATCTCTCAGTAGGGGAACCTAACTTGGCACAGGCAGTCTACAAAATAGTGGAGAGGAGAGGGAGGCTATCCCCTCCTCATCTGCCTCATAGGCCTTCCTGACAAAAATACACTTTCACCTAAGCACTAGAGACAAAGGCTCCGTCTGGATTCCAGCCCCTTTTTGCAAGTTCCCAGCTGTCCAGCCTTGACTTACTCACCTACAACAGTGAGCCAACTTCCCTCTCCAAAATATATGGTGTTTCCAGAGCACAGCCTCCCAGGGCCACTTCAAAACCCCCCAGTCTCTGCTGAGCACAGCTGGGATTCAGGCAGAGGTTGGGAGTTCATGGGAACTCTTCCCTCACAGGGACAGCAGCTCTGCTTCCAGTACTCTGTGTTCCCTTCCAGAGCTTGCCCAAGACTCAGGCAGGTGACAAAAAGAGACACAGAGTGGCCTCCTATAAAATCCAGCACAGGAATATACGAAGAATCTACAGAGAACCTCTGTCAGTGAAGCAGATAGATGGAGAGGTGTTGTGGCTCATTCATTACCCACCGGGCTTTCTCTGGGCTATCTCAGGGAACTATGAGGAGAGGCCCCCTCCCCTTCCCTCTTCTGCCCCATCACCCTGGGCTCAGCTGTGACTGCTCAGAGCCTCTGGGAAGCCTGGGTGGATTCGCCCTCACAGGGAGCCTCCCCTGAACTCAATCCCGGGACATGACATGACGTCTCCCTCAGTCTGGCTCCGGGAGCTGGGATCTCTGTTCTCTTTGACATTTCCCAGGACAGAGTCCTCCCTCATCGCACCCCTCCTAGAGACCCCCAGCCTTACCTACAACGGTTAACCTGGTCCCCGAACCGAAGGTGTAGCCATAGTTAGCACATAAGAATATAGCCACTCTAAAAGGGACACTGTGGACCCACTTTTCCCTGTGACGGATCTGCAAAAGAACCTGAAAAATGTCTTACCTACAACTGTGAGTCTGGTGCCTTGTCCAAAGAAAGCTTCAGTGTTCACACAGTGACAGGGGTCAAGGTGAAAATCACATTGAAGGCATAGAGAGGGGAGAGGGCCCTGGCTAGGATGGAGGACAGTGAGCTAAGAAATCTCCTCCTGTGCTTTATGGGTATTACACAGAAGAACACTTTGACTTTTGCTTTTTAGGACCATGGAGAATGACAGAGTCCATCCACAGGGTCCTAGGTTCCTTTTTCAAAGGATGCCCCATTCAGATGCTCCCTCTGTGAGGGTCCATCGAAAGGGAAAGTGCATGGCCTGCAGAGGATGGCAGGGGCCCAGAACCTGTGACTCCATCTATAGATACCCCTGACTTCTTCCCGAGTCCTCTGGAGAGCTGGTCACCTCCGATGAACCTTCCACCTGACTTTGTCTCAATTTTTGGGGATTGGGACCCTCCCTGAGTCCTCCACTTGTGAGGTTCCTGAGGCAGTCTTCTTATGTCTGACCTCTCTCTGCCTGGGAAGCTTTAGTTCTCATCTGGGCCTGTCCTTGTCCACAGTCTTGGTCTGACATGTGATCAGGAGTGAGGCAGAGGCATTCTGAACCAAATTGCATTAAGACCTGTGACCCAGGAGGAAAGAAGAGGACTCTGGGAGTTGGGACCGCCAGAGAGGTTTTTGTAAAGGTTTCCCGTAGAGTTGAATCATTGTGGCCCCCTGTCCCCACAATGTTACAGCTTTGTACAAAAACAGCCCCTCCCATGGGTCCGCCCCCAGAGCCTGGGAGAGACCACCAGAGCAGCTGCTCCTTTGAGGGGAGTGGAGGGTGGGTGACATCACCCCCCATTATGCAAGTTGGTGGTGGGGTATGGACCAGGCCGGGGGCTTCCTTCTCACCTCCAGGCACTGTCCTCAGGATGTTTTGAGCTCCTTAGAGCTGGATGTCTTTGTAAGGCTGTTTGGCGAAGGGGCTGGTCTTCTCCAGTACCCACCCCTCTCCAAGCTGTTGTCACGTTGGGGCATGTCCTTATAGAGAAGCCACAGCCCCCATCACTACCCTGGCCCTGCCCCGAGGCTGTGCGTCACTCGGAGGGTTTTAAGCTATGACTTAAAATCCAGAAAAAAAAAAAAAAAAGACAAACAACGACATAATGATGACACACTCGCATGGTAAAATATAAACAGAATCAAAATATACATAACAATCTGGGAAAAATATTCCTAGTTCTCACCATCAGGGCTAATCTCCTCAACATGTGGTGAACTCCTAAAAATCAATAGGAAAATAATCCAGCAGCCCAATAAAAATAGGTGAAGAGTAAATTGTTCAGAGAAAAATAAATCCAAATGGTACCTAACTATAAGGGAAAAAAAATCACAATAAGAAAAATAAAATTAAAAAAACTTCATCAAAATACACTTTTCACTAATTTGACTGACAAAATTGAATTATATGCCCATCAGTAAGGGACTGGATAAACTGTGATATGTTCACACAATGGAGTAATATTCAATGCTAAAAAAAGAATCAAAATATTTTATATTGCTATGGAAAATTCTCTAAGATACATTATTAACCCAGAAAAGAGAAAGTCTCAGAATAGCATAACTAGATGCCACCTTTGTCTAACAGAGGGGGGAAAAGAAGAATTATACTTTTGTATTTACTTGATTTTGTATACATTTTGTATACAGAAACACTGTAAAGATACAACAGAAACTGACAAGAGTGATGACCTATTAAGAATGAGTGGAGTAGGCCACGTGCGGTGGCTCACCCCTGTAATCTCAGCACTTTGGAAGGCCAAGGCAGGCAGATCACCTGAGGCCAGGAGTTCGAGACCAGCCTGACCAACACAGCAAAACCCCATCTTCACTGAAAGTACAAAAAAAAAAAAAAAAAAAAATTAGCTGGGCGTGGTGGCAGGTGACTATAATCCCAGCTACTTGAGAGGCTGCTGAGGTAGAAGAATCACTTGAACCCAGGAGGCGGAGGTTCCAGTGAGCCAAGATCACGCCACTGTACTCCAGCCTGGGCGACACGGTGAGACTCTATCAAAACAAAAAAAAAAAAAAAAAAAAAAAAAAAGAAAAGAAAGAATGGGTGGAGTAGACAGAAACAGAGCGGAAGTAAAAGTTACATTTCCCAGTGTCAACGTTACTGGGTTGTTTCCATTTTAGAGTCATATAGCTCTATTGTCTATTGAAAGTCAAACTTAAGTTAATTTTAAAAATCAAGAAAATTTGGCTTTAAATAAAATATGCTACTTTAAAAACCTACTTGTTTAATTTACAAAGTCATTTTTTTTGCCAAAGAAGTTTATGTGTGAAGTTATGTATGAAGTTATGTAGAATTTATGTAAGAAGTTGTTTCCTTGTCCTGAATTTGCTCAGTGAGGACTTAATCACTTGGACAACTGTGAAAAATGTAGATTTCTGAGTAGTCTTCATGACCTATTGAGTTAAAATCTCCAAGACTGAGTTTACTTATTTATTTATTTAAATAAACAAACAGAAAATTACCCTGGGCGTTTCTGTTACAATGCCAGGCTTGGGACCCACAGCTTGTCCCCAACTAGAACAGGGCAGAGGTAAGCCATGGTGAACATCAGAGGGTAGTCTAGGACTGCCATAAGTTTGGTGCCAGGGCATGGCCCTTAGAACTTAGGGAAGAAAGAAAAAGAGGATTTGGTATATTCACGGCATTAATAGTGATGGACCTCGCAACATGCTACCAAATGCCTGCATAAAAAGTTGATTGCAGCCAGGTGCAGTGGCTCACGCCTGTAATCTCAGCACTTTGGGAGGCCGAGGAGGGCGAATCATGAGGTCAGGAGTTCGAGACCATCCTGGCTAACACGGTGAAACCCTGTCTCTACTAAAAATACAAAAAAATTAGCCGGGCATGGTGGTGTGCGCCTGTAGTCCCAGCTACTCGGGAGGCTGAGGGAGGAGAATCGCTTGAACCCATGAGGTGGAGGTTGCAGTGAGCCGAGATTGAGTCACTGCACTCCAGCCTGGGCGACAGAGTGAGACTCTGTCAAAAAAAAAAAAAAAAAAAAGTTGATTGCTTTCATCCATTGGATTGTGTCAAAGCCTCTTGCCAGTACCTTTCCTAATTGAAATATTCAGTTTATTTTGATCTATTTCTGCATGTTTTCCTGCCTTACTCACCTCGTTTACTTATCAATAATTCATCCTCTAAGTTAGTGTCTTTTAATCACCTAGTGGGGGCCCTCATCCCTACTGGCCTTATAAATAATAATGCCACTCTGTCTTGGCATCATGGTTTTTTAGAATTCCGATGGAGTTTGTCCCAGTTTTGCCTCTCTGGACGGTATGCCCAAGCTCATATGCAGCGTTTTTTCCATAAAAGCTAGGAAGACCAGTTAGGCAGGTATCAGGTTGGGGTCATGCATCCATGTGGGCAGCAGGGGGCAGCCTTTCCTTATTTTTTTAGACCTAAGTAACTGCAATCTGAGCTCGGCCACTTGAGGGGGCGAGAAGAATGCGCAGCTCGTGGTGGGGCGAGGACGCGGAAGGGAGCAGGGTTACTCCTGCGCCTCTGTGTCGGGGGCGGGTGGGAGACCGGGAGACACGCAAAGAGCATTTCACGTGTGCAATTCTTGAAAGCTTTCCAGCATGTTCATTTCAACCTAAATTCCTTGTTCTCAGTTGAGGAACTGAAACCCCAAGAGGCTAAAATGAGTTGCCCAATGACAGAGAAGCACCGCGCCCCCAAGACTCCTTAAATTCAGGAGATGCCGCCACATCCTGCCCTTCCGTGAAACCGACCTCCTGTGGCCAGACTGCCGGGCTCCCAGCAGCCCCGTAGCGTGGCTAAACCTCTTAAACTCTGTCTCTTTATCTGTAAGCTAGGAGCAATAATAATACCTACCTCATGGGGTTGTGAGAATTGCATGCGATAGTGCGTGTCGGGGTTAATCATGGTGCCAGAAGAGTCAGTAAAAATGTTAGTGACTGAAGCCGGGCGCGGTGGCTCACGTCTGTAATCCCAGCACTTTGGGAGGCGGACGCGGGTGGATCACCTGAGGTCAGGAGTTCGAGACCAGCCTGGCTAACATGGTGAAACCCTGTCTCTACTAAAAATACAAAAAATTAGCCGGGCGTGGTGGCGCTTGCCTGTAATCCCAGCTACTTGGGAGGCTGAGGCAGGAGAATAGCTTGAACCCGGGAGGCGGAGGTTGCAGTGAGCCGAGATCGCACCATTGCACTCCAGCCTGGCGACAGAGAGAGACTCTGTCTCAAAAACAAAACAAAAACAAAAACAAACAAAAAATAGTGACTTGTTTTCAGAGAGATATCGTAACTGCCCAATAGGTTCACCTTGCCTGCTGTATAGACAGAACCGATTTATCAAGACAGGGGAATTGACATAGAGAAAGAGTAATTCACCCAGAGCAGACTGTGTGGGAGACTGGAGTTTTACTATTACTCAAATCAAATCTTGCCGTCTCCCCGGGAATTCGAGGATCCGAGTTTTAGAGGATAATTTGGTGGGCGGAGGGGAAAGCAGTGAGTCGGGAGTGCTGATCCGTTGGGTTGGAGATGAAACCCCAGCTGCTTTCTTGTGCTGAGTCGGTTCCTGAGTGGGGGCCACAAGATCAGATGAACTAGTTTATCGATCTGCGTTGTGCCAGCTGATGCATCAAGTGCAGGGTCTTTAAAATATCTCAAGCACTGATCTTAGGTTTTACAATAGTGACGTTATCCCCAGGAGCAATTTGGGGAGGTTTGGAATCTTGCAGACTCCAGCTACGTGACTCCTAAACCATAATTTCTAATCTTTTGGCAAATTTGTTAGTCCTATAAGACAGTCTAGTCTCCAGGCAAAAAGGAGGTTTGTTTTGGGCAAGGACTGTTACCGTCTTTGTTTCAAACTAGAAACTAAGTTCTTCCCAAAGTTAGTTCAGCCTATGCTGGGGAAGGAATAAGGACAGCTTGGAGGTTAAAAGCAAGATGGAGGCCAGGCGCGGTTGTTCACGCCCATAATCCCAGTACTTTGGTAGGCAGAGGCAGGTGGATCATGAGGTCAGGAGTTTGAGACCAGCCCGGCCAACATGGTGAAACCCCGCCTCTACTAAAATACAAAAAATTAGCCAGGCATGGTGGTGTGCACCTGTAGTTCCAGCTACTGGGGAGGCTGAGGCAGGGGAATCACTTGAACCTGGGAGGTGGAGGTAGCAGTGAGCCAAGATCGAGCCACTGCACTCCAGCCTGGCAACAGATTGAGACTCCGGCTCCAAAAAAAAAAAAAAAAAACAAAACCAAAAACAAAAAAAACCGCAAGATAGAGTTGGTTGGGTCAGATCTGTTTCACTGTCTCAGTTACAATTTTGCAATGGCGGTTTCAATACTGGCCTAAGGATGTCATTACCGTATCCAATCTCAAGTTTTCAGCGGGCATCAGAAGACCTGGAAGATATGTTAAAATGCAGGTTGCTGTCTGGGTGTGGTGGCTCACGCCTGTAATCCCAGCACCTTGGGAGGCAAAGGGGCAGGCGATCACTTTAGCCTAGGAGTTTGAGACCAGCCTGAGCGACATATGAGGTTGCCATCTCTACAAATAATAATAATATTAGCTGGGTTTGTGGTGTGCGCCTGTGGTCCTAGCTACTTGGGAGGCTGAGGTGGGAGGATCACTTGAGCTTGGGAGGTCAAGGCTGCAGTGAGCAGTGATCATGCCATTGCACTTCAGCCTGGGCAACAGAGCAAGACCCTATCTCAAATAAAAAAATATGCTGTTTGTTGGGCCCTGTCCCAGGAGATCTGACTCGGTGGGTGTGGGGTAGGGCCTAGCTTTTGTGTTTCTCCTAAATTCCCAGGAGATTTTGGTGTTGCTGGCTTAGGGACCACTCTTTGAGAATCATTCTTCTGGAAGGGTCTTTCTTTTCTCAGCACATTTCCCTCCACTCCATGTTTATTCCTCCACTCACTGGGTGCTTATTACATCCCAGGCTTTGCTTAATCACTGGAGATATCAGGATATGTAAGACAAGATGTACCCGCTTGAGGAGCACACAGTTGATTGCCAGGATGGACGCATCTATTGCACCTGAGCACCTGAGCAGGACTAGGACAGAGGCAAGCGGAGACAGGAGGAGGATGGCTGCCTCAGACCCGAGGGAGGGCCAGCAGAGCCAGACCCAAGGGAGGTGGGGACAAGGAAGAATCAGGAAGACTTTTCTGAAAAGGGTGAAGGGGAGGTTAGGAACGGCTTCCAGTCTGAGAGTGCCATAGTGTCCAGAGACAGAGGCAGGAGGCGCATGGCTTGTTGGATGGGCCACCAGGGCTTCTGAGCAGGGGAGGGGACAGGGGAGGAGAGCAGTGAAGAGGCATGAGACTGGGAGTGGGGGCAAGGGTGGTGCCAGGAGAACCCTACATTTCCCCAGGGAGCTTGAATTCTAGTTTGATCACTGTGGGAGGGTAGGGAGCAATGCCATAACCAGGAGCTCTCTGAGAGCAGTCGTCTTGCCGCATGGAATGGGACAATTGGGAGGTGCCCCTCAGGAGATGCAGGGAGGAAGGGAATGGGTGATAGTGACAGGGGGCTGGAGAAACATCAGAGGTCAGCGCTGACGGACTTGTCATCACCTCAGACCACAGTCATAGCGGGATGTGAGGCGGGGCACAGAGAGCGTGGGCTTTGAAGCCAGGCAAATGAGGAGTCAACCCCAGACCTACCATCTGCTGGGCTTGGGACGTGGGTAAACTAATAAGCCTCTTTGAACCTGTTTTCTTATCTGTACCGCTGGATTAATAACCACTCCGGAGGGGAGAGAAAACTAAATGGGAAAATGTCTATACATAGGAATAGTGTAAACATGTTGGTATTATTCTGTGGAGGAATAAAAGGCAGACTTCTCAAGAACATGAGGGATGGAGACCAAGGATTTGTCTTCTCCCCTCCAGACACAGGAGCCAGTTGTTGGGCAAGAGGGCCAGCACGATCATCTCCAAGCAGGACATCAGCTTGTGGGGAGTACAGACTGGGTTAGCAGGAGCACATGTGGAGAGGGGCCTCCGAGGAAGCTGATTCGGTCAGTGCTGGGGTTTCCTTGCATATGTTTGCTCTGGGTACAGAGAGGACCCTGTGTAGTCAAAGGCAGCAGTGAGGTCTTGCCAAGCATGCCAGCGTGTCACACATCAGCACATTGGGAGCCCACAGAAGTGCCAAGGCCAAGAAACCTCTTTAAGACCACTGTTCTGGAGGGCAGAGGAGGAGAGGAAGCAGAAGGAGGGCAGTGCTGTGATGGAGGAGCAGGAGCAGGAGGGGCTTGCAGAGGAGATGGTCTGGGTGGTGTGTGTGTGGGGGTGTGGGTGGTGTTCCTGGTCCTCCAGGTGCTGCCCAGCCCCTGTCAACCCAGGGTGAACCCCCATGGGATAAGCCTGTGTGGTACCAACAATCCAAGCTACACCTGTGACAAAAAACACTGCTGTGGCTCTGGCTGGTGTGGGCCACCATCATCATCCTCTTGAGCTGCTGCTTCGTCTGCTGCCACCGCTGAGCCAAGCACTGTCTTCAGGCCAGGCAGTGGCAACAAGAAATCAACCCGATCACCTGTAGGAAGCCCATGATTACTCAGCACTGCCACTTTATCTTCAGTTTTTTGCCAAACTATTTACTACCTTGTTATGAGGGAATGGTTTCCCGATCTCCAACTCTTCCCCAAACATATAGTGACTTCCAGCTATGGCATGTGGCCCTTAAGGTGGCAGTGACCCTGGGACTCCCAGGAGGCACAGAGCAGCCCCTTGGCTGGGCCTAGCAGAAGCAGCACAAGACCCCCACTCATTGCTGACCCTGGGGCCTCTGACACCAGCTGACACAGCAGCCACCAAAGACTTGGGAATGGAGCCCAGTGTCTGTGTGGCCAGCCTGGGGGAGTTGGGCCGAGGAGCCTTCCTGTGCAAGGATTTAGAATATATGGAGCAGCTGCTGAATGATTACAACTCTGAGCATGGCAGACTATCCCCGCCCCTCCCCGCCCCCTTCGCCCCAAGCAAAGAGAAGATACCATGTGTGCAACTGGGGCCAACATGACGATGGCCCCAAAGCATTCAACATGCTCATCAGTGATGCTCTGGATGGCCCCCTGGATGTCCATGACAGCTGCCCTGTGCAGTCACCTGGTGACAAGGAGCAATGCCCCTGCCAGCCATGCAAGGAGCAAGCTTGAGAGTCTGGGCATCTGCACCTACCACGGCCCCCAGTCCCTGCTGCTGAGCACCATGGATGAACAGAACTCTCCCAACCCCTAGAGCAGCAGCTCCCAGCCAGAGCCGGCCCTGTCTGTGCCCAAGACCTTGGCAAAGCAACCAGGGCTCGTTGTCCCCCTTTGTTTTCTCTTCTTCTCTCCTGCATTTTTCTCCATCTCCAGGTACAGCTTGGGATGTGGATGCCTCTCGCCACACAAAAATGCTTGGGATTCATTCCTGATACCCCAATTCAACCCGATTTTCCCTCCTTTTAAAGTCAGATCTCACCTACCTGTTTGGTCAGAGAAATGTGTGTTTTAAAATCCCCGAGGAAGGAGGCAGGGACTGAGCCCTCAGATGATTATCGGTGAAGTGGATTTATGCTTAATTTCAGTTTAAGAGAATGTTGCTGCGTCTCTGCCTAGGACAGGCAGCCCACTGTGGCCCTGGGTGACAAAGGAAGCCCACAGAGGCCCAGGGTTTGTCAACTGTGGCTGCCAGTGTCTGCAGAGCCAGAATTGAGCTAATCCCATGAAAGGATCAGCGCTGATGGGCAGTTGTATGGTAGGTTGCTACGGGGCTTATTGATCTCTCAAATTCCAGGTCACAAGATCAATGCATGCGTGAGGGGCCCCTTCCCAGCAGGCTCTGGTGGCTACAAACTGGTTCAGGTGTGGAAGATCATTATCACTTTACCTTTGGTTTTTCTTTGAAAAACAAACAATGAAAGACAGATGAAACCAAGAAATCTACCAGTGGGCAGGCAAGAATTCTCTTCGGGAAAAGGAATGTTTGTGGCTCTTCTCCACATTGGCCTTGAAAGAGCTTGGCTGCAGAGTGGCTATTATTAAAATGTCAAAAAACAGAAGATGCTGGTGAGGCTGCAGAGGAAATGGAACACCTATACACTGTTGGTCAGAGTGTAAATGAGTTCATGGAAAAATTAATGCAGAAAGCAGTTTGGAGATTTCTGAAATAATTTAAAACAGAACTACGATTCCACCCAGCAATTCCATTACTGGGCATTTACCCAAAGGAAAATAATTGTTCTGCCAAAAAGACACATGCTCTCACATGTCCATCACATCACTATTCACAGTAGCAAAGCCATGGAATGAACCTAGGTGGCCATCAGCGGTAGACTGGATGAAGGAAATGTGGTACATATACACCATGGAATACTATGCAGCCATGAAAAGAATGAAATCATGTCCTTTACAGCAACATGGATGGAGCTGGAGACCATAATCATAAGCAAATTAACATAAGAACAGAAAACCAAATATCACGTTCTCATGTATAAGTGGGAGCTGAGCATTGGGTACACATGGATATAAAGATGGGAAGACTAGACACTGCAACTACTAGAGGGAAGAGAGAAGGAGGGTGGATAGAGCTAAAAAAATACCTATTGGGTACTATGGTCACTGCCTGAGTGAGGAGATCATTTGTGCCCCAGACCTCAGCATCACACAATATACCCATGTAACAAATCTGCACATGTACCCCATGAATCTAAAATAAATGTTGAAAATATTTTTTAAAAATGGGGTCTGAGCCAGGAGCGGTAGCTCACGCCTGTAATCCCAGCACTTTGGATCACTTGAGGTCAGGAGTTCAAAACCAGTCTGGCCAACATGGTGAAACCCTGTCTCTGCTAAAAATACAAAATAAATAAATAAATAAATAAATAAATAAATAAATAAATAAAATAAAAAATAAATTAGCTGGGCACAGTGGTGGGTGCCTGTAATTCCAGCTACTTGGGAGGCTGAATCACTTGAACCCTGGAGGCAGAGGTTGTAGTGAGCAGAGATCATGCCATGGCACTCCAGCCTGGCTGTAGTTCAGCCAGAAGGATATGTGTGAAGGCTGAGGTGGGGGTTCTTCAGAGCCTCTATGAGCAGAAGGGCCTAAGCTGTGCCGGTGGACAGAGTTTCAGTTTTCTGCCTCTTTGCCCTTTGGTCTGGACCCACAGGTGAACAGTACCAGCCTCCATCCCAAGCACACGCTCTGCAGGCCTTCACATCTTACGGTTCCATGCGAGCAAACGGACTGGGAAAGCTGTGTGGCCTGAGAAAAGGCAACCCCGTGGCCTGACTCTCACACAGTATTTTGTCTTGGATTTTGAATAAGCACTTTTTTTGCTTCTTTTGTGTTTTCGGTGGTGGTGGTGGTGGTTTATTTTACACTGACCACTTGGAAGAAATCCCATGGTTATCTGTGATTTTCATGCCCTATTTCCGCTGGCAACCCTTCTCACTGGGGTGACTCACTTTCCTGTGTAAAGAGTCTTAGTGGCCAAGATGGGAGGTGGAAGCAGCCATCTGGAAGGCCATTGGGATCCTTATGTCTGTGTCTTGGCTTGAGGTGACCAGCTGGGCTTTGATAGGAATGATCTGAATGGAGACAGAAAACACTGGAAACTAACACTCCCCATCTAGCCCAGCCCAGCCCTGTTTATATGAAGCGTTTGGTTCTTCCCTTGACTCTTGAGTAATGATGATATTCAGATGAGGCATTGACATTGTGGTAAGAAAGGGAAAAAATGTATCTGTCTTGTCTGTCTATCAACTGGATATATATCTCCCAAAGCAGACAAACCCAAGGCTGTAAGGTGAACTAGGGTCTGCATTTGGACTCCATAAAAACAAAATCCATGTTGAACAAAGTGATGTTTGTATGCAGTGACGTTTTGGGTGACCCATGTGTATCTGTCCATTGTGTGCAAGCCCTGAGCCCTGTTTTCCTCTGAAGATAGTGAGTGGTAGCCGTCTCCTCACACAAACCACATGTCTGGAGCACAGATGGCCCTCTCAAGGTAATTGATCTTACACATTTACTGTTTACCAAACAAGTGTCTGATGCATACTTGGGTGTATTCCACAGCATGTGTACTGTGGTCCCCTGTGTTTGCCAGGAATGCTGTGCTGCATGTAGAGGTTTTACTCTACTCATCCCTGCAATTTGCACGCTGCTCCATGGACACTTGGAGGCCTGTGCTCTGTTCCCTGTAACTGGAAATGTGCTCTGAACTTGTCTGTCTCCCTTGGCTGCTCCTGGCCCTTAGCGCCAGCTCCCAGGGATGTCCACAACCACTTGGGACAGAAGGTGAAGGTGGAATTTCAAAGAGAAGCTTGCTTGGATCTTGGGTGACAAGCTTGGATGAGCTACGGCCCCAACTTAGGCCCTCTCAGAATTGCCAGAAGGAGGCTTTGGCAGGTGCCGCAAGTGCCATGAAGCCTGCCTCCCTCTGCTGTGTCCAGTGGGTGCAAGCCAGTCAATGTGTGGTCAGAGTGGCTGGTTGTGTCACAGTCCTCAGATCTTTCCTTCCACCTTTTTTAAAGAATCCCAAATAACTCACTTGAAGTGTCTCAAAGTCAAGCAAGTTTTATGAAAATGAATCCTTTCTCAGTTAATTGATCAAATGGGTGAATCCTGACCCTCTGTAGTTTCTTTCCCTGGTCAGAGTGAGGAGCTGGTGTTAGCTGTGGGATTCACTGTGGCATCCTACCCCAAAGGCAAAGAAGATAAAAATGCAGCATGAAGAGCTGGGCTTGATTCCCAAGTCGCAGTCTGGCTCCCGCTGTGGTAGGTGGAACATCTCTCTAGCCTGCTCACAGAGATGGAACTAGGGAATTAAGGGAAGAGTCGGAGGGCCAGGAAGATTTATTTGAGTCTGATTTTCCAGGCGAATGAGAAGGGAGGGCTTGGTCGAGGGTTTGGTGCCGACACATTCCTGGGAGAGTCACGTCATCACCAGCAGCATTTGTAATTATTGTTGTATTTTAGCAAGAAGTTTCAGCTGGTCAAATATTTTGGGCCACCTCGAAGATGCTGACACATTTTCTGTACTGTGATTGTTCTGAAGGCAGAGTAGCTCTAACCACTCTGAGAAGCCCAAATAAAACAATAGCCCCTGCCGAAGACCACCTTTCTGAAACACACGTTTCTCTAGAAAACAGTGCCCCCCTTTCTCCCAAGCTTCTTATTTTTGGATTCCACCTCTTTGTATGTGTTAATCTAGTGTACCATGGAACACATTTGGGAGCTGGAGGCTCTTCTTATGTTTAAGGGGGAGAGCCCTGTCTGACCTGAGGTTGGAGGATGCTTTCCAATGTGAAGGAGTGTGAAGGAGGAGGCACAGACACAGACAGTGAGAGCAGGGTCACTTTATTGGTATAGAGACTGCAGAGGGACCAGGGGCTTTAGCTGTTGGCAGCTATGGTGTCCTTAATCCAGTCCACATAGTTGTAGACCTTGGTGTAGACTCCAGGCCTGTTCTTCTGGGCACAGCCATAGCCCCAGGAGACAATTCCTTGGAGCTCTCCATTGGAGACCACAGGGCCACCAGAATCACCCTGGGGGGAAGAAGGGACAAGTTGTATGAAGAGAGAGATGGAGGAGGAATACACCTACATTTGCTCTGAACCTTAAAAGAGCCCTTTCCAGCCAGCTCTGTGGCTCCACGTCCTTCTCACGGTGGCCCATTCTCTGTTCTTCCTAAGCAGACAGGATGCAGCCCAAAGGAGTCTTCCTCACTTCTCCATGGGGCACTGCAGGGAGCCTCCTCAGCCCCGCCACCTTGGGAGTTCAAATCATTTTCCCTGGTGGGGCCTGGTTATCAGTGGGAGCCTCAGCATGGGAAGGGGTCAAATCACCTGGCAGGAATCCTTGCCTCCCTCGAGGAAGCCCACACAGAACATGTTGTTGGTAATCTTTCCAGGGTAGGAGGCTTCACACTCAGCCTGGCTCAGCACAGGAGCATCCAGGCACTGCAGCTCGTCTGGGTAGTCGGCTGTGAGGATCAGGAAGAGAACAAAGAAAGAAATGTGGGTTAGGCCAGAGAAAGAGACAATAGTCTAGGATGGAACATTGAAGAGGAACACTGCCCCTGGAGAGGACTCCAAAACATAAGTCCTGGCAAGGGACTCTGGCTTTTAGTTCCCAGAATGATCATTGTTGAACCTCTCCCACGAAGTGATCATAGCAAGTTCTCCATTTGTCCTGTCTTTTGATTTTAGGAGCCACATCCTTGAGAATTTGCATCTCTCTGGTGCCCAGTGCAGAGCCTGTGTGTAATGGGCACTAGAAATGTGTCTTAAGCCTGGAGGCGAGAGGATTTAAGTTAAGGGGCATGGTTTGTTCTGGAAATTGTGGGATGGAGGGAAGTAGAAGGACAAAGGGTCCCACTCACCACCAGAACTCAGAGTGTTGCCCCAGCCGGAGATGAGGGACTCGGTGCCAGCAGCTGGAGGGGCAGTGGGCAGAGAGATGGCGGACACGCGGGAATTGATGACGGCAGGTGAGGAGAGCTTGATCAGCAGGATGTCATTGTCCAGAGTCCGGCTGTTGTATTTGGGGTGGCGGATGATCTTGGCCGCATTGATGAACTGTTCATTCCCCTCCAGGACTTCGATGTTGTGCTCTCCCAGTCTCACCTGGATGCGGCTGATGGGCAGGGCAGGCATGGTGAAGACCTTCTCCCACAGCCAGGGCACCCCTCCCACCTTTCCATGGGTCCTTAAGCTCCCTGCTCATGGACAGCTCTGGAGGCATGGGGTGGGGTGTGTGGCCATATTGCATGGGCAGGAGAGCAATGTGGGTCAGTGCAGGTGTGAAACCCAGGACCTTTCTGCTTCAGAGGTTGGTGGTAGTGGAGTGGGGAAGAGTCAAAGGGATCCCACCAGAGGCTGCTCCTCAATCTGCCTTCCCAGACTCTTTCCCATAATCTCCATGTCACTAGCACTGTGGGCACAAGGAGCTCCTTGAAGTTTTCCCAACATTCTTCACTCCAGGCCTTTGCTAACTGTGCACAGTGCCTGCTCCTCCCTCCATTCTTGGCCTGGTGAGCACCACCCTTCTGTGTAATCTAATCCAAGGGTAGCCATAGCATTAGCATCTCCTGGGAATTTGTTAGAAATGTAAGTTCTTGGTCCTTACCCCCACCTACTGATCAGAACCTTGGGGATGGGTCCCAGTGATTTGTGCCTTAACAAGCCTGCAGGGAGTTCTGATGCATACTCAGGTTTAAGAGTTCTTGGTGTAGGCAGCAGTTCTCAGCTCTGTCTATACACTCTACAGTTACCAGAGGTAGAGTGTGAAATACTCACTGATATTCACACCCTCTTCCTGATAATTTTGAGTTAATTGCCCTGGGATAGAACACAGGGATCAGTATTTTTAAGTACTCATTCTTAGGTGGCTTTAATGTGTAGCTAACCAGCAAAAGTACTAGCCTGCTCTTCTCACTAGCTCTCACCACCCCAAGATCATCCCTGCCTGCTTTTATGACCACAACCCTTGCTGTTTCATGGATTTGCCTGGGTGTGAGGGCTTCCTGTCTTGTGTTCACTCTCTGCTCTGGAGAGTCAGCTGCTGCCAACAAGTTTTCTTTTCCACCATCTCTCTCGTCCGTCCTACCCAACCTCAGTACTTCCCTGGGCTGAATCCAAGCTCTCCCAGGCAGCCTGGCTGGGAGTTTTGCAGTCAGGGGCCCCACACTTACGACTTGTAGCAGTGACCTGCTGACACCACCCACTGTTCGCTGATGAGGGAGCCACCGCAGAAGTGGTAGCCAGAATTCAAGGACACCTGGTAGGGGACAGAATTCTCCTCACAGATGTAGCCCCCAACGATCTTGTCATCATCATCAAAGGGGGCAGCAACTGGAGTGGAGATGGGAAGGGAGAAGGCAAGTCAGTAGCATGTTAGGGGTGGCGCTCCCAGCCTGTGGCTGCTTCCTGCTAATTAGAAAACCTTAACAAGCTCAGTGAGGCTAGGCAAGGGGGGGAGCGCTGCCAGCCCTGGTGATCATCACTGGATGTGGCTCCCAAGTCTCTGTGTCTGCAGGGCACGTAGCTAGGTACCCTGTGGGGGTTCAGATCTCTCCTGGGGTCACCAGGCTGAGGACGCAAGGAATATCCTCACAATACTTCCAGTGGGATAGGATTTGGGATGTGGCTGTCTCAAGCACTGAAGTCTTCTCTCTTTTATTCACCACCTGTGTACTCCACCTGGTTATTTAAGCCCCGGATTGTCTGGCTACTTTGGCCAAGCTAGGAAAACCCCCTGGCGACATCGACTTGGCCATGACCAGTTTCCCCCTCAGCTCAAATCTGCCCAGTGAGGGCAGAGTTGAGGGAAGCCCCAGGCTCACTTTTGCAGAACAAAGGTATACGTTATTATTGGTCAAAACAACAGCAATTCTTAACCTTGGCTGCATGCCTAGAAATGTTAAAAATCACCTGGGAAGCTTAAAAGCCCAGAACACAGGCTGCACACCAGACAATTGAAGTGAGAATTTCTAGAGTTGAGTGTCTTGCATGAGTAATTTCAACCTCCCCAGGTGCATTCGAGGTTAAGAGCAGCTATAGTGGTGCTATTGTGGTGCTGTCAGAGCCAAGCCTGAAGCCTACTGCTTCATTTCATGGGCCAGCCCCACCTGGTCTCCCTTCCCAGCTTCTCCAACCACAGCTCGGATATGGATGAATAACAGCGGTGGGAGTGAAATCAAGGAGAAGGTGGAACAAGTGAGGCTTAAAAAGAGCCCAAGGAGGATGGGAAGAAGAAATGCCAGATGGAGGAAATAGAATATCACAGCACAGTCAAAAGAGGAGAGGTGGCAAGAATGGCAGGGCATGTGTCTGCCAGGGAAGGGTTGGTTGAGGCCTGAGGCAGGGCGTGAAACTCACCAGCAGCTGCAACAAAGGTAAGGATCAGAAGTAGATTCATGGTGGTAGAGTGTGCCTGATTGCTGGTGGAGAACCCGTCTTTATACCTCCCGAGGATGGGGAGAGGAGGTGTCTGTGAGGTGAGGGTCACTGCTCCTCCCAGCACAAACACACCTGCAGCTTTCCCCTTCCTATGGTCTTGCATCAGTATGTTTGGCCACTCTGTGGGTTTGTGATTCACAGGTGATAAGGAAACTTGCCTTCTGAGAGCAGAGAGGGAGACCGGCTGTTTCCTGGAAGGATGCTGATATGGGAAAGACAGGGGAAGCCAAGCCCCAGATCACACAGCTGGGCTTTCTTAGGCCGAGGAGATGAGGGTTAGAAGGAGGGAGAATGGCCTGGCTGTTTAGGAATATATTTTACTATTGGGGTTATATTTAATGTACTTAAGGAAGGGCAAGTGTTGGTAGCAAGCTTGGCTTTTTAGTGTCCTGGAGCTCCCAGGAGAGGGGCAAAGTCTTATCTAACTAAGGCTTGTTCCTGTGAATATGAAGATGCTTCTCTCCAGTCACTCAGTGGGAAAGTCAAATCCAAGGCTTTGGGGAATGAGAATTCCAACATTAAGGGGTAAGGAGAAGAGAGACTCAGCATTCCATAGGATGCTGGGCTTGAAGATGGCTCTCCCTCCTACCACGGCATAGGGATGAGAAGAAGGAGGGGGCACAGGTTAGGTAGGAGCTTACTCAGTGCATCTGGAGGATGGAAAACCAATGGCGCACTCCTCCCCTTCTTCAATGTGAAGACATTTGTCTCTCATGTGCATCCTGTCATAGGTTCTTTTTATGCAGCCTCATGGTTGCCCTTGCAACCTGCACTCAGGGTGATTGAAACTGACCCACCTGCTTGGGGCTGACAGCCTGAACCAGAATGACATGCCCCTGATCACATGTCAGAGTTTGGACCATGGTAAATCTGGGTTATGATTTGATCTGAGAATCAGCAGTAGGTAGGGATTTGAGCACATGGTAAATGGGTGACATATTGGGTTCAATAACAAAGATGTGGAGGGGTGGGTCTAGAATTTTCTATTTTAGATGTAGTGAGATTATACTTGGCTCAGTACTAAGTGAATCTTTCTAGAGAATATCCTGATTTGAGCCCTACCAAGGGTACTAAGATACAGTCGTGTAATTGACTGAGGCATAACCTGGCCAGAGCAGTGTGGAGATGGAGATGCTGTCTGCGCTCAGGTCTAATAATGTAAGGAAAGGAGGGGCTTCCTTATGAGGGTGCTTTCCCTTCTCATCAACTCTGAGCTAATGTTGGTGATGGGCAGGAGTGAGCAGAGTTCAAGTTTGAATTCTTTGAAAGGTAAAAGAAGCAGGGATGTTCTGGAGACAGTGAGCAAAATGAGAAAAGCTCAGAAACTTGCTGGAGAAATCGGACATGGCCAGGGGGCTAGAGGGAGGAAGCAAATGGAAACCAGAGGTAACTGGAAAAAAATACCAAAATAGGGTCCATGGTGTTGAGAGGACACACAGAGTACCTTCAGGTTCAGCTCCTGGCATGGCCACTGAGGCAGCTTCCCCACAGCCAGGAGACCCACTGCTCTGAGGCCCCCTCTCTCCCCGGTACCCTCTCTAATCACTAATAGGCTGATACCTAACGCTGCTATGCTTAGATGGTGCATGGTGCCTGACTGCTTCACGGGAGTTTTCACGTAAGCAACAGTGGTACATTGCTCTTTGTTTATGCTGAGTTTCGCAGTTTAACTTCCCACCAACGTGCTAATGGTGACTTGTGTGGAGCAAAATTATTTCCATTTATAGAGGAAGAGACTGAGATTCAGAAGGATTCTGTCTTGCCCAAGAATACAGATCTTGGCAGAGCTGACCATAAGGCCAACAGAAGCCATGGAGAGCATTGTGAAGTGTGGGAATTGCTGCACGTGGCATCTAAAAGGAGATTTATTGAGGATCAAGGCAGAGGTCCCCAGAGGACAAACTGTACATCTGATTCCTTCCTGGTGCTTTTCTTCCTGGCAGAAATAGATGATTGAATTCATCTTTCTCCTGGCACCTTTTCTCAGAGCCTTACCTTGCCACAGTTCCAGACCCATCCAGGCCATGACTGCCATGTAGATGACACACCTCTCTGCTCATGAATAACTGGCCAAGCCTGAGGTAGCTAGGTTTTAGAGCATTGATAATATGGGGTTTTGCTGTGTTGTCGCTGAACATGTTATTTCATTTTGTCCCCTTGTCATGGGGTCTTCACAGAACTCCTGCCTTAGAGGATAAGGAGAGACTCTTGCTCTAGCAACTATAGACACCAGTGTGCACTAAACAGGGAGGTGAACCTTGGTAGAAGATGGAGAATTTTTTTGGAAAAAGGGATTTTTGGATCAGGGCTTGTAGCTCTGACTCTTTTTCTGAAAGGTAACACCCAAGAATTGAGGATTTTCTGTATCTAGAGCTTGAAGACTAGCCTTCTCCAGTATTTTGTGCTCTTCCTTAAGCGATCACAGTATAGTCTGAGGTCAGCTTTCTTCAAAAAGGAATGACCTTACAGGCAGAGGAGATAGCTATAGGTGAAGACTGTTACCTCATACTGTAGACTCAGATGTGTAGGATAGGTTCAGATCCAGCTACCCATGCTCAATTTGGGGGACATGTCATTCTTGGTACTGTTCATTCTGAACTATAGATTTCTTTGTCTACTTCTCTAAGATATCTTTCTGGCTTGTGTTTAGTGCTTAACATGCCAAACCACTGTCCTTCCATTATCATAACAGTGAATCATTTCTGTGTGCTTCCTATATAGCATGTAACTTACTATACAGCATGTCACTCATATAAGTTAAGAACTTTTTTTTCATTTTATCATCACAACCACCTATGGAATTGCCCACTTTACAGATGAGCAAATGAGCTTTCTGAAGGTGAAGTGACTCTTCCATGTTCCAGAGCAGCAGCTCCCAGCCAGAGCCAGCCCTGCCTGCACTCAAGACCTTGGCAAAGCAACCAGAGCCAGAAAGAACCATGAGAGAAGCTTTCAATGACTTTCAGACACTTTGTCCTCCTTTTTTACCCTTCTCCTCTCCTGCTTTTTTCCCCATCTCCAAGTATATTTTGGGATGTGGATGCCATTCGCCACACAAAAACACTTGGGATTCATTCCTGATACCCCAATTCATCCCACTTTCCCCCCTTTAAAGTCAGATCTCACCTACCTGTTTGGTCAGAGAGATGTGTGTTTTAAAATCCCCAAGGAAGGAGGCAGGGACTGTGCCCTCAGATGATTATTGGTGAAGTGGGTTTATGCTTAATTTCAGCTTAAGAGAATGTTGCTGTGTCTCTGCCTAGGACAGGCAGCCCACTGTGGCCCTGGGTGATGAAGGAAGCCCACAGAGGCCCAGGGTTTCTCACCCGTGGCTGCCAGTGTCTGCAGAGCCAGAATTGAGCTAATCCTGTGAAAGGATGAGCGCTGATAGGCAGTTGTATGGTAGGTTGCTGTGGGGCTTCTAGATCTCTCAAATTCCACATGACAAGATCAATGCATGCGTGAGGGGCCCCTTCCCAGCAGGCTCTGGTGGCTACAAACTGGTTCACGTGTGGAAGATCATACCACTTTACCTTTGGTTTTTCTTTGAAAAGCAAACAATGAAAGACAGCTGAAAACAAGAATTCTACCAGTGGGCAGGCAAGAATTCTCGTTGGGAAAAGGGATGTTTGTGGCTGTTCCCCACATTGGGCTTGAAAGAGCTTGGCTGCAGTGTGGTTATTATTAAAATGTCCACAGAATAGAAGATGCTCATGAGGCTGCAGTGGAAAGGGAATGCTTGTACACTGTTGGCCAGAGTGTAAATCAGTTCATGGAAAAATTAATGTAGAAAACCGTTTGGAGATTTCTGAAACAATTTAAAACAGAACTATCTTTCCACCCAGCACTTGCTTTATTGGGCATTTACCTAAAGGAAAGTAATTGTTCTGCCAAAAAGACTCATGCTCTTGCATGTCCATCACAGCACTATTCACAGTAGCAAAGCCATGGAATCAACCTAGGTGGCCATCAGCGGTAGACTGGATAAAGAAAATGTGGTACATATACACCATGGAATACTATGCAGCCATGAAAAGAATGAAATCATGTCCTTTGCAGCAACATGGATGGAGCTGGAGACCATAATCCTAAGCAAATTAACATGGGAACAGAAAACCAAATATCACGTTCTCATGTATAAGTCGGAGCTGAGCATTGGGTAAAAATGGATGTAAAGATGGGAAGAGTAGACACTGCAACTACTAGAGGGAAGAGAGAAGGAGTGTGGAAAGGGCTGAAAAAATACCTATTGGGTACTGTGCTCAGTTCCTGAGTGAGGAGATCATTTGTGCCCCAAACCTCAGCATCACACAGTATACCCATGTAACAAACCTGCACATGTACCCCATGAATCTAAAATAAAATTTGAAATTATTTTTTAAAAAATGGGGCCTGGGCCAGAAGCTGTGGCTCACACCTGTAATCCTAGCACTCTGGATCACTTGAGGTCAGGAGTTCAAAACCACACTGGCCAACATCGTAAATCCCTGTCTCTAATAAAAATACAAAAAAGAAAAAAAAAATTAGCTTGGCATGGTGGCATGCACCTGTAATCCCGTGTACTTGGGAGACTGAATCACTTGAACCCGGGAGGTGGAGGTTGTAGTGAGCAGAGATCATGCCACGGCACTCCAGCCTGGCTGTTGTTCAGCCAGAAGGAGATGTTTTGTGTGAAGGCTGAGGTGGGGGCTCTTTGGAGCCTCTGTGAGAAGGAGGCCCTAAGCCGTGGCGGTGGACAGAGTTATAGCTTTCTGCCTCTTTGCCATTTGGTCTGGACCCACAGGTGAACAGTACCAGCCTCGATCCCGAGCACACGCCCTGCAGACTTTCACATCTCACGGTCCATGTGAGCACATGGAATGGGAAAGCTGTGTGGCCTGAGAAAAGGCAACCCCGTGGCCTGTTTCTCACACAGTATTTTGTCTTAGATTTTTGAATAAGCATTTTTCTGCTTGTTTTGTGTTTTTTGTGGTGGTGGTGGTGGTTTATTTTACACTGACCACTTGCGAGATATACCATGGTTATCTGTGATTTTCATGCACTGTTTGTGCTGTCAACCCTTCTCACAGGGCTAACTCAGATTTCTGTGTAAAGACTCTATGTGGCCCAGGTAGGAGGTGGAAGCAGCCATCTAGAAGGCCATTGGGATCCTTATGTCTGTCTCTTGGCTTGAGGTAACCAGCTGGGCTTTGATAGGAATGATCTGAATGGAGACAGAAAACAGGGGAAACTAAGACTCCTTGCCCAGCCCTGTTTATATGAAGCATTTTGTTCTTCCCTTGATTCTTGAGTGATGATGATATTCAGACGAGGCACTGACGTTACAGTAAGAAAGGGAAAAAAATGTATCTGTGTTGTCTATCTATCTACTGGATATATGTCTCCAAAAGCAGACAAACCCAAGGCTGTAAGGTGAACTACGGTCTGCGTTTGGACTCCATAAAAACAAAATCCATGTTGAACAAAGTGATGTTTGTATGTATTGACGTTCTGGGTGACCTGTGTGTATCTCCATTGTGTGCAAGCCCTGAGCCCTGTTTTCCTCTGAAGATAGTGAGTGGTAGCCGTCTCCTCACATGAACTACATATCTGGAGCCCAGATGGCCCTCTCAAGGTAATTGATCTTACACATTTACTGTTTACCAAACAAGTGTCCGATGCATACTTGGGTTTATTCCACAGCATGTGGACTGCGGTCCCTTGTGTTTGCCAGGAATGCTGTGCTCCATGTAGAGGTTTTCCTCTACTCATCCCTGCAATTTGCACACTGCTCTGTGGACACTTGGAGGCCTGTGCTCTGTTCCCTGTAACTGGAAATGTGCTCTGAACTTGTCTGTCTTCCTTGGCTGCTCCTGGCCCTTGTTACCAGCTCCCAGGGGTGTCCACAACCACTTGGGACAGAAGATGAAGGTGGAATTTCAAAGAGAAGCTTGCTTGGATCTTCGGTGACAAGCTTGGATGAGCTACAGCCCCAACATGGTCCCTCTCAGAATTGCCTGGAAGAGGCTTTGGCAGGTGCCAGAGGTGCCAGGGGGCCTGCCTCCCTCTGCTGCATCCAGTGGGTGCAAGCCAGCCAACATGTGGCCAGAGTGGCTGCTCAGATGTCTTTCCCTCCACTTTTTTTTAAGGAGTCCCACGTAAGTCACTTGAAGTATCTCAAAGGCAAGCAAGTTATATGAAAATGAAACCTACCTCAGTTAATTGATCAAATGGGTGAATCTTGACCCTCTCTAGTTTCTTTCCCTGGTCAGAGTGGGGAGCTGGTGTTAACTGTGGGATTCATATGGCGTCCTACCCCAAAGGCAAAGAAGATGAAAATGCAGCGTGCAGACCTGGCTTGATTCCCAAGTCGCAGTCTAGCTCCCGCTATGGTAGGTGGAACATCTCTCTAGCCTGCTCACAGAGATGGAACTAGGGAACTGAGGGAAGAGGTAGGAGGCCAGGGAGCTTTGCTTGAGTCTAATTTTCCAGGTGAATGAGGAGGGAGGGCTTGGTTGAGGGTTTGGTGCTGACATATTCCTGTGAGAGGCACGTCATCACCAACAGCATTTGTCTTTTTTGATGTATTTTAGCAAGAAGATTCAGCTGGTCGGATTTTTTGGGCTGCCTCGAAGATGCTGACAACATTTTCTGTGCTGTGATTGTTCTGAAGGCAGAGTAGCTCTACCCACTGTGAGAAGCCCAAATAAAAATCAGTACCCCCCCACCAAAGACCAACTTTCTGAAACACACATTTCTCTAGAAAACAGTGCCCCCCTTTCTCCCAAGTTTCTTATAATTTTTGGATTCCATCTATTTGTATGTGCTAATCTAGTGTACCATGCAACACATTTTGGGAGATGAGGGTTCAGCTTACCTTTAAGGGGGGGAGTCGTGGCTGACCTGAGATTGGAGGATGCTTTCCAGTGTGAAGCAGTGTGAGGGAGCAGGCACAGACACAGACAGTGAAAGCAAGGTCACTTTATTGGTATAGAGACTGCAGAGGTACCAGAGGCTTTAGCTGTTGGCAGCTATGGTGTCCTTAATCCAGTCCACATAGTTGTAGACCTTGGTGTAGACTCCAGGCCTGTTCTTCTGGGCACAGCCATAGCCCCAGGAGACAACTCCTTGGAGCTGTCCGTTGCAGACCACAGGGCCACCAGAGTCACCCTGGGGAGAAGAAGGGACAAGCTGTATGAAGAGAGAGAAAGAGGAAGAATATAGCTACATTTGCTCTGAACCTTAAAAGACTCCTTTCCAGCCAGCTCTTTGGCTCCACGTCCTTCGCACAGTGGCCCATTCTCTGTTCTTCCTAAGCAGACAGGATGCAGCCCAAGGGAGTCTTCCTCACTTCTCCATGGGGGCAGTGCAGGGAGCCTCCTGAGCCCCGCCACCTTGGGAGTTCAAATCTTTTTCCTGGGTGGGGCCTGGGTATCAGTGGGAACCTCAGCATGGGAAGGGGTCAAACCACCTGGCAGGAATCCTTGCCTCCCTCAAGGAAACCCACACAGAACATGTTGTTGGTAATCTCTCCAGGGTAGGAGGCTTCACAGTCAGCCTGGGTCAGCACATGAGTGTCCAGGCACTGCAGCTCATCTGGATAGTTGGCTGTGAGGATCAGCAAGAGAACAAAGAAAGTAGAAGTGTAGATCAGGCCAGAGAAGGAGACAATAATCTAGGATGGAACATTGAAGAGGAACACTGTCCCTGGAGAGGACTCCGAAACCTAAGTCCTGGCAAGGGACTCTGGCTTTTAGTTCCCAGAATGATCATTTTTGAACCCCTTCCAAGACGTGATCAAAGCAAGTTCTCTATATGTCCTGTCTTTTGATTTTAGGAGCCAAGTCCTTGAGACTTTGCATCTCTCTGATGTCCATCCACTGTACAGCCTGTGTGTAATGGGCACTAGAAATGTGTCTTAAGCCTGGAGGTGAGAGGATTCAAGTTAAGGGGCATGGTTTGTTCTGGAAATTGTGAGGATGGAGGGAAGGAGAAGGACAAAGGGTCCCACTCACCACCAGAGCTCAGAGTGTTGCCCTAGCCAGAGATGAGGAACTTGGTGCCAGCAGCTGGAGGGGCGGTGGGTAGAGAGATGGTGGACATGTGGGCATTGATGACAGCAGGCATGGAGAGCTTGATCAGCAGGATGTCATTGTCCAGAGTCCAACTGTTGTATTTGGGGTGGCGGATGATCTTGGCTGCATTGATGAACTGCTCATTCCCCTCCAGAACTTCGACGTTGTGCTCTCCCAGTCTCACCTGGATGCGGCTGATGGGCAGGGCAGGCATGGTGAAGACCTTCTCCCACAGCTGGGACACCCATCTTACTTTCCCCAGGGTCCTCAAGCTCCCTGCTCATGGGCAGCTCTGGAGGCATCGGGTGGGGTGTGTGGCCATATCACATGGGCAGGAGAGGGATGGGGGTCAGTGAAGTTGTGAGACCCAGGACCTTTCTGTTTCAGAGGTTGGTGGTAATGGGGTTGGGAAGAGTCAAAAGGATTCCACCGGAGGATGC
Source organism: Homo sapiens (assembly GCF_000001405.40). Lineage (NCBI taxonomy): Eukaryota > Metazoa > Chordata > Mammalia > Primates > Hominidae > Homo > Homo sapiens. Next base: position 142,762,447 of record NC_000007.14, on the reverse strand, counting down.
TCCTTAACCCTCCTTCCCAGCCTCTTTCCCACAATCTCCACAGTCACTAGCACTGTGGGCACAAGGAGCTCTTTGAAGTTTTCCCAGCATTCTTCACCCCAGGCCTTTGCTAACTGTGCACAGTGCCTGTTCCTCCCTCCTTTCTTGGCCTGGTGAGCACCACCCTTCTGTGTAATCTAACCTAAGGGTAGCCATAGCATTAGCATCTCCTGGGAACTTGTTAGAAATGTAAATTCTTGGTCCTTACCCCCACCTACTGCTCAGAACCTTGGGGATGGGTCCCAGTGATTTGTGCTTTAACAACCCTGCAGGTGGTTCTGAGGCAAACTCAGGTTTGAGAGTTCTTGGTGTAGGGAGCAGTTCTCAGCTCTGTCTATACAATCTACAGTTACCAGAGGTAGAATGTTTAATACTCACTGATATTCACACCCTCTTCCTGAAAATTCCTGATAATTGCCCTGGGATAGGACACAGGCATCAGTACTTTTAAAAACTCTTTCTTAAGTGACTTTGATGTGTAGCTAACCAGCAAAGGGTACTTGCCTGCTGTTCTTACTAGCTCTGCCAAACACCAAGATCATCCCTGCCTGCTTTTATGACCACAACCCTTGCTGTTTCATGGATTTGCCTGGGTGTGAGAGCTTCCTGTCTTGTGTTCGCTCTCTGCTCTGGAGAGTCCGCTGCTGCCAACAAGTTTTCTTCTCCACCACCTCTCCCATCCATCTTACCCAACCTCAGTAGTTCCCTGGGCTGAAGCCAAGCTCTCCCAGGCAGCCTGGCTGGGAGCTTTGCAGTCAGGGGCCCCACACTTACTACTTGTAGCAGTGAGCTGCTGACACCACCCACTGTTCGCTGAGGAGGGAGCCACTGCAGAAGTGGTACCCAGAATTCAGGGACACCTGGTAGGGGACAGAATTCTCCTCACAGGTATACCACTAAATGATGTTGTCATCGTCGTCGAAAGGGGAAGCAACTGGAGTGGAGATGGGAAAGGAGAAGGCAAGTCAGTAGCATGTTAGGGGTAGCGCTCCCAGCCTTCGGTTGCTTCCTGCTAATTAGAAATCCTTAACGAGCACAGTGAGGCTAGGTAAGGGAGGGAGCGCTGTCACCCCTGGTAAGCATCACTGCATGTGGCTCCCAAGTCTCTGTGTCTGCAGGGCATGTAGCTAGGTACCCTGCAGGGGCTCAGTTCTCCCCGGGGTCACCAGGCTGAGGATTCAAGGAATGTCCTCACAATGCTTCCAGTGGGATAGGAATTGGGATGTGGTTGTCTCACCCACTGAGTGCTTCTCTCTTTTATTCATCACCTGTGTACTTCCCCTGGCGATTTGAGCCCTGGATTGTCAGTATACTTTGGCCAAGCTAGGAAAACCCCCTGGCTGCGTAGACCTGGCCATGACCAGCTTCCCCCATAGCTCAGATTTGTGTAGTCAGGGCAGAGTTGAGGGCAGCCCCCAGGCTCACTTTGGCAGAACAAAGGTAGACATTGTTATTGGCCAATAGAACAGCAATTCTTAACCTTGGCTGCATGCATGGAAATGTTAAAAATCACCCGGGAATGTTAAAAGCCCAGTACACAGGTTGCACCCCAGAGAATGAAGTTAGAACTTCTAAAGCTGAGTCTCTGATATGAGTAATTTTTCAACCTCCCCAGGTGCATTTGAGGTTAAGAGCAGATATAATGGTGCTATACTGGTGCTATGGAGCCAAGCCTGAAGGCTGCTGCTTCATTTTGTGGGCCCGCCCCACCTGGTCTCCCTTCCCAGCTTCTCCAGCCACAGCTCAGATATGGATGAATGACAGTGGTGGGAGTGAAATCATGGAGAAGCTGAAACAGGTGAGGCTTAAAGAGAGCCGAAGGAGGATGGGAAGGAGAGATGGAGGAAATAGAATATCAGAACACAGTCAAAATGGGAAAGGTGGCAAGAATGGCAGGGCAAGTGTCTGCCAGGAAAGGGGGTGGTTGGGGCCTGAGGCATGGCATGAAACTCGCCAGCAGCTCCCACAAAGGCAAGGATCAGGAGTGGATTCATGGTGGTAGAGTGTGCCTGACTGGTGGTGGAGGACCTGTCTTTATACCTCCTGAGGATCTGGAGAGGAGGTGTCTCTGAGGTGAGGGTCAGCACTCCTCCCAGCACAAACACACCTGCAGCTTTCCCCTTCCCAGGGTCTTGCATCAGCTTGGCTATGTTTGGCCACTCTCTGGGTTTGTGACTCATAGGTGATAAGGAAATTTGCCTTCTGAAAGCAGAGAGAGAGAGCAGCCCTTTCCCGCAAGGATGCTGGGATGGGGAAGACAGGGGAAGCCAAGCCCTGGATCACACATCTGGGCTTTCGTAGGCCGAGGAGATGAGGGTTAGAAGGAGGGAGAATGGCCTGGCTGTTTAGGAATCTGTTTAACTATTTGGGATGTATTTAATGTACTTAAGGAAGGGCAAGTATTGGTAACAAGCTTGGCTTTTCAGTGTCCTGGAGCTCCCAGGAGAGGAGCAAAGTCTGATCTAAGGCTCATTCCTGTGAATATGAAGATGCTTCTCTCCAGTCAGTGTCGGGCAAGGTCAAATCCAAGACTTTGGGGAATGAGAATTCCAACACTAAGGGGTAAGGAGAAGGGAGACTCAGCATTCCATAGGATTCAGGGCTTCCAGATGGCTCTCCTTCCTACCAAGGCTTAAGGATGGGATGTGTTTCAAAGAAGGAGGGGGCACAGTTTAGGTAGGAGCTTAGTGCATCTGGAGGATGGAAAACCAATGGTGCACTCCTCCCCTTCTTCAATGTGAAGACATTTGTCTCTCTCATATGCATCCTGTCATAGGTTCTTTTTATGCAGCCTCATGGTTGCCCTGGCAACCTGCTCTCAGGGTGAGGCAAACTGACCCACCTGCTTGGGGCTGACAGCCTGAACCAGGATGACATGGCCCCAATCAGATGTCAGAGTTTGGACCATGGTAAACCTGGGTTACGATTTGATCTGAGAATCAGCAGTAGGTAGAGATTTGAGCACATGGTAAATGGGTGACATATTGGGTTCAATAACGAAGATGTGGAGGGGTGGGTCTAGAATTTTCTATTTTAGATCCCGGGAGATTATGCTTGGCTCAGTACAAAGTGAAACTTCCCAAAGAATATCCTGATTTGGGCCCTACCAAGGCTACTGAGACACAGTTGTGTAATTGACTGAGGCACAACCTGGCCAGAGCAGTGTGGAGATGGAAATGCTGTCTGTGCTCAAGTCTAATGATGTAAGAAAAGGAGGAGTTTCCTTATGAGGGTGCTTTCCCTTCTCAGGAACTCTGAGCTCAGGTTGGTGATGGGCAGGAGTGAGCAGAGTTCAAGTTTGAATTCTTTGAAAGGTAAAAGAAGCAGGGATGTTCTGGAGACAGTGAACAAAATGAGAAAAGCTCAGAAACTTGGTGTTGAAATTGGACACAGCCAGGGGGCTAGAGGGAGGAAGCAAATGGAAACGAGAGGGAATTGGAGAAAATGCCAAAGTGGGGCCCGTGGAGTTGAGAGGACACACAGAGTACCTTCGGGTTCAGCTCCTAGTATGGCCACCCAGCCAGCTTCCCCAGAGCCCGGAGACCCACTGCTCAGAGACCCCCTCTCCACCCCATACCCCCTCTAATCACTGATGGGCTTATACCTAACACTGCTGTACTTAGATGGTGCATGGTGCCTGACAACTTTACAAGAGTTTTCATAAGCAACAGTGGTACATTGCTTTTCATTGATGCTGAGTTTCACGGTTTAACTTCCCACAAACATGCTAATTGTGATTTGTGTAGAGCCAAATTGTTTCCATTTATAGAGGAAGAGACTGAGATTCAGAAGGATTCTGTCTTGCCCAAGAATACAGATCTTGGCAGAGCTGACCATAAGGCCAACAGAAGCCATGGAGAGCATTGTAAAGTGTGGGAATTGCTGCACGTGGCATCTAAAAGGAGATTTATTGCGGATCAAGGCAGAGGTCCCCAGAGGACAAACTGTACATCTGATTCCTTCCTGGTGCTTTTCTTCCTGGCAGAAATGGATGATTGAATTCATCTTTCTCCTGGCACCTTGTCTCAGAGCCTTATCTTGCCACAGTTCCAGACCCATCCAGGCCATGACTGCCATGTAGATGAGAAACCTCTCTGCTCATGAATAACTGGCCAAGCCTGAGGTAGCCAGGTTTTGGAGCTTTGATAATATGGGTTTTTCCTGTGTTGTCCCTAAACATGTTGTTTCATTTTGTCCCCTTGTCATGGGGCCTTCACAGAACTCCTGCCTTAGAGAATAAGGAGAGACTCTTGCTCTAGCAACTATAGACACTAGTGAGCACTCAATAGGGATGTGAACCTTGGTAGGAGATGGAAAACGTTTTTGGGAAAGGGGGTTTCTGGATTAGTGCTTGTGGCTCTGATTCTCTGTCTGAAAGGGAACACCCAAGAATATGAGGATTTTCTGTATCTAGAGCTTGAAGACTAGCCTTCTCCAGTATTTTGTGCTCTTCCTTAAATGATCACAGTATAGTCTGAGGTCAGCTTTCTTCAAAAAGGAATGACCTCACAGGCAGAGAAGATAGCTATAGGTGGAGACTATTACCTCATATCATAGACTCAGATGTGTAGGATAGGTTCAGATCTACCTGCCCAAGCTCAATTTGGAGGACATGTCATTCTTGGTACTGTTGGTTCTGAACTATAGATTTCTTTGTCTACTTCTCTAAGACATTTTTTCTGGCTTGTATTTAGTGCTTAGCACACCAAGCCACTGTCCTTCTATTATGATAACAGTGAATCATTTCTGTGTGCTTCCTATATAGCACATAACTTACTATACAGCATGTAACTCATGTAAGTTAAGAATGTTTTTTTTTCATTTTATCATCACAACCACCTATGGGCTTGCCCATTTTACAGATGATCGAATGAACTTTCTGGAGGTGAAGTGACTCTTCCATGTCCCAGAGCAGCAGCTCCCAGCCAGAGCTGGCCCTGCCTGCACTCAAGACCTTGGAAAAGCAACCAGAGCCAGAAAGAACCATGAGAGAAGCTTTCAAATACTTTCAGCCACTTTTTCCTCCTTTTTTTCTCTTCTCCTCTCCTGCATTTTTCTCCATCTCCAGGTACAGTTCGGGATGTGGATGCCTGTCCCCACACAAAAACACTTGTGATCCATTCCTGATACCTCAATTCAACCCAATTTCCCCCCTTTAAAGTCAGATCTCACCTACCTGTTTGGTCAGAGAAATGTGTGTTTTAAAATCCCCGAGGAAGGAGACAGGGACTGAGCCCTCAGATGATTATTGGTGAAGTGGATTTATGCTTAATTTCAGTTTAAGAGAATGTTGCTGTGTCTCTGCCTAGGGCAGGCACCCCATTGTGGCCCTGGGTGATGAGGAAAGCCCACAGATACACAGGGTTTGTCACCTGTGGCTGCCAGTGTCTGCAGAGTCAGAATTGAGATAATCCCTTGAAAGGATCAGCACTGATGGGCAGTTGCATGGTAGGTTGCTATGGGGCTTCTTGATCTCTCAAATTCCAGGTGACAAGATGAATGCATGCTTGAGGGGCCCCTTCGCAGCAGGCTCTGGTGGCTACAAACTGGTTCAGGTGTGGAAGATCTTACCACTTTACCTTTGGTTTTTCTTTTTTTTCTTTTCTTTTCTTTCTTTTTTTTTTTTTGAGACAGAGTCTGGCTCTGTTGTCCAGGCTGGAGTGCAGTAGCATGATCTCAGGTCACTGCAAGCTTTGCCTCCCAGGTTCACGCCATTCTCCCGCCTCAGCCTCCCGAGTAGCTGGGACTACAGGCACCTGCCACCACACCCGGCTAATTTTTTATGTTTTTAGTAGACACGGGATTTCACTGTGTTAGCCAGGATGGTCTCTATCTCCTGACTTCGTGATCCGCCCGCCTCGGCCACGTATAGTGCTGGGATTACAGGCCAGTTTTTCTTTGAAAAACAAATAATAAAAGACAGATGAAAACAAGAATTCTACCAGTGGGCAGGCAAGAATTCTCTTCCGGAAAAGGGATGTTTGTGGCTCTACCCCACATTGGCCTTGAAAGAGCTTGGCTGCAGAGTGGCTATTATTAAAACGTCAAAAAAAAAAAAAAAAAAATAGAAGATGCTGTCAAGGCTGCAGAGGAAAGGGAATGCTTATACACTCTTGGCCTGACTGTCGATTAGTTTATGGAAAAATTAATGCAGAAGGCAGTTTGGAGATTTCTGAAATAATTAAAAACAGAACTACCTTTCCACCCAGCAATTCCTTTACTGGGCATATACCCAAAGGAAAATAATTGGTCTGCCAAAAAGACACATGCTCTTGCATGTCCGTCACAGCACTATTCACAATAACAAAGCCATGGAATCAATCTAGGTGGCCATCAACGGTAGATTGGATAAAGGAAATGTGGTACATATACACCATGGAATACTATGCAGCTATGAAAAAATGAAATCATGTCTTTGCAGCAACGTGGATGGAGATGGAGACCATAATTCTAAGCAAATTAACACAGGTATGTAAAACCAAATATCACGTTCTTCTGTATAAGTGGGAGCTGAGCATTTGGTACACATGGATATAAAGATGGGAACAGTAGACACTGTAACTGCTAGAGGGAAGAGAGAAGGAGGGTGGAAAGGGCTGAATAACTACCTATTGGGCACTATTCTCACTGCCTGAGTGGTAAGAACATTTGTGCCCCAAACCTCAGCATCACGCAATATACCCATGTAACAAACCTGCACACGTATGCCCTGAATCTAAAATAAAAGTTGAAAATTTTTTTAAAAAATGGGTCCTGGGCCAGAAGTGGTGGCTCATGCCTGTAATCCCAGTACCTTGGATCACTTGAGGTCAGGAGTTCAAAATGAGCCTGGCCAACATGGTGAAACCCTGTCTCCACTAAAAATACAAACAAACAAACAAACAAAATCAGCTGGGCATGGTGGCGAGTGCCTGTAATCCCAGGTACTTGGGAGGCTGAATCACTTGAACCCGGGAGGTGGAGACTGTAGTGAGCAGAGATCATGCCACGGCACTCCAGCCTGGCTGTAGTTCAGCCAGAAGGAGATGTTTTGTGTGAAGGCTGAGGTGGGGGCTCTTAGGAGCCTCTGTGAGAAGGAGGCCCTAAGCCGTGGCGGTGGACAGATATCAGCTTTCTGCCTTATTGCCCTTTGGTCTGGACCCATAGGTGAACAGTACCAGCCTCGATCCTGAGCACACACCCTGCAGACTTTCACATCTCACGGTTCCACGTGAGTACATGGACTGGGAAAGCTGTGTGGCCTGTGAAAAGGCAACCCCGTGGCCTGGCTCTCACACAGTATTTTGTCTAGGATTTTGAATAAGCATGTTTTTGCTTGTTTTGTGTTTTTGGTGATGGTAGTGTTGGTATATTTTATACTGACCACTTGGAAGAAATCCCATGGTTATCTGTGATTTTCATGCCCTGTTTCTTCTGGCAACCCTTCTCACTGGGGTGACTCACTTTCCTGTGTAAAGAGTCTTAGTGGCCCAGGTGGGAGGTGGAAGCAGCCATCTGGAAGGCCATTGGGATCCTTATGTCTGTGTCTTGGCTTGAGGTGACCAGCTGGGCTTTGATAGGGATGATCTGAATGGAGACAGAAAACAGTGGAAACTAACACTCCCTGCCCAGCCCAGCCCTGTTTATATGAAGCGTTTGGTTCTTCCCTTGACTCTTGAGTGATGATGATATTCAGATAAGGCATTGATATTATAGTAAGAAAGGGAAAAAATTATCTGTCTTGTCTGTCTATCTATCTACTGGATATATATCTCCAAAAGCAGACAAACCCAAGGCTGTAAGGTGAACTACGGTCTGCGTTTGGACTCCATAAAAACAAAATCCATGTTGAACAAAGTGATGTTTGTATGTATTGATGTTCTGGGTGACCCGTGTGTATCTATCCATTGTGTGCGAGCCCTGAGCCCTGTTTTCCTCTGGAGATAGTGAGTGGTAGCCGTCTCCTCACACAAGTCACACATCTGGAGCCCAGATGGCCCTCTCAAGGTAATTGATCTTACACATTTACTGTTTACCAAACAAGTGTCTGATGCATACTTGGGTGTATTCCACAGCATGTGGACTGCAGTCCCCTGTGTTTGCCAGGAACGCTGTGCTCCATGTAGAGGTTTTCCTCTACTCATCCCTGCAATTTGCACGCTGCTCTGTGGACACTTGGAGGCCTGTGCTCTGTTCCCTGTAACTGGAAATGTGCTCTGAACTTGTCTGTCTCCCTTGGCTGCTCCTGGCCCTTAGTGCCAGCTCCCAGGGGTGTCCACAACCACTTGGGACAGAGGTGAAGGTGGAATTTCAAAGAGAAGCTTCCTTGGATCTTCGGTGCCAAGCTTGGATGAGCTACAGCCCCAACATGGGCCCTCTCAGAATTGCCAGGAGGAGGCTTTGGCAGGTGCCAGAGGTGCCACAGGGCCTGCCTCCCTCTGCTGCATCCAGTGGGTTCAAGCCAGCCAACGTGTGGTCAGAGTGGCTGGTGGTGTCACAGTCCTCAGATCTTTCCTTCCACCCCTTTTAAAGAATCCCAAATAACTCACTTGAAGTGTCTCAAAGTCAAGCAAGTTTTATGAAAATGAATCCTTCCTCAGCTAATTGATCAAATAGGTGAATCCTGACCCTCTCTAGTTTCTTTCCCTGGTCAGAGTGAGGAGCTGGTGTTAGCTGTGGGATTCACTGTGGCATCCTACCCCAAAGGCAAAGAAGACGAAAATCAAGCCCAGTGTGTAGATCTGCGCTTGATTCCCAAGTCGCAGTCTGGCTCCTGCTATGGTAGGTGGAACATCTCTCTAGCCTGCTCACAGAGATGGAACTAGGGAACTGAGGGAAGAGTTAGGCGGCCAGGGAGATTTATTTGCATCTGATTTTCCAGGTGAATGAGAAGGGAGGGCTTGGTCGAGGGTTTGGTGCCGACACATTCCTGGGAGAGGCACGTCATCACCAACAGGATTTGTCATTATTATTGTATTTTAGCAAGAAGATTCAGCTGGTCAAGTTTTTTGGGCCACCTCGAAGATGCTGACACATTTTCTGTGCTGTAATTGTTCTGAAGGCAGAGTAGCTCTAACTACTGTGAGAAGCCCAAATAAAAATCAATACCCACCCCCCCACCCCAAAGACCACCTTTCTGAAACAGGTATCTCTAGAAAACAGTACTCCCCTTTCTCCCAAGCTTCTTCTTATTTTTGGATTCCATCTGTTTGTATGTGCTAATCTAGTGTACCATGGAACACATTTTGGGAGATGGGGGCTCTGCTTACCTTTAAAGGGGACAGTCGTGTCTAACCTGAAATTGGAGGATGCTTTCCAGTGTGAAGGAGTGAGAGGGAGCAGGCACAGACACAGACAGTGAGAACAGGGTCACTTTATTGGTATAGAGACTGAAGAGATACTGGGGGCTTTAGCTATTGGCAGCTATGGTGTTCTTAATCCATTTCACATAGTTGTAGACCTTGGTGTAGACTCCAGGCTTGTTCTTCTGGGCACAGCCATCACCCCAGGAGACAACTCCTTGGAGCTGTCCATTGCAGACCACAGGGCCACCAGAATCACCCTGGGGGGAAGAAGGGACAAGTTGTATGGAGAGATGGAGGAGGAATATAGCTACATTTACTCTGAACCTTAAAAGACCCCTTTCCAGCCAGCTCTGTGGCTCCATGTCCTTCTCATGGTGGCCCATTCTCTGTTCTTCCTAAGCAGACAAGATGCAGCCCAAGGGAGTCTTCCTCACTTCTCCATGTGGGCACTGCAGGGAGCCTCCTCAGCCCCACCACCTTTTGAGTTCAAATCCTTTTCCCTGGTGGGGCCTAGGTATCAGTGGGAGCCTCAGCATGGGAAGGGTTGGTCAAATCACCTGACATGAATCCTTGCCTCCCTCAAGGAAGCCCACACAGAACATGTTGCTGGTAATCTTTCCAGGGTAGGAGGCTTCACACTTAGCCTGGCTCAGCACAGGAGCATCCAGGCACTGCAGCTCGTCTGGGTAGTCGGCTGTGAGGATCAGGAAGAGATCAAAGGAAGTAGAAATGTGGGTCAGGCCAGAGAAGGAGACAATAATCTTGGATGGAAAACTGAAGAGGAACACAGCCCCTGGAGAGGACTCCAGAACATAAGTCCTGGCAAGAGACTCTGGCTTTTAGTTCCCAGAATGATCATTGTTGAACCCCTCCCAAGATGTGATCATATCAAGTTCTCCATTTGTCCTGTCTCTTGATTTTAGGAGCCAAGTCCTTGATAGTTTGCATCTCTCTGGTGCCCAGTGCAGAGTCTGTGTGTAATGGGCACTCGAAATGTGTCTTAAGCCTGGAGGTGAGAGGATTCAAGTTAAGGGGCATGGTTTGTTCTGGAAATTGTGAGGATGGAGGGAAGTAGAAGGACTAAGGGTCCCACTCACCGCCAGAGCTCGCAGTGTTGCCCCAGCCAGAGATGAGGCACTTCGTGCCAGTGGCTGGAGGGGCGGTGGGCAGAGAGATGGTGGACACGCGGGCGTTGATTACTGCACGTGAGGAGAGCTTGATTAACATGATGTCATTGTTCAGAGTCTTCCTGTCGTATTGGGGGTGGCGGATGATCTTGGCTGCATTGATGAACTGCTCATTCCCCTCCAGGACTTCGATGTTGTGCTCTCCCAGTCTCACCTGGATGCGGCTGATGGGCAGGGCAGGCATGGTGAAGACCTTCTCCCACAGCCAGGGCACCTATCCCACCTTCCCCAGGTTCCTCAAGCTCTCTGCTCATGGACAGCTCTGGAGGCATGGGGTGGGGTGTGTGGCCATATCGCATGGGCAGCAGAGGGATGTGGGTCAGTGAAGGTATGAGACCCAGGACCTATCTGCTCCAGAGGTTGGTGGTAGTGGGGTGGGGAAGAGTCAAAGGGATCCCACCAGAGGCTGCTCCTCAACCTGCCTCCCCAGACTCTTTCCCACAATCTCCACAGTCACTAGCACTGTGGGCACAAGGAGCTCCTTGAAGTTTTCCCAGCGTTCTTCACCCCAGGCCTTTGCCAACTGTGCACAGTGCCTGTTCCTCCCTCCATTCTTGGCCTGGTGAGAACCACCCTTCTGTGTAATCTAATCCAAGGGTAGCCATAGCATTAGCATCTCCTGGGAACTTGTTAGAAATGTGAATTCTTGGTCCTTACCCCCACCTACTGATCAGAACCTTGGGGAAGGGGCCCAGTGATTTGTGCCTTAACAAGCCTGCAGGGCGTTCTGATGCATACTCAGGTTTGAGAGTTCTTGGTGTAGGCAGCAGTTCTCAGCTCTGTCTATACACTCTACAGTTAGCAGAGGTAGAGTGTAAAATTCTCACTGATATTCACACCCTCTTCCTGAAAATTTTGACTTAATTGCCCTGGGATAGGACAAAGGCATCTGTATTTTTAAAAAGTCTTTCTTAGTTGGCTTTAATGTGTAGCTAACCAGCAAAAGATACTTGCCTGCTTTTCTCACTAGCTCTCACCACCCCAAGATCATCCCTGCCTGCTTTTATGACCACAACCCTTGCTGTTTCATGGATTTGCCTGGGTGTGAGAGGTTCCTGTCTTGTGTTCACTCTCTGCTCTGGAGAGTCCGCAGCTGCCAACAAGTTTTCTTCTCCACCACCTCTCCCATCCATCTTACCCAACCTCAGTAGTTCCCTGGGCTGAAGCCAAGCTCTCCCAGGCAGACTGGCCGGGAGCTTTGCAGTCGGGGGCCCCACACTTACGACTTGTAGCAGTGGCCTGCTGATACCACCCACTGTTCGTTGATGAGGGAGCCACCACAGAAGTGGTAGCCAGAATTCAGGGACACCTGGTAGGGGACAGAATTCTCCTCACAGTTGTAGCCCCCAACGATCTTGTCATCATCATCAAAGGGGGCAGCAACTGGAGTGGAGATGGGAAGGGAGAAGGCAAGTCAATAGCATGTTAGGGGTGGCGCTCCCAGCCTGTGATTGCTTTCTGCTAATTAGAAATCCTTAACAAGCACAGTGAGGCTAGGCAAGGGAGGGAGCTCTGCCACCCCTGGTGATCATCACTGCCTGTGGCTCCCAAGTCTCTGTGCCTGCAGGGCACATAGCTAGGTACCCTGCGGAGGATCCGAGCTCTCCTGGGGTCACCAGGCTGAAGTCGCAAGGAATGTCCTCACAATGCTTCCAGTGGGATAGGAGTTGGGATGTGGTTGTCTCTCCCACTGAGTGCTTCTCTCTTTTATTCATCACCTGTGTACTTCCCCTGGCTATTTGGGCCCTGGATTGTCAGGATTCTTTTGCCAAGCTAGGAAAACCCCCTGTCTGCATAGACCTGGCCATGACCACCTTCCCCCATAGCTCAGATCTGTGCAGTCAGGGCAGAGTTGAGGGCAGCCCCCAGGCTCACTTTGGCAGAACAAAGGTAGACTTTGTTATTGGCCAATAGGACAGCAATTCTTAACCTTGGCTGCATGGCTGGAAATATTAAAAATCACCTGGGAAGCTTAAAAGCCCAGAACACAAGCTCTACCCCAGACAATTGAAGTTAGAATTTCTAGAGCTGAGTCTCTGGCATGAGTAATTTTTCAACCTCCCCAGGTGCATTCGAGGTTAGGAGCAGCTATAGTGGTGCTATTCTGTTGCTGTTGGAGCCAAGCCTGAAGCCTGCTGCTTCATTTCGTGGGACAGCCCCACCTGGCCCCCTTCCCAGCTTCTCCAACCACAACTCGGATATGGATGAATGACAGTGGTGGGAGTGAAGTCAAGGAGAAGGTGAACAGGTGAGACTTAAAAAGAGCCCAAGGAGGATGGGAAGGAGATATGCCAGATGGAGGAAACGGAATATCAGAGCACAGTCAAAAGAGGAGAGGTGGTAAGAATGGAAGGGCATTTGTCGGCCAGGAACGGGGGGGTGGTTGGGGCCTGAGGCAGGGCATGATACTCACGAGCAGCTGCCACAAAGGTAAGGATCAGGAGTGGATTCATGGTGGTAGAGTGTGCCTGACTGGTGGTGGAGGACTCGTCTTTATACCTCACGAGGATCCAGAGAGGAGGTGACTGTGAGGTGAGGGTCACCACTCCTCCCAGCACAAACACACCTGCAGCTTTCCTCTTCCCAGGGTCTTGCATCAGCCTGGCTATGTTTGGCCACTCTCTGGGTTTGTGATTCACAGGTGATAAGGAAACTTTCCTTCTGAGAGCAGAGAGCGAGACCGGCTGTTTCCTGCAAGGATACTGGGATGGGGAAGACAGGGAAAGTCAAGCCCCAGATAACAGAGCTGGGCTTTCTTAGGCCCTGGAGATGAGGGTTAGAAGGAGGGAGAATGGCCTAGCTGTTTACAAATCTTTCCACCTATTGGGAATGTATTTAATGTACTTAAGGAAGGGCAAGCATTGGTAAAAAGCTTGGATTTCAGTTTCCTGGGGCCCACATGAGAGGAGCAAAGTCTTATCTAAGGCTCATTCCTGTGAATATGAAGATGCTTCTCTCCAGTCAGTGTGCAGGAAGGTCAAATGCAAGATTTTGGGGAATGAAAATTCCAACACTAAGGGGTAAGGAGAAGGGAGACTCAGCATTCCATAGGATTCTGGGCTTCCAGATTTCTCTCCTTCCTACCAAGGCTTAAGGATGGGAAGTGTTTCAAAGAAGGAGGGGGCACAGTTTCTGTAGGAGCTTTCTCAGTGCCTCTGGAGGATGGAAAACCAATGGCGCACTCCTCCCCTTCTTCAATGTGAAGACATTTGTCTCTCTCATGTGCATCCTGTCATAGGTTCTTTTTATGCAGCCTCACTGTTGTCCTTGCAATCTGCACTCAGGTGATGCAAACTGACCCACCTGCTCAGGGCTGACAGTCTGAACCAGAATGATCAGATGATCATTTTCTATTTTCGATGCAGTGAGATTATGCTTGGCTCAGTACAAAGTGAATCTTCCTAGAGAATATCCTGATTTGGGCCCTACCAAGGCTACTAAGACACAGTTGTGTAATTGACTGAGGCACAACCTGGCCAGAGCAGTGTGGAAATGGAGATGCTGTCTGTGCTCAAGTCTAATGATGTAGGGAAAGGAGGAGCTTCCTTATGAGGGTGCTTTCCCTTCTCAGCAACTCTGAGCTCAGGCTGGTGATGGGCAGGAGTAAGTAGAGTTCAAGTTTGGATTCTTTGAAAGGTAAAAGAAGCAGAAATGTTCTAGAGACGGTGGACAAAATGGGAAAAGCTCAGAAACTTGGTGTTGAAATCGGACCTGGCCAGGGGGCTAGAGGGAGGAAGCAAATGGAAACCAGAGGGAATTGGAAATAATGCCAAAGTGGGGCCCATGGTGTTGAGAGGACACACAGAGTACCTTCGGTTTCAGCTCCTGGTATGGCTGCTGAGCCAGCTTCCCCACAGCCAGGAGACCCACTGCTTGGAGACCCCCTCTCCGCCTCGCACCCCCTCTAATCACTAATGGGCCCATACCTAACACTGCTATGCTTAGATGGTGCACAGTGCCTGACAACTTTACAAGAGTTTTCATGTAAGCAACAGTGGTACATTACTTTTCATTTATGCTGAGTTTCACACTTTAACTTCCCACAAACATGCTAATTGTAATTTGTGCAGAGCAAAATTGTTTCCATTTATAGAGCAAGAGACTGAGATTCAGAAGGATTCTGTCTTGCCCAAGAATACAGATCTTGGCAGAGCTGACCATAAGGCCAACAGAAGCCATGGAGAGCATTGTGAAGTGTGGGAATTTCATCTAAGAGGAGGTATCTAAAAGGAGATTTATTGAGGATCAAGACAGAGGTCCCTAGAGGACAAACTGTACATCTGATTCCTTCCTGGTGCTTTTCTTCCTGGTAGAAATGGATGATTGAATTTATCTTTCTCCTGGCACCTAGTCTCAGAGCATTACCATGCCACAGTTCGAGACCCATCCAGGCCATGACTGCCATGTAGATGACAAACTTCTCTGCTCACGAATAACTTGCCAAGCCTGAGGTAGCCAGGTTTTGGAGCATTGATAAAATGGGCTTTTCCTTTGTTGTCCCTGAACATGTTGTTTCATTTTGTCCCTTGTCATGGGGTCTTCACAGAACACCTGCCTTAGAGGATAAGGAGAGACTCCTGCTCTAACAACTGTAGATACTAGTGTGCACTAAACAGGGAGGTGAACCTTGGTAGAAGATGGAAAATTTTTTTGGAAAAGGGGATTTTTGGATCAGTGCTTGTGGCTCTGACTCTCAGTCTGAAAGGGAACACCCAAGAATTTGAGGATTTTCTGTATCTAGAGCTTGAAGACTAGCCTTCTCCAGTATTTTGCGCTCTTCCTTAAATGATCGCAAAATAGTCTGAGGTCAGCTTTCTTCAGAAAGGAATGACCTTACAGGCAGAGAAGATAGCTATAGGTGGAGACTGTTACCTCATACTGTAGACTCAGATGTGTAGGATAGGTTCAGATCCAGCTGCCAAAGCTCAATTTGGAGGACATGTCATTCTTGTTACTGTTCATTCTGAATTGTAGATTTCTTTGTCTACTTCTCAAGACATCTCTCTGGCTTGTATTTAGTGCTTAGCACACTAAACCACTTTCCTTTAATTTTGATAACAGTGAGTCTTTTCTGTGTGCTTACTATATACCACATAACTTACTCTACAGCATGTAACTCATGTAAGTTAAAAATGTTTTTTTCATTTTATCATCACAACCACCTATGGGATTGCCCATTTTACAGATGATCAAATGAACTTTCTGGAGGTGAAGTGGCTTGCTCAAGGCCACACAGCCAGGAGGTTTTAAAGATGGGATGTAAGTATGGTGGTCCGACTCTAGGGCCTCCATGCTGTGCAATAGGGCATTCTGCTTTGCCTCCTCTGAGCTGATCCTTAGTGCAGCCTCACTGAGGTGGTAGGCAGCAGATATTGTTCTCTCCTTTTTACAGATGAACAATCTAAAGCTCAGAGGTCAAGTGTCTTCTCCAGGGTTACTTGTCTAAGGAAAGCAGAGATCATACTAGAAACTTCCCTATTCAGACAAAGTTTGTTCCCCTTCATGTTGCTACAGAGTTGCGTCTTTCAGACCTAGTAGTCTGCAAACTGTCATATTCCAATTTTATTTTTTAACACTTTCTTCTCCAAATCCCACCAGATCTTTCTCCTACATTCTTACTGATCTCCTCCTTGGGTTCCAGTATCTTTTATCGTTCCCCAACCAGACTGTCAGATTTTAGGCTGTCTTACCCCCAAACTCCCAGCTCCTCTCCTCATCCATTTTTTTTTCTAAGCTACTTATCTCCCGCACAGCACAATTTCTCTTTATCCAATAAGGAATTATTTTCGTTACTATATCATCCCAGGAATCATTGAATCTGGAGAGTGAAGGGAGTGCTCTGTGTGACTCGGAAAAGTCTGACTTGTAAGATGGAGTCCCAGAGCATGAACTGGTCAAGGCTGATCAGCTAAACGGAGTAGCCCATTCCTCCCCGCCTGCCTCCCGCCCCTCCTCTTGACTGCCTCTTGCCCCTCCTTCTGCCTGCCCAGCTGCTCCCCAGCTTGAAGCCATGGAAGACATGCAAGTTTTATGCCCAGAGGGAAGTTTATAGTTCTGTTTATTCTTCAGGCTTCCATGTATGGGTAAATGGGGAAGCCTCTAGCACTTGACACTAAACCCACAGTATTTTAAGGATAGATTGATTGCTCTAATATAATGGTGAGTCTTTCTGTTCACATTTCAGCCACTCCTTGACCACTCTCTTGTTTGGCCTATTAGAGCTGCTTAAGTGAGTCCAGGCTCCCTTAGACAAGAAGCAGAAGAAAGCCAGGACAGAGTGCAGGAGAAACACCCATGTAGGTTCTTATTATTGTAACATCTAGGATCTGTTTCATGATACTCAGAGTTTAATATATGATGTATGCATTTATTTTTCTAAATTATGCTAGCTCTAGACTGAGGCTCACAAGCTAGGTTTGGTGATAAATCCAGTCAACTGGGTTCCTTCTACTCATGTAGTTTATAAAAGTCTAGACTGTGTCATCCATTTGGAAGGCAGCCAATGGGTCAGTCATTTCCTCAAGATCATCTTGGCCAGGAGGGCCTTCAAAAGGCTCCTAAGGCTCAGAATTGAATGCTCCATCCACACAGGCACCAACACAATTCCAATTGAGAACTTTCCACCCCAGGGCCACTGTGTTTGAGCAGGTTCTGCACTTTGCCTCTCTATAGAACCCATATCATCTGTTCCATTTCCCAGTCTTGGGTAAGGCAGCAGAACGGGGTTGGCACATGACATATGGACCTTTCTATTCAAATACAATGCTTGTTATCTGTAGTCCTCCTACAGTTCTGTAAAACACTGGAACTTATTCCTCCTATCTAGCTGTAATTTTGTGTCCTTTAATCTTTTTGTATCCTCCCCGCAACTAAAACATAAATTTAAAACAAGAATAAAAAATATAAAGTTTGAAGTGCTTATTCCTTTCCTGTTAGAATAATCTAGTTAATTTTCTTATGGGCTTAGATTATCTAAACTCAAATGCCTTTGTAGAGTTTTCCACCAGGGAAATCCACTGCAGCTGTATAAATTTTCCTCTTATCTTTGAAATGTATTTATTTACTCACAAATATTTATTGAATTCCTGGAGTGATATTCCAAGAGTTCTTCTAGGCTATTTGGAAGCAGCAACGAAGAAGACAGAAAAGGTTCTTGTTTTCAGTGCATTCATGTGTGCATGTGCATGCATTTATGCACATATGAGGAGGTATAGAAATGGGATGCACATACATCACTTTCAGTAAATGATGAGTACATATTACTAAAATAGGATAAAGTGATAATATGGCATGACTGCTGAAGTGCTGTTACGTAGAGTGGTCAGGAAAGGTCTCTTTGGGGAGGTGGCATTTAAGTTAACACCTGAATAAAAAAGAACCAGCCATCTGCAGGTAGACTTAGGGCTTTCATGATTTCCTTCTGAGTCTGCAACAGAAATAATTCAACGCACACAAACAATTGCTATTTAAAATTAAATAACCCTGTCATCTAGCCTATGGATATATACCTTGTCATGGGTTTTGATTGTATGAAGGATGGTCATCAGTATATCGAACTATTCTTATTAAAGTTAATGTAAAATATTTTTGACATGAAATGATATTCATGAAATATTGTTGGGTTAAGGGAATAAATTCTAAAACTACATATTGTATGATCTAATTTTATTAAACTGAGTGATTTTGACTTTTTTATTTTGATAATATGCATATTTTATAATACCACAAATTTTTTATTTAATTAAAATAGCTAAAAGAGAAACAATTGTAATGATAAAATTTTCTGAGAGAGGGCCATACTTATTCTTGAGGAAGGAATTGCCAGTGGTAAAATATGTTTTTATAGTGAGAAATACGTTTAGGTAGCAACTACACTAATTGCATATTTTGTCTCTATGTGCTTTTTATACAGATAATTGTATCACTTTCTTATTTTAAAAAACCTACATTTAAAAACTCACTATTATTCTTATTTTCTATGGAGAAATTAAGGCATGGAGAAATTGTGTAACTTGTTAAGGTTACACCTAGTGTTAAAGCAGAAGAACCAAGTTTTAAACTTAGGTCTGTCACTTGACAAAGTTCAAGTTCCTAACCACAGTGCTTTACTGCTTTTAAAGAGGCAATTTTGTAATATAGGAAGGTGCTTCATAATCCAAGGCTTCACTGTAGGTAAATTTGTCAACTTCCTATGGTAATGGGAGCATGGGCCAGGAAGGTAAGCTAGCACTGAGCCCATGAGATAAAACAGGTATACATGTGCATTCCTGTGACCTGGAGAATTAGTACACATGGAAACTGGAGAAGGCCCATGAGACCTTACATGGACCAGAAACTAGACAGGAATCACTGCTTTTTAAAGTGAGGTACACAAAGAGATACACAGTTAGTGAAAGGATGAGCTAGAAAACTAATCCTAGAAGCAATTAACAAAGAATATTATTTGTCTTGGTCTTGGCTTTGGGTGAAGGATTTTAAAAAATTTCCTCTGAATATTCATGGTCACTGAACAGTCAGCCCATTGGGGTTTGAGATAGACATTCTATGACCAAGAAGATATATACTGAGAATTATAAAATAAAATGATATTAGGTCTGTAGCGCCCCAATTTCTTGACAGAGGCAAACATGAATTTTCCTAGAAAACCCACTTTTACTCCAGTATTTAAAGAATTCTGAAAGATGAATTCACATTAACTTACATAATGTACAAGGAAATAGGCTACCCTGAGTGAGAGCCAGCAGACCACTGAAAGCCAGATGCAAAAAGGCATCAAATGCTGGCATTGTCAGATAATAATTCCCAGTAGATGCTTAATATACTTATAAAAAGAAAATAATTTTAAAATACACAAGGAACAAGATGCTTTCAAAAATGTCCACTCATATTTGTAAATGACCCAAGTGGATTTTCTAGAAATAAAAATTAATATAATTTAGATGAACAAAGTCAGTTGAAAGATTAAATTAGAGGCTTACTGGAGCTGAGGTGTGAATTAGTAAACTAAACAGTAGTTTTAAAGAAATTACCCAGATTGTAGCATAGAGAAGCAAAAAGAAGAAAAATATGACTGAATAGGTAAGGAGACTAGATGATAGTATGAAAGAAAATTGAACATAAGATATAGCTATACTTCTGGCCATCTCTTCTTCAATAAAATGTGGACAACAATCAGGTATACCAATTTAAGTTTTGGCCCCGAGAAGATTTCCCTTCACCACTACCTTTCAGAACCATACTTGGTTAGACTGTAATGATCCTTCCAGAATAATGTGAAGACCCATCAAAAAAATAAGCTCATGTTTCTCAACTGGAAATATGGAATTTCCATGAAACTTGGGTGTGGTTTGAAGGTAAGAGGAGAAAAGTATGAGTGGGTAGCATGAGACTCTGAGATGTGCTCTTGAAATTGAATCGTGCCTTTTTCCAGCTGTGCTTAAGTATGGTCTTGATTATGTATTTTCCATTTAATAACAGAATGCTCTGGGCACAGCCAAATTTACAGTTTTGCAGATCAGATAATACCTTGTTCTGAATGCCATTATGAGGCATCCATTATAGAGCCAGGAGCAACTTTTCAAAAGAAAGGGGATCGTTGGCCGGTAAGAGTATGGCTTTACACCAAAACTCTGCACCTGTCTGCAGGGCAATTCTCCAGGTGGCCTTGGACAAACTCAGTACTCCCCTATTTCTTGCTTGTAGTTCTCAAAAATAACTGTACAATGTTCTGGGACTGTAACATCCTGAGATAAGGAGGAACTGGCCAGAACAGCCAGGGCTCTGTTCCAGTCCCTTCTAGAAATAGAATGTCCTTCAATGCTTTGCCAAGCATGTCAAGTTGCTCTAAGATATAAAACCCAGGGTGGCTGCTCTCTGAGGTCCCTCAGTGGCAGTGCAAGTAGGGAAGGCACAGACAAGATTTCATCCACCCTGGGCAGCTTTCCTGAGCCTAGTGGGACTGGCTTTCCCTGAATCTTAGGCCTCTGTTTTCCCTTGCTGCCTGTATGTAAGTAATAAACACTCCTCATGTAATTTGTGTGTGTGAGCATTCTTTCTCTCTGGGATCTGGAAAGCAACAAAAGTATAGCCCAAGATGCAATGGTCTGAAGTGCAAATCAGGGCACAGCAAACCTGTTCCACACTGCCTTGTGATTCTCGTATTGGGGAATGTCAGGAGCTCCACAGGGCATCAGTATCTACCATAGGCTCTTCAAGAACAACTGGGTCTGCTTAGTCCATGGCCCAAGCAGCAGGAAGCTTTCATCATGGGCTTCTTCTGCCACAGAACCCTCTCTTGCACTGGCCCCAGCTTTACAGATTACATAGTAAATGGGATAGAGTAGCACAATCAAATGCAGTATATCCAAAGTTTAATTCAAAGTCCAAAGACTAAGCATTGCACCTCTTTCTCCGTGGTACATGATCTAAGGTGCAGCAGCTTACTTCTTACATCTGGACCACTCCAAAACTCACCAGTATAGAAGGTTCCTGAACTTTGCAGATTTTATATTGGCCTGGGATGCATGTGTCATATTGTCATATTGAAGCATCTAGAGGGCTTTATCATTCCTATTCACTGAGAACAACCAGATGTCATTAATATAATGTACCAGCTTTGTTTCAAGATGACTAAAGTTCTTCCAAAATATATTATGATAGAAAACCAGCTAAAAAGAGCCTTGAGATAAAACAGTTAAAGGCTATTACTGACCCCGCCACTTGAAGGAAACTGTATCTGATTGTTTTTATTGGGTATTTCTGAGCACCCTTCTAGAAGAAATTTTACCCTCAGCTTTCCAGGAGCCACTCTTCCTGCCTGTGGATAGAACGCTCCAGCTAGTCCTACAGATGCTCTCCTCATCCCCAGTCTATCCATTCATACCCATGCCCACCCACAAACACAGAAACAGCTGTGTCTGCCCAAAAGCTGTGGTTTCCTCCTTCTGTCCCACCTTGGCAGGGCCTTCAGGCTCGTGTGAGAGGAGCTGGGTAGGAGAGAGCTGAGGTTCTTGCTCAGATCTTTGATCTGTGCCCCGCACTGTGTCTTCAACGCTGCAGAGATATATGCTGCTGTCTTCAGGGCTCATGTTGCTCACAGTCAGAGTTGAGAATGTTAGGTTTGGGCGGCTGATGGGAAACTTGTCAATGACAAATCCACTCTCATATGTGGCCTCAGAGCCCTGATTTGCAGTTGCGATCAGTGTCAGGCTCTGTCCAGGTTGCTGACGGTACCAGAACATCATGGTGACTTGGCTATCGACTTGACACTGGATCGTCAGGGAGGTTCCACGTTGACAGATATCCCTGCTTGGCTTTTGAGAGATGACAGCACTGAACACAGAGCCTAGTTCCAGAGAGATATTCATGAGGACCGACAAGCTTGGGGTCAGACATCTCCCCAGGCAGGAAGGTCTCTGCTTTATCTCTCCAATACCACCTCAGCTCCCAAAGGACCCCAGGGAACTGCCTCCTTTTTATTGTGCCAACAATTACTCTGTTATGGTTCTTTAATCTAACATATCCCCTTCATCTTCTGTCTGGTGGCTTCAGACTCTCTGGAGAGAAAGTCTTTCCACCTTTCCACCCAGTGTTAACATTAACCCCAGACTCCTCAAAAGACAAGGCTCATACCTAGTCCCAGGAGAAGGAGCAGAAGACTCAGCATCTTCAAGTGATGGCCTCTCCCCTGAGAAAAGGCACTAAGAAGTGAAACTCAAGTTCATCTTTCCTTCCTACAGCGTAGTTCCTTCCCACTCTGTTTCCCTCCTCTAACAGGTGGTTGAGTTTCTGCATGATATGCAAAAATCAGTCTTCCCCCTGGTGGAACCGTGTGGCTCTTCACTCAGGATGAGTCTTCATGCACAAGTCTCACAGCATGCACCAGCCACTCACCACCATTCTCCCATCACTTTTCCATCTGTCATTACTGAACACCAATCTGTGCTACTGTCTGGGTGTAGAGCAAAAAGTGGGGTGCAGAATTGACTTCAAAGAACTAAAAGTAATATGTTAGAATATAAGGGAACTTCATTACAGTATTTCAGCTGTCTGCTGGGTCTTCATGGTTGTCCCAAACTGAACTCCTTCCTCCCCCAACACGTACACACACCAATAAACGGGCTCTTATTCCTCAATTCCCCTCTCCCAATAAATTGCATCCCTGCTCTTCTTGCATGTTAGGTTCAAGAATTCCATAAGCCTCTTTTTTCCTCACCTACCTTATTTGTCAATTCACAAATTAAATGCATTGTCTCTTATATCTCTTCCCTTGTTTCAGTTATCACAGTCATAACTATTTTTTTTTGTCTTTGCTTAATTCCTGAATACTTGTAATATGGTTTCTTCTATTCTAATTCAACTCAGTCTAGGCCACGAAACAGATCATGTTTGTGTAAAACTTGACCACAATGGTATGATCTTTTTCCATTATCAAGCTGATTTCTCGTATCATGTAACTGCTTAAAATAGTTTATTTTTGCATAAAAGCAGAGCTAAGTTTTTGAGCACTTACTCTACTTTTCATACATTTATTTAAGTCTATTTTTTTGGCTAGGCTATTTATTATCATCACACTATTTTTACGGATTAGGAAATTTTACAGATAAGACCTAGAGACCTTAAATAACCTATCCAAGTTCATATAATCCAAGAGTAAGTAACAGAGTCAGGACTCAAATCAATGCCTATGCGATCACAAATCTCAAGTGTCAATATCAACACTATCAAGTATTGTCTGACTCTTGCAGTTGCCTGTGCCTTAGTAAAGTACAGTCTGGTGGGTAACTGAGAATGATAGGCCTAACACTCTAAAGAATACTAGGAAACTCCAGAAAGACAGGCTTGCAAAAACTAACCCATCTTATTTATTTGATTCTGAGATTCTCTCTATTATAAGATGTTCTATTAAATATCTAATTGTTACTTTTGGGTGGTGTTTAGTACTACCACATTAAAGGTGAAGATTGATTATAGGACTTACCCGTATTTCAAAGAAAATAGAATTGTGAAAAACAATTTACCTTATAATGGACAAAATGTGACACTTTAACAATATTTCAGCAACTTGTTCATATGAGGAGTGTGTGTGAAGCCTTTACAACTTATTGGACATGCCACGGACAGTGGCTCAAGATAAACTCTGCTAAGTAGAAGTAGTAAAAGGTATAGAATACTTCAGTTTTTCTTGACATGTAGGTATATTTTTAAATCTTTTAGTCAAGTGTATCAAACTCTATGCCAAAATAACCCAGCATCTTTTTCATTTTATTTATCCTAAAAGCTTCTGAAAATTAACAAATGATCCCTATTCTTTACTAAATTCCAAATCTTTGTTTCTTCATCAGTATTCTCTTTGTTTGGAAAACAAAAAACAAAAAACAGCAAACATATTCCTCTCCCTTTTCATGCTTTTCAAACTGCAGTGGTCTCTAGATTTTTCTCTCGGGGAATGTTATGGATACTAAACTCTCATTGAATTTTAATGTGTTTATTTATTGAATTAATACATGCACCTGGTTAATGATTCAATTATAACAGAGAACAAAAGGTAAGTTCCTTCTCCAGAGACAGTCTTGTAATTATTTTGCTACATGTTCTTAGAAATAATAGTTCTTGCTTGTTCAAGTTTATGTAAATCTGACTCCTCCTTCTTTTACACAGAAACACACAGCCCAAACCTTCCTGTACTTCACTTCTTTAATTAGCAATGTGGTTCTTATCAGCATATTTCAAAGTTGATTTTATTAAAAAATACACAGAATCATGCCATTATTTTCCATTTTATTATGAGAATTTTCAAACATCTATAGAAGCTGAAACTATTATACAGTGAACATGCATGTACCCACCGCCTAGGTTCTGGATAAAACTGTTACTGCTTTACCACATAACTATCCATCTATCCATCCTTCTATTCATCCATCAATCCATCTAATTTTTTAATTCATTGAAAAGTCAGTTGGAGGCATACTTCACTTCTAAGCAGTTCAGCACGTGTATAATTAACTGGAGTTCAAGGTGTTTTTCAGGTAAAATTTGCATACAGCACCACACACAAATCTTGAATACCGTTAAACAAGTTTTGACAAATGCATACACTGTGTAACCTACCAAATTGTAGAATATTACCATTATCTCCAAAGTTTTCTCATGCCTTTAGTTTTTCCCACTGCTAACTCCTTAGAGGCAATTAGTGTTCTGATTTTTTCATTATAAATTATTCTTTTCTAGAATTTTATATAAATGGAATAACATCATACGCTCTTCTGTGCAAAGTTTCTTTCACCCAGAATAATGGTTTTAAGATTTGTTTACTTCTTTCACCCAGAATAATATTTTTAAGATTTGTTCAAGTTGTGTGTATCAGTACTTCATTCCTTTTTGTGGCAGTGGAATATGTAACCATATAGATATACTACCGTTTGTTTAGCCAGCCTCCTGTAGATGGACGTTCAAGATATCTCCAGGTTTTGGCAATGATGAATTCACTTTCTGTAAACATTCCAGTTTAAGTCTTTTTTTGTAGATTTATGCCTTTATTTCTCTTAAGTAAATACTTAGGAGTATAATTGCTGGCTCATAGGGGTAGATGATCAGAGGGGTTTAGTTTTATAAGAAACTATTAGAACATTTTCCACATTGGTTGTACTATTATCCACTTTCATCAACAATATATGTGAGTTCTGGGACTCCAAATTTTTGCCAGCATTTGGTGTTGCCAGGTGGTTTAACTTGAGTGGGTATGTGGATGGTTAGCGGTATCTCATTGTGGTTTTAATGTGTATCTTTTATTTGTCTGCCCTTTTGCCAGTACCACATTACTTTGATTATTGTGGGTTTATAGTAAGTCTTGGTCAGACAGTGAAAGGACTCCAAATGTGTTCTTTCTAAATATTGTTTTGAATATTCTAGAGTGTCAGGAGCTCAGCATAGCTGAAAAAGAGTGCTGAGGACTTAGGTACTCATTTTAACATATTTATTCTTTTTAAAATTTCAACTTTTATTTAGATACAGGGGGTACACATGCAGGTTTGTTACATGGGTATATTGCATCCAGGTAGTGAGCCAATTAAAGCAACAAGCCCCAAAGGAAAGAGTTAAATCTTTAATTACCTCCTTCAATAGTGTAAGCAAGAGTCTAAAGCCAGAGAAATTACTGACTCCCCCTGTTCTGTTTTTCCCTGTGGAAATGGCACTGGTCAAGTGTTAGTTGGATTAGCACAGACATGGAGTTGTCTCACTGTTGGGGAGCCCTGCAAGGAGAAAGTGGAAACTCACTGGGTACTCAGAGTGGAGAAAAGTGTCTTTAAGGCTCTCTCTTCCTCTCCTATTAGGAGGCCTTGACAGAGGCACCTGAAGAAGACCTCTACATAGGCCTCAGAAAAAGAGACCTAAGAATGAAGGATCCTGAGCTGGCAATATAAATATGCACAAGGGCGTGACCAGCCAGGGGGTCCTTGACTGCAACTCCCTTCAAAGACTGCAATGCATTGGCTGTGCACCAAGTCTGGGGTGGGCAGAACAGCCTCTCCACACCCTGTAAACCAGCCAGGTAAAGCCTTTGTAATTAATTATCTATGGCCTGAAACATCATACATAGGCTTCTAACCAGGAGCGGGACTTCCCATAAATTCTTTGTGTGTTCATATACCTTCTAGAATCAGCTTCTCAGTTTCTTAGAAAACAAAAACAGTTGAGATAACAATTGAGATTTTAATGACTGTAGATAAAATTTAGAGAGTACTGGTTTTAACATATTTAGTCTTTTTAAAATTCTCACTTTTATTTTAGATACAGGGGGTACATATGAAGGTTTGTTACACGGGTATACTGCACCCAGATAGTGAACATAGTACCCAATAGGTAGTTTTTCAACCCGTGTCAACCTCCCTCTCTCTTCCCCTTGAGTAGTGCTCAGTGTCAATCATTCCCATGTTTGTGTTCATGTGCGCTCAATGTTTAGTTCCCACTTGTAAGTGAGAACATGTAGTATTTGGTTTTCTGTTCCTGCATTAATTTACTTAGGACTACGGCCTTCAGCTCTATTTATGTTGCTGCAAACAACTTGATTTCATTCTTTTTTAGGCCTGTGTGGTATTCCATGGTGTATATGTTTTCTTCATCCAATCCATCGTTGATGGGAACCTCGGTTGATTCCATGTCTTTGCTATTGTGAATTGCATGGTGATGAACATATGAGTGCATTTTGGTATAATGATCTAGTTTCCTTTGGATATATCTTCAATAATGGGATTGCTAGGTGGAATGGTAGCTCTGTTTTAAATTATTTGAGAAATCTCCAACTGCTTTCCTCAGTGCCTGAACTAATTTACGTTTCCACCAACAGTGTATAAGCATTCCTTTTGGGTGGAGTGTTCTGTATTTGTCTATTAGTTTCAACTGGTTAAATGTTGAGTTTAAGCCCAGCATTTCTTTGTTAGTTTTCTGCCCAGTGATCTGTCTAACACTGTCAGTAGGGTGTTGAAGTTTCCTACTATTATTGTTTGGTTGTTTAAATCTTTACATAGGCCAAGAAGAGCTTGTTTTATGGATATGGGTGTTCTAATGTTGGATGCATATATATTTAGCATTGTTAGTTCTTCTTGTTGGATTGTACTCTTTATCATTATAGTAATGCCCTTCATTGTTTAATGTTTGTTTTATCTGATATAAGAATAGCAACTCCTGTCCTTTTTTGTTTTTCATTTGCATGATAGATATTTTCCCCTCTCTTTGTTTTGAGCCTGTGGGTGTTGTTACATGTGAGATGGGTCTCTTGAAGGCAATGATGGCTGGGTCTTGTGTTTTTATCTAGTTTGCCACTCAATGTCTTTTAAGCAGATGTTTAGCCCATTTATATTCAAGATTAGTATTGATGTGTGTGATTTTGATCTCATACCCATGTTGTTAGCTGGTTGTTATGTAAATTTGATAGCGTAGTTGCTTTGTGGTGCCTGTGGGCTATGCATTCAAGTGTTTTATGGCAGCAGGTTCTTTAGATTCCATATTTAGCACTACCTTAAGGACCTTTTGTAAGGATGGTCTACTTAAAACAAATTTCCTCAGATTTGCTTGTCTAAGAAGGATTTTATTTCTCCTTCATTTATGAAGCTTAGTTTGGCAGGATATAACATTTTTAGTTGAATTTTTTTCAGGATGCTGAAAATAGTCTCCCAATCTCTTCTGGCTTATAAGTTTTCTGCTGAGAAGTCTGTGGCTAGCCTGATGGGGTTTCCTCTGTATGTGACTTGACCCTTCACTCTAGCTGCCTTTAGAATTTTTTTTATTTTACCTTGACCTTGGTGAATCTGATGACTATGTGTCTTGGGGATAGTTGTCTCATATAGTAACTAGCCAGGGTTCTCTGTATTTCTTGGAATTGAATTTCAACCTCTCTAGCAAGATTAGGCGATTTTTGGCATTATTTATATTTATATTAGGCATTATTTATATTTTTGAAAAATATATTTTTCAAATATATTTTTGAAATTGCTTACTCTTTCTCCTATTTTGGGAATGCCGATGAGGCATAGATTTGGTATCTTTACATAACCCTATATTTCTTATTTCCTTATTTTTTTTTTTTTTTTGAGATGGAGTCTCGCTCTGTCACCCAGGCTGGAGTGCAGTGGCACTATCTCGGCTCACTGCAAGCTCCGCCTCCCAGGTTCATGCCATTCTCCTGCCTCAGCCTCCTGAGTAGCTGGGACTATAGGTGCCCGCCACCATGCCCAGCTAATTTTTTTATATTCTTAATAGAGACGGGGTTTCACCGTGTTAGCCAGGATGGTCTCGATCTCCCGAACTCGTGATCCACCAGCCTTGGCCTCCCAAAGGGCTGGGATTACAGGTGTGAGCCACCGTGCCTGGCCAGTTTTGTTCATTTTTTAAAATTCTTTTTTCTTTATTTTCATCTAAGTTGATTCAAAGAACTGGTCTTCAAGCTCTGAGATTCTTTCCTCAGCTTGGTGTATTCTGCTGTTAATACTTCTTATTGCATTATTAAATTCTTGTAGTAAATTTTTGAGCTCTAGAAGTTTATTTTGATTCTTTCTCAAAATGGCTATTTCATCTTTCAGTTCTTGGATCATTTTACTGGGTTACTTGGATTCCTTGGATTGAGTTTCAACTTTCTTCTGAATCTCAATGAGCTTCCTTTCTATCCAGATTCTGAATTTTGTGTTTGTCATTTCAGCCATTTCAGACCGGTTAAGAACCATTTCTAGGGAGCTAGTGACCCATTTGGATGTAAGGAGATGCTGTGGTTTTTTTGAATTGCCAGAGTTCTTGTGCTGATTCTTTCTCATCTGGTAGGGTTGGTGTTCCCTTAACTGTGGTGTAAGCTGAGTGTGGTCAGTTGGCTTCATTTCTGGATGCTTTCGGAGGGCCAGGGCTCTGTACAGAATCCGCATATGTGGGTGAATTCTTGCACCTGGTTTCACATCCTGCATATATTAGCACGGTAATTTTAGTGTTGTAGTTTGTGCTGTGATCCAGTAGATGCGCTTAAGAGTAACGGCCGGTAGCTAGGCTAACACCCAGCTTGTGTGGCTCTCGTACTTTCTTGTTCACAGGCATGCTCTGAGGTGGGTCGGGGAGACAGATGGCCCCCTCACAAGGTTTGCTTCTAGGACTTGTGGGGATCCAGCTCCAATCCCTGGCACTGCACCTGCATTTCTTTTGCTAGGTGTTCCAGGCTGCAGGGGACTCCTGAGGCAGAGGCTGCAACAGGACATTATTTCTATTTCTATATTTTAAAACTGTCTTTCATTTCCTTTAGCAACTGTTTTTAGTTTTCTGTACACAAGTCTTGCATGTCTTTTGCTAAATTTAAATATTTTATGTTTTTTAATATAAATTCAGGTTTTAAAATTCAATTATCCAATTGTTTATCATTAGTATACAAAATATAATTTTTATATGTTGTAATAATAAATTAATGTATGAACTTACTAATTTGAGTAGTTAATATATAGATTTCTTTTAATATTTGCATGTAAGTAGTCCTTTCATCTCTGAAAAAGGTTTTCTTTATCTTTTGATACCTAGCTTTTTAGTATTTTTCTTGTCTTTATGCATCAGTACAATATGGAATAGAAGTGGTAAGGGTGAACATTATTGACTTGTTTATGATCTTGAACATGTTTAATATTTAAGAAATAAAAATGGGAAGACGTTTAATATTTCTGTCATTAAGTGTGACATAAGCTGTTGGTTTTTTTCAGGTGCCTTTGTTAGATTGAAGAAGTCCCTTTTTTACCTAATTTTCTGAGTGTTTTTATTATAAATGAGTTTGGAATTTTACCAAGTTTTTTCTATCTGTACGTATAATCAAATAGATTTTTAAAAATGTGTTAACAAGATGAATTACATTGATTGATTTTTTAATATTATACCAAACTTTCTCCTAGAATTGACTCTATTTAAATATTTGAATAATATTTTTAGATTCTGTTTTGATTTTTATTTGTTGGCTTTTTGCTATACCTCTAATATTTTCAGGGCTATTCTGGAAAATAAAGAATGATACATTTAAAACTATTTGTCTACTTACTATATTGTAGAAGTTTACTTAAAATATAAGAAATTTGTATCTAATAGATCTGTTTTTCCTATTTCCATCCTTTAGATTTTAGTGTCATTCTGTATTATATATATTTTATATATCCTATAATACAATGATGAAATTTTTACTTTAGCTAGTCTTACATATGATATATGTAATATATCTGACTGCATTTCACTACTTCTTGTGCTCTTCATTTCTTCCTCACAATCCAAGCTTCCAACTGGTATTATTTCTTTTTTACCTAAGAGAATTCCATTGCGATTTACTATCATGTAGTTCTACTGTCAATGGATATTTTAATTTTTATTTATATTCAGATAACTTTACTGTAGTATTTTAATTTTTAGCTGAATATTTTATATCAAATTCTGGGTTGACTTTTTATATTTCTTGTAGCACTTTAAAGCTACAGTTCCCTTCTCTTCTGGTATTCACTTTTTTAAAATGAAAAATTATCATTATTCATGTCATTGTTCCTGGTATGTATGATTTTTCTCTGGCTGTTTGAAGATTTTGTCTTCTTTTCTAGTTTTGGACAATTTGACTGTGATGTGCCTAGGTAGGTGTTCTACAAATTATTTTTCTGAAATTCTTTTTATGTCTTTCAATATACTTTTTAATTAGGCTTTTTTAAAAAAATATTGTTTTTTATCCATGCTTTTTTATATCTCCTCTTCTTTCACTTTTACTCCAATTTCACACATTTTGTACCTTTTGATATTTTTCTAAAGATCACTGAGGCTATTTTTTCATATTTTTTCTCCTGTTTTCTAGATTTTGTAATTTCTATGGATATAACATCAAGTTTCTGAATCTTTCTTCCGTCATCTCTAATCTGCTAGAGATTTCGTTTAGTGAGATTTTATTTAATTTTCAAATATTGCAGTTTAAATTTTAAATTTTTCATTTATTTTTAATAGGTTTCATTATTGTTATAAACGTTCCTATTTTATTCATTATAAGAACATTTTCTTTTATATCCTTAAACATGATTATAATAGCTACTTTAAATTTCAGTCTAGTAATTCCAGCATCCAGGTAAACTCAAAGTTTGTATCCACTAATGGCCTCTTCATTCAAATTAGGTCATGTGATTTCTTTTCTTCATATGCCTGGTAATTTTTGCGTTGTATCTTGGACATTGTCAACAATATATCTAGATTTTGTTTTATCCTTCTAACGATGGTTGGATTTTTGTTTTAACAGGCATTTAACTTGGTTGGATTTATACTTCAAATTCTGTTTCCTATAGCCGGCAACAGCTGAAATCTCTATCCAGTTATGTTAGGTTTAACACTGCTGATTCCAGTATTCCTCTCACATGCATAGTTTAGGCATCAACCAGAGATTCAAACAGAGTTTGTATGGAGAACATTGGGTTGTTCTTTTTTGGACTTTCCCTTCTTGGATGTCTTTCCTAACTCTACAGCTGGCTTTTTAATGGGTTTCTATTTGACTGGGAACTACTTTCCAGCAAAAAGCTACAAAAACAGAAAACTTACCTGTCATCCAAGTGTTGACTTCCCTGTAGTTTCTACTGGCTATTGGTTGCTTTGCTGTCCCTTAAGATAGGCTTTAAAAATGTTCGTCCTGAGTTTATATTTGTTATTTGTGGGAGCGTGGGTCTTATAAGAATTATGATGCCATTACCAGAACTGCATCAATCTTTTTAATGGTTTGAAAAATCAGCAGATTTTTGTCTTTTGGTTTCTACCTATATTTGATATTGCTGAATAATCTGGATTCTTTTTAATGGGATCACCTTCTCCAGGATGGATCTGGATTTTTGACAGGCCATGCAAACTGATACTACAAAATTGTGGATGAGTTACTCAGATGTATCATTTAATAGATCCATAGTCTACGTTTTGGCACTATTTGAAAATGCAACCCTGGAGTCCCTCTGCTTTAGTCTGGGCTAGTTGCTAATTAGTTCCACTGCCCAGCTTTTATCCTGGCACTTTTCTTTCTTATTATTCTGAATGAGAATTTCTATTTCCTGGACCCCATTTTTTTTTTCTTTTTGGTTTGTTTTCTCAGTTTGCTGAGACATACTAGCCAGTAATTTCCTAAGAAAGCTTGAGATGGAGGTAAATGTTTTGGATCCTAACATTATTAAAAATGTCTTTTTATTTGCATTTTATTGATATATTGGGTTAGTAGAGAAATCTAAGATTAAAATGATTTTCTATCAGAATTTTATTGATATTTCTTGCACCTTTTTTTCTGGAATTCAGCGTTGCTGTGTAGAAATGTGATGTCATTCCACTTTTGCATTTATTTATCACTTTTCTCTAAGTATAATTTTGATTTTTAACATTTTCTTTGTCTTTTTGTGGTTTAGAATCATTTAATCCCCAGTGTTCTGAAATCATGAAGATATGCCTTCATTTCAGTTGTCTGACATTAATTAGCCAACAGCAGGCATTTTAAAATATGGAGGCTAATTTTTTTTCATTTCTGGGAACTAATTTTTAGGGTATAATTTCTCTGATAATTAAAAATTTTTTTTTTCTTTTTTCTGGAGTTTCTCTTGGACAGTTGACTCTCCTTTGTTCACCCTTCAAGTCACTTATATTTTCTTTCATGTTTTCTGTTATTTAACTTCTTGAACTTTTTGTTCTATTTTCTGGGATGTTATATCGAGTTTTCTTTTGACTCTTATTTTAAAAATTTATTTTGACTTTCTTAAAGTTTCTCCCCTTTATCTTATTCTGTTTTAAGGACGATGTGTTTCTTATATCTGTCTGGGATAGAAACAAGAATTTACATGATTACTACTTAGAAGTCCACTTTTTTTCTTTATTTTATATGCTTGAGTCAATTTTCTTTGTTCCCACTATTTATTTAATTTCATTTCCTTTTTCTGTTTCTTGTTTTTTATTTTCTTTTTCTCTTCTTTCTTTTAATGTCTGTATCCTTTTCCTTTCTATCTATGTTAGAAACTTTGTATACTAGTGATCTTTGATTGTATATTGATTTTTAAGAGTAAAGCACTAAAAACCTGACTGAAAGCCTGGTAATATGGATGGTACTTGTTTGCTAGGAGATTTTACTTGAAGAGATTTGGCGGGGAACTGGTTGTTTCGTAAGGGACACTGAAATATCAGTATTTGTAAGTCTCTTTTCAGGGGCTGCTCAATTTCTTCAAATAAAAATATATTATTATGCTACTGTGGGTATAGTTACCTACTTGTTCTGTGCCAAAGGCAGTGGAGAGGTGTTGAGAGTTAATTCTTCATGGGTCTCTGACATTTCTGCACAACTTATATCAACTTTTCATTTGGACTATCTTGTCAAGAATGTTTGTATAGCAATCAACCTGGAAGACAGAGACAACATCTCCCTCTGGATCTGTTTGCTATCCAGGATAATAAACACAATGTACCCCCATGAGACAAAGATTGATGAGGTTTGGGAAAAGCCACAGCATCCAGAAACTGCTCTGTGTCACTGTTGGGGAACTGGGCAGAGGGGCAGGCACAGGTCACTTATAGACATATGAAGCTCATGCTGCCTGCTGTGTTGAGAGTATTAAAAATACTTTGTCTGTAATCCAGCAGTCTCTTGTCTTCTGCTAGCATCCATGGAATGTTGTCAAGCTCTTAGCTTGCAAGTATGGTAAAATCTCATATCATTAACAGTTCTCAACAAGAGAAACTGGATAATTGACTATATGAGACTATATATTTATATATCAATTATTCTCTTTGTCTTTAGCCCTGCATCTCATATCACTCTTGATATGCCATGTAATTCCAAGGCTTGAGATCTTCTTATTTAGTTTCTTAGAATAAACTTCTAGTTTCCTGTCAAAAAGAAGAATGTTGGCTACTAGCATTTGATGTATTGCTTAGATGGTCTGTGAAGGGTGAGAGTAAGGGATTTCTGTTTAATTTATAAACTAGTCATCTATAACTTGATTTTCTGCTTTGGGTATCAACTACACACACTCTCTCTGGTCATAATTTTTAATAAATAAAATGGAAGAGACAGTATAATCAAAATTCAAAGAAGGACAAATATAGCTTTAATATTCAGATATGGGCAAGCAATAGTTCTACACCTAGAAATTATAAGTTAGTAAATTTAACATCATCCCTCTTCTTATCCTGCCACCCTACACATGCATAAAATATATTCATAACTGAATATTAAATATGCAGATTTTTGAGCATTTGTAAAGCAGAATGGCAATAATTAAGAAATATGAGTTCATTGAGGGCAAGGTTTCAGAACACTTAGCTACTATTTTTAGACAAGAAAGTGATGTATGAGACCCATCACATGTCAGAGCATCTCAAACCATGGGCTCTGGCATTACCATGTAAGCATTTGTCTGTCTAATGTTACCATTAATAGACTATAATTATTGGCTTATTTTCTTAGGCAGGTAACTGTATGGTATCTGGCAATGTGTATCTCATCCAAGATACTTGACAATACATTTTCAATATATACTATGTGATATGGTTTAGCTGTGTCCCCATCCAAATCTCTGTTTGAATTGTATCTCCTAGAATTCCCATGCACTGTGGGAGGGACCCACAGGGAGGTAATTGAATCATGGGGGCCGGTCTTTCCTGTGCTATTCCTATGATAGTAAGTCTCATAAGATCCGATGGTTTTATCAGGGGTTTCCACTTTTGCTTCTTTCTCTTTTTTCTCTTGCCACCACCATGTAAGAAGTGCCTTTTGCCTCCCGCCATGATTCTGAGGCCTCCGCAGCCCTGTGGAACTGTAAGTCCAATTAAACTTTTTCTTCCCAGTCACAGGTATGTCTTTATCAGCAGCATGAAAATGGACTAATACAGAAAATTGGTATCAGTAGAGTGGGGTGTTGCTGAAAAGATACCCGAAAATGTGAAAGCAACTTTGCAAGTGGGTAACAGGCAGAGATTGGAACAGTTTGGAGGACTCAGAAGAAGACAGGAAAATGTGGGAAAGCTTGGAACTTCCTAGAGACTTGTTGAATGCCTTTGACAAAAATGCTGATAGTGATATGAACAATAAGGTCCAGGCTGAGGTGGTTTCAGATGGAGATGAGGAAATTGTTGGGAACTGGAGCAAAGGTGACTCTTGTTATGTTTTAGAAAAGAGACAGATGGCATTTTCTCCCCACCCTAGAGATTTATGGAACTTTGAACTTGAGAGAGATGATTTAGCGTATCTGGCAGAAGAAATTTCTAAGCAGCAAAGTGTTCAAAAGGTGACTCGGGTGCTATTAAAAGCATTCCATTTTAAAAAGGAAACAGAACATAAAAGTTTATAAAATTCGTAGCCTGACAATGCAGTGGAAAAAAAACCATTTTCTGAGGAGAAATTCAAGACAGCTGTAGAAATTTGCACAAGAAGCCTAATGTTAATCCCCAAAACCATGGGAAAATGTCTCCAGGCCGTGTCAGAGACCTTCATGGCAGCCCCTCCCATTACAGGCCTGGAGGTCCAGGATGAAAAACTGGTTTAATGGGCCAGGCCCAGGGTCCCCATGCCATGTGCAGCCTAGGGACTTGGTGTCCTGTGTCCCAGCCACTCCAGCCATAGATGAAAGGGGCCAACATAGAGCTCAGGTTGTGTCTTCAGAGGGTGGAGGCCTTGGCACCTTTTATGTGGTGTTGAGCCTGTAGGTGCACAGAAGTCAAGAATTGAGGTTTGGGAACCTCCACCTAGATTTTAGAAGATGTATGAGAAGGCCTGGATGCCCAGGCAAAATTTGCTGCAGGGGTGGGGCTCTCATGGAGAACCTCTGCTAGGGCAGCACAGAAGGGAAATGTGGGTTTGGAGCCCCCACACAAATTCCCTACCTGGGTACGGCCTAGTGGAGCTGTGAGAAGAGGGCCACCGTCCTCCAGACCCCAGAATGGTAGATCCACCAACAACTTGTGCTGTGTACTTGGAAAAGCCACATGCACTCAATGCCAGCCTGTGAAAGCAGCCGGGAGGGAGACTGTACTCTGCAAAGCCACAGGAGTGGAGCTGCCCAAGACCATGGGAACCCACCCCTTGCCCCAGCATGACCTGGATGTCAGACCTGGAGTCAAAGGAGATCGTTTTGGAGCTTCAAAATTTGGCTGCCCCACTGGATTTCAGACTTTCATGGGGACTTGTAACCCCTTTGTTTTGGCCAATTTCTCCCATTTGGAATGGCTGTATTTATCTAATCCCTGTATCCCCATTGTGTCTAGGAAGTAACTAGCTTATTTTGCAGGCTCATAGGTGGAAGGGATTTGCCTTGTCTCAGATGAGACTTTGGACTGTGGACTTTTGGGTAATTGCTGAAACGAATTAAGACTTTGGGGGACTGTTGGGAAGGCATGATTGGTTTTGAAATGTGAGGACATCAGATTTGGAGGGGACTGAGGCAGAAGGATATGGTTTGGCTGTGTATCCACCCAAATCTCTACTTGAATTGTATCTCCCAGAATTCCATGTGTTGTGGGAGGGACCCAGGGGGAGGTAATTGAATCATGGGGGCCAGTCTTTCCTGAGCTATTCTCATGATAGTGAATAAGTCTCGCGAGATATGATGGGTTTCTCAGGGGTTTCTGCTTTTGCTTCTTTCTGATTTTTCTCTTGCTGCCACCATGTAAGAAGTGCCTTTCACCTCCTGCCATGATTCTGAACCCTCCCCAGCCATGTGGAACTCTTAGGTCCAATTAAACCTCTTTTTCTTCCCAGTCTCGGGTATGTCTTTATCATCAGTGTGAAAACAGACTGATACACTATGTAATGATTATACATCCTTCATTATGTTTTCTCTTTCTTTAAAATATCTTATGGTCTGCTTTTTAATGTTTTCATTAGTGAATAGTACCCCTTCAGTGTCCCAAGTTAAATAAGACAGCATCCATTGGATAGAACAGGTACCAGTTTATTCTACTGAAGGCTTAAGCATAAAGGAAATCTCCCTCAACTTTCTGCCACCGATGTCTGAGTGAACTGAGCCAGTTCTGATGCCCTCAACAGAGGGCAGAAGAAATCTATGTTACATCTAGGTGCTTGTCACTGCCCTTTATAGGGAATGATGGGATGAAGAAACCCCATTGACTCTTAGTTTCTTGCTATTTCTGTTTTAATGAATTGAAATTAATTGAAGAAGATCTAGCACAGATGAGAAGACTTCCCAATTTTTCAAGCCATACAAAATTGGCTAGGTCAGTTAGGAGGATACTGGAAAATTGAGATAATTTAATTTTAGCAGCAAATTTTCAAAGTCATCAATGTTAATCTTATGATATGATGGTGACATGGGAGATAAATGATGATACAGTGTATCTACAGCTGGTTTAATAGTGATTATCAAAGAATCTTGTAAAACGCACAATTAATATGACTATGTCCACTTGTCCATCACTAACAAGATCCAGTTTCTGCTCTCAAGCCTTCATCCTTCTACTTCAAAATGGAGGTGTTAGAAGCTTGTGCTAAGACATTAAAAATGTCTTTGGTGCTATGGCTATCTTGCTGTTACAAAGGTAGAAGGTAGAATTCCCTGGCTGTGTGGATTACGTCTTTCACCTAATGGTTGGTCTTGGGACCCATTCAGCTGAAGATGGAAATATACCTATCTTGGATTCAATTATCTTATTATTTAAAAAACAATATAGAAACATGCCTTTCCACTAACTTTTCAGCTGTGAGGTTATAGGCAAGTCATTTAAATTTAGGTTTAATTACACTTCACTTATTTAAATTTATTTTTAATTAGGAGAAAATAATATCTGTATGTCAGGGCTGCTGTATTTTATATGTATAAACTACCTGTGATATCTCAGTGGACTCTAGAGAAAAAAAAATTGCCTCCTTCTCTAAATTTTCCTTGTTCCCTGCAGGAAGAGGCCAGACATCTTCCCAGCCATGTCCCATCAAAGAGCCCTGTTAATACTCCCATTCAACAAAAAATAATTTATTTTGTTATATTTTCCCAAATCACATAATTTAAAACATTGCTTAAAAGACATAGAACCAACCCAAATGCCTATCAATGATAGACTGGATGAAGAAAATGTGGCATGTATACCCCATGGAATACTATGCAGCCATAAAAAGGAATGAGATCATGTCCTTTCCAGGGACATGGATGAAGCTGGAAGCCATTATCCTCAGCAAACTAACATGGGAGCAGAAAACCAAATACCGCATGTTCTCACTCATAAATGGGAGTTTAACAGTGATAACATGTGGACACAGGGAGGGAAACAACACACACTAGGGCCTGTTGGGGGTCGGGGGCGAGGGGAGGGAGAGCATCAGGACAAACAGCTAATGCTTATAGGGCTTAAAACCTAGATGACAGGTTGATAGATGCAGCAAACCACCATGGCACATGTATACCTATGTAACAAACCTGCACATTCTGCACATCTATCCCTGAACTTAAAGTAAAACAAAATAAATAAATAGATAAACAAACATTGCTTACTTGGAGATTTAGAGTATCAATTTTTATGTTCTGTGAATTTGTTGGTCTCCTAATGTGATGTATGTTTATGTATGTTTAGTGAAATAATGGTTTACATTTTCTGAATTATTCTCTGTACCCTCATGGTAAACATCCATGATCTATTATGTGCCTTTAAAAGTCTATTATGTGGGTCAGGCGTGGTAGCTTATACCTGTAATCCCAGCACTTTGTGAGGCCAAGGTGGGCAGATCAAGAGGTCAGGCGTTCGAGACCGGCCTGACCAACATAATGAAAACTCATTTCTGCTAAAAATAACAAAAATTAGCCAGGCATGGTGGCGTGCGCCTGTAATCCCAGCTATTCGGGAGGCTGAGGCAGGAGAATCACTTGAACCTGGGAGGTGTAGGTTGCAATTAGCCAAGATTGTGCCACTGCACTCCAGCCTCAGCAACAGAGCGAGACTCCATTTCAAAAGAAGAAGAAAAAAAAAGTCTATTCTGTAAACTGTGAACTCCCCCGTGAACACTTTTTCATTTTTTTTCTAAATTCAAACCTCCTATCCCAATCTACAATCCTTTTGACCTCTTTAGATGTCTTCTGTTACTCACTTTGATGTTTGATACTCCATCTCTGCCTATTTTCATTTTCATTTTTTTATGTGTTCTTCCTCTCTCCCTGGGCTGCATTTTCTTAGCAAGGTGAGGCTGTGTTGGAGGGAGCAGGTGGTAACCATGCCAGAAGGGAAGCTGAGTCTGGCATAGCACTCTTTCTACCAGGGACTCAATTGAGGTGATGACCCCTGTGTTGGAAATGGTCCCACATAGCCCTGGGAATGGACGCAAAGTGCTGGTACCTGTTCCCATCTCTTGCAGTTGATCTTCTGAGTCTGGGCAATACTTGCTATAAGAAATAAATAATCTGTGGGAAAATGTAGGACTCTCAGAAAACCTGAAGTTTCACTGAATATGAAAATCTGTAGATACAGTGTTCTGTTATTTAACCCTTTTCCTGTTTAGTAAAAAAAGTGCAGCTCGCTGCCAGCATTCATTTAATTTGACATAAACATGCTCTTTGAGGCTGAAGCAAATTTGACTGATTATCAACATGAAAATAAAATATAAAAACTGTTCTTGGAATTATTTCTAAACAGAACTGGCCTCTAATCCTAACATCA
Organism: Homo sapiens; assembly: GCF_000001405.40. NCBI lineage: Eukaryota > Metazoa > Chordata > Mammalia > Primates > Hominidae > Homo > Homo sapiens. Next base: position 142,722,792 of record NC_000007.14, on the reverse strand, counting down.
CAGAAATGTATATAATAATCACTATTAGATAATTTTTTCGTGTGGGAAAATTTCAAAGCACGGAACAACAGAAAGTGAAACATCACATTCCGCACAAAAATATTGCCGTTCTCTATAGATCTTGCCATCCTCGTCATTGTGTGAGCAGCAAAAGTGCAGTGACCAGTTGGGTTTTGTTTCTTTGATGGTGGTAATGCTGTTGGGAAAATGTCTTCCAGGTGGGCCAAGAGGTGTGACATCATCAGAGCGTGGACGACCCCAGAGACGTTGCTGCCCTGGCTCACGATGCTTTTTCAGCATCCTTTTAATCAATGTCAGTCTGAAGTTTCTATGGCAAACCGTGTGCTCAGAATTCTCCTTCTTGAACAGGATGTAGGAGTTAAGCACTGTAATGTTTAGAAGGTGGAGAAAGAATTTCTTGTATCAAACCTTGTGTGTTATCTCAGGGGAAACGCTGCAGCCGCAAGCACCGCTAGCATGTATTCTCGGCGCAAAAGGGAAAGGATTTTAATGATATTCTGGGAAGATGTGCTTTCTCTGTTCTGGATGTTGACCTCGGCCAGGAGAATTGTGATTCCTGTCTTTCCTCAGGGAAAGAATCTTCCTCTTCCTTCTGGTAGACTCTCTCACAGAAACATTTGCAGGGTATTTCTTCCTTTTGATGGTTTCTCTTCCCTCATTTACTTGTATTCAAAATCAGCTCAAGTCCTATCTCACACAAACTTAATCTTGAATATTGTGATACACATTCATTCAATTTTTTTCTCTGACTTCTTCCACACAAAAATTTAGCACTGAATCAAAATACGTTTTCAGATGCCTGTTTTGTCTTGCCAATAATAATTGTGCAAGTGCTCTGCAGTTTGGGATTTCTAATACCCTTTACATTTATTTGTATTTCCAAAGCACTGTTAATTTTTACTGACAGAAGAGCATATGTTTTATTCTTAAAGACAGACAAATACACACTTTTTCCAGAAGATTGTGAGTTCAGTTATAACCAAATTCCTACCACCTTCTGCAGCAGAGTTTAAACCTTCTGTGATCAGAATTTTTTCCAGCAAAATATGATTGATCGGAGAACCTGGAAGAATTTGTTTTAATCAGAGTTTTTCTCTTTCTAAATTGAATGAACAAAATTCAAATTCCACAAACTTTCTCTTGAATCAGCACAGGCACAGTAAAAATCATCGAAAGAATTTAGAATATGTTAATGTCCTCTAGTGAAATGTCAACCAAGAGCAAAACACTAAGCAAAGTAGAAAATGCACAGTTAAGAGAGACGAGGATAGAAAAGGGAAGGTAAAATTGATTAACGAAATGGTAGAACAGGGTTACACTGTGAATATGCGAGAGGACTTTTCCTCCTTGTTGGGACTCGTGAATTTACAACACATCGGACTGGGGGAATTAAATCCAGAACAGTCCCTGACTTGTAAAGGGGTGAAAAATAATACCTCATTCTCTCCTTGCAAAGAAGTGTGCTTATGGAGCTAGTTTCTCCTTAGTGGCCGCTTTTTTTCTATTTAGCACGAATGTGCCATCGGAGCCAGCACCAGCCCTGAGTTAGGGCCCCTTCTCTCTTACGTCCGCTCTTTTTGTGCAGAGAGGATGCGGCTGTGCTGCGCTGTGCATAAACTGCTGGCACAGAGGTACATAGATGTCTGGTTGGTGCTGGCGGACTCCAGAATCAGGGAGAAGCGCTCCTTCTTCTCTCTAGAGACACTGTACCCCTCAGGAATATCTCCTTTTTCTTTCATTTTAACATCATATGAGAAATAGATCAGCCGTAGCCCCAGACCTGGGTCTTGTCGATACCAGAACATATTTTCATGGTCCATATCCTGGACACATTCCAGAAAAACTTTCTCTCCCGTCCTTTTGACTAGATATCTCGAGCTCTGGGTTACTTTCACATCTACGAGGCCTGTGAGAGACAGAAAGCAAGGGTGAAAAACAGGCCATCAAGGAGGAGAGGAGAAAAGAGCTTGGTATAAAAGACCTCAAAATAGTAGGACAGGGGTTGCCACCAACTCCCCAGACCCAGCAACTCCCAGGACTCACCTACAGCCAGGAAACAAAAGGCCACACGACAGAGGAGCCTGATTCCCATGGCTGCTTTGAAGAAAGAATAGGTCTTCTCCCAGGACCAGGCAGTGGGTTGATGGTCTGTGATGTCATTGTCCCGGCCCACTCTCATAATCCCTCAGCCATTGTCTAGACTAGAAAGGGTCTAGAGGTGCTAGAGAGTGAAGGACATCCCTTGTGCTCATGGAAGTGTCACTGTGTGTATGTGCACGTATAGAAAAGAGTTGACACAGCGGGCCTGAGACTGCTGGCCTTAGAAGGGACTGCTTGCATGGTTGGCTCTTGATTTGCATCTGCGAACTTGAATTTTGGGAGTGTTCCCACTATAGTAACTGGTAAGCATGGCTTAGTGTGTCTAGACTGCTTGCACAAACCACGTGGGTTAGGCTGAACACTTGCTTTACGTCAAGTCTGGAATTATGCTGCATGATAGGCAGAGGGTGCCAATGTGATCAGCTGAATTATTTTGCGAGGGCTGCCATAAGTCACCACAGACTAGGTCATTTAAGCAACAGAAATGTATTTTCTCATACATCTGGAGACTAGACATCCAAGATCGGGGTGTCAGCATGGTTGGTTTCTCGTGGAGCCTCGCTCCTTGGCTTGTAGATGGCTTCCCCCTGTGTCTGCACATTGTCTTCCCTCTATGCATGTTTGTGTCCTAATTTCTTCTTATAAGGATCCCAGTCATATTAGTGAGGACCTCATTTAACCTTAACCACCTCTGTAAAATCCTTATCTCCAAACATAGTCATATTCTTAGTACTGGAGGCTGGGATTTCAACATATGAATGTTTAATGACACGATTCAGCACCTAACACCAGCCACTGAAAGTATTGGAGGTGCTGAGTCTCTAATGAGCTTCCCTGGGCAGAAAGGTTGTTCTCACGTTGCTGCATTTTCATTGTTGGGGTGAGAGTGTGCTCTCTCATGGAAGAGAACATAAGGAAGTCTCACATGGATTTCTCCAAAGTCCACCATGTCTTTGTTCCTTGTGATCATAGTATTCTTACTACATATTTGTGATACATCTTTGCTATGAGTACAAGGACACGCCGAGTCCCATGAGTCCTTCTGGTGAGTCTCAGTCTTTGAAAGTGAAGGTAATTTTTTTCCTGACCAACTGTGATTAGGAAAACCTTACCATTTTCTCTCTCTCTCTCTCTCTCTGTCTGTCTCTCCTCACTCTCAACATATATTTTATTGAGAGCAGTCTTAGTTTCTCATACAATATACTTAATAATTACTACAAGTAGCATATTGGGTAATAGGGCAGGCTTTGGAACTATGCTGCCTGGGTTTGAATCTGGTTCAAATCCACATGTGTAGGTTCATGTGAGTGCTCACATGTGTAGGTTTACCTGATGGGGTTGGGGAGATGGTGGTATATCAATAATGGGGTGGTAGGTGTGTTCAGCCCCAGGTGCAAGCGATAAAGGGTGCAAAGCATTTTAAAACAATCATAAAACCCAAGTGAAATGGTTTTGCTTTTATTATCACCAAGTGCCAGGAATTCTAAATACTTTTGGTGATAAAAGACTCCTTCAATGAAAGATTTGTCCTTGTGTGACTGGCTCATTTCACTTAGCATTATGTCAAACACAGAGAAGCAGAGAACAGAATGATAATTGCCAGGAAAATGGGAGAAGGAAGAACTGAGCTGCCATTCAATTGGTGTAAAGTTTCAATTATACAAGATAATTACATTCTAGAAATCTGCTATGCAACATTGTACCTAGAGTTAACAATATCATATTGCACATTAGTTTTGTTTAAAGGTTAGATTTCATGCTAAGTGTTATTCCCACAATAAAAAGAAATCTCACCAAGTAATTTTGGTACACATCGAGAACCACTGATCAAAACAAAAGGGTCAGCTACAACTGTCAGTGTGATGCTTATACTGCATTTTCCGGTAACACTTTACTTGTGGTTATTTTGCTAACATTATTCATTAAAACTTTCTGATGGTCTAAACAGGTTTTGAAACTGTATCCATGCATAGTATGAATCAATCAAGTCACAATAGTTTTTAAGTTGTTTGCAATAATATAAAATAGTTATTGTAATTATTCAGACTATATTCCTTAGTTTTGACATTACTGTGAATATCTAATATCTAATCCAACAGACTTGGCCTTACCATAAATCAAGCATACTGACACAGCTACCCAACACAAACACCTTTGAACTTCAGTTTCACCAGACTATTTGCTTACAAAAAAAGCTTCACAACCATAAACATTGTTATCTTTAGTACAATTTTTTTTTTTTATTTTACAAGATGTGAAGTCTCAAAGCTTCTACTGGCAAAATCTGTAAGTGTATAGTGTAGCCTAACCTGCTTAAATGAAAAGTATAAGACTAAGATTAAAATTGCCCCGAGACACAGGTAAACAAAAAGGGAAGCATGTGGGGCCCCAGAGAGGATCCCTGAAGACCGTAATGTAGAATGCAGCCTTCCCTAGTAGGTGGTATGAGGGGGGCACTGGATTGATGCAGGTCAATTCTAATAAAGAACTCAGGCTGATGAAGCCCTATTGAAACAGCAAATGAGAAGGAAGGGAAAGAGGACATTGACAGCTCTGTCTCACAGGCGCACCGTGATCTGGGGATAGATTTTTTTTTTTTTTTTTGAGACGGAGTCTCATCCTGTCACCCAGGATGCAGTACAATGGTGCGATCTCGGCTCACTGCAACCTCCATCTCCTGGGTTCAAGCAATTCTCCTGCCTCAGCCTCCCAAGTGGCTGGGATTATAGGTGTGCACCATCATGCCTGACTAATTTTTTGTATCTTTAGTAGAGATGGGGTTTCACCATGTTGGCCAGGCTGGTCTCGAACTCCTGACCTCATGATCCACCCACCTCAGCCTCCCAAAGTGCTGGGATTACAGGCATGAGCAACTGCGCCAGGCCGGGGATGGACTTTTACAGACTAGGGCCCTCAAGAGTTCCATAAGTCTCAGTGCAAGGAGGTGGGAAAGGCTCCTAAGTGCTTCTGCGGTGGCAGTGGCTTCCTCTGGCAAGGGCAGGCTCAGGAAGGTAAGACCGTCTCTCCCCTTGTGGCAGTCTTTTCTGTTCAGAGAGGAAGTGGCTGTGCAGGGCTTCGGGTTAACGGCTGGCAGTGTCTATGAAGGGCTGGATGTCTGGAGGTTGCAAGAAATAGAACTTAAAGTATATATATATTAAAAAAAAGAAATGCTCAGTCTTATCTCAAGAGACACAGGTCTATTAGAGACTCTCTATTTGTTTGTACTCCAAGCACCAACTGAGAAATAGATTAGTTGGAGCTTCATTCCTGCCTCTTGTCTGGCTCAGCACATATTGGTCATAAAACATATTCTGGTTGTAATATAGAACTTTATATTCTGACTCTGAAACTTGATAAACTGAAATTTCAGTGACACCAGCATTCATGGACATTGTGGCTAAAAAGAGAGAACTTAGGAAATATACTGATGTGTAACCACCAGAAAAAGGCTTAATGTAGGGTCTAGCAAACCAAGTTCAAGGACGTCATACCTGCACCCATGACATGCCTATTCCAAAGAGGCAAAAAGCTATAGAACAGAGAAGTCAATGGCTGGTGAGTTCATGGTGGTGTCTCGGTGTTGGTGTTAGCTCTGTTCAGGCTGTTAGAAGAACACACAGCGGAGAAATAATCCAGTCAATGATTCAAGGCAATCGTCTTGGAGGAAGTGACTTCTAAATTGGTCTATGAAGGAGAATCTCCCCCATTCCTGGAGTCGCCCAGTCCAGACCTCTCTGTACATTTGCACCAGCAGTTTATCCACAGTGCTGCACAGCCAGCTGCAGTCTGCACAAAAAGAGCAGCTGGAAGAACAGATGAATACCAGAGAGAGAAATGGTATTCTGGGTAGAGTGACCATTGTAGATAAAGACCCAGGAGTGAGTCAGCAGTGGACATATTTGGGGATGTGCGAGAAATGGGATGTTTCTGGAGTAGATGCAGGCAGTTGTGGTAGTTGAAGGATAAGGGAAGTCAGTGTTAGAAAGGTGGGGGATATGCAAAGGTCACATCATGGAGGGGCTGAGAGACTTGCAAACTAACATAAACTTGAGACTTTAGCTAGTTAATAGAAATAAACCAAAGGGTTTTAAGCTTGAGGGAGTGGTTTTGGGTGGGAGCAGGTGCAGGCTTGCAGGTAGGGTGGCTACTTGGAAGGTGGCTAAAGTGATCCAGGTGAGATCAGTGAAATTAGAAAAGTTAGTAAAATTTGTGAGGAATTTAGTACTTAGAAAAATGCAGGATAGGGTAGTGGATTTGGTGTGGAAGGAGAAAGTCAGAGAGAGAGTGAAGATCAGTCTTGCATCTCTGGCTTGGGCATTTGGACCATCTGCTGAGAGGAAGAAAATAGGAGGTGCTGGGTTTCATAAATAACTCCAAACATGGTGTTCCTCCAAGTGACAAAACCTCCAGAATAAATAGGACCTGGAATACAGAACCAAATATTGTTGAGACCCATTAGATTGTAAATGGAGTCTTCAGTTTGGGCAACAGTTTAGTTGAATTTAAAGATTTAAGCTCCACAAGAAGAAAGGATGGGAGAGTGTACCCTGGCACTAGACCTAACTCAGTGAGCTTGTCCTGCCCAACTTTGAAACCTCATTGGTACAGCAGGTAGAGGATGGACCCCTGGTTCCACAGAGTGGCTGCATTGCAGAGTCCCTGAGGCTGGCGTGTGGGGAAGGGCTTCTGTGGGATGATGGAGGAAGTTTATCCTGTTGGTCGGTGAGGGGTCTCCTGAAGGAGGAGTCTCCTTGTTCTTGCAGCTACCCTCTGTTTTTGTGCAGAGAGCAGCTGGCTGTGCAACACTGTGGATAAACTGCTGGCACAGAAGTACAGAGAGGTCTGGTTGGGGCTGGGCGACTCCAGGATCAGGGGGAAATTCCTCTTCTCTTTTCGAGAGACTTTGTACCCTTCAGGAACATCTCCCTTATCAGTCACCTCAACATTCATTGAATAGTAGATCTGCCTTAAGCCCAGCCCTGGGTCTTGTCGATACCAGGACATATACTCATGGTTCATATTCTGAGAACAAGTCACTGTTAACTTCTTTCCAGTCACTGTGATGAGGTATCTTGGGTTCTGGGTCACTTGGGCTTCCAGGGGGCCTGTAAAGGAAGGGGACAGAGTTAGAGGCAGCGCTGAAGGGGATCTCCAATGCTTAAGCCTTTAGGAGATGCCTTGGGCTGAGGCCTACAAAATAAGGCCAAAAGTTGCCTATGTGTTCTGGGACTCACCTGCTCCTAGAAGGCAAAGGACCACATAGCCAAGGAGCTGGGGGCCCATGGCAGCATCAGGCAGGTGTCTGCCAGTTCTGGGGGCTCCAGGTGGTTTCTGTAACGTCTCCACCTCTTCAGCTATTTGGGCCTCAGAAACATTTTCAGGAGAGAAACCACTCCCACTTCAGCTCAGAGGGCTGAAGTGTACAAACGCAACACAGCCAACTCAGGCTGAGGACATTTGTAATCAATGTCATTTTCCTTAATCTGTGAGATTCCTTTCTTTATACATGTGCCACATTTTCTTATTAATACAGTCTTGTACAAACTGTCAAATATTTATGTATTTTGGATCTCAGGGTATAAAGTGGTGTAACACATTTGATTATCACTTAGAAGTGTGAGAACATAAAGCTTATAATATTGAAAGCTGCATTATCTTTTTTTTTTTTTTTGAGACAGAGTATCACTCTGTCACCCAGGCTGGAGTGCAGTGGCATGATCTTGGCTCACTGCAACCTCCGCTTCCCGGGTTTAAGCAATACTCCTGCCTCAGCCTCCCCAGTAGCTGGGATTACATGAAAGCTGCATTATCATATATTTTGAAGTCATTTCTACTCTGGCAGAAAAAATTTCAAGTATATCCCTGACTTCATTTATCCACTGGTATATATTTTTAGTCACTACATTTTAAAAGAGTCTAGGGTGTAAAATCTCAGATTCACATCATAGATTATTTTGCTAGTCTATTGCTGTTTAAAATCCAAGACACACAGCTTCTTTGCTCTTTAGCAAAATTGACTTAGTCATCATTGCTAGAGCTAGCAGCTGTTTCCACCAAAGATGGTATCTGGAGCATCTTTCTTCTTTTCCCCTTCTCTGTTCTTCTCCAGAAGAAGCTGGTGAAAGGCAGAGGCAACACCTGCTTCCTGCAGTAACCTCAGAGCCTTACCAGCCAGCTCTGCTTCCTGCCTGCTTTTGGTACGTGCTTTGCTTTCTTGCCACTCCACAGCTTGCTGTACATGGAAGGTATCTGTCCCTGGATATCGTGTTGTAGCCAGGCAGTGTTTGGGGCCAGGAGTGTCAAGCTTCTCTTAGATCTTCCAGCAGCTGCTGGTACTGCTCTCTTTTCTGCCTGAATATGTTCTTCCTACATTGAGGTGACTTTCCTAGGATTCCCCAGAATGCCTTCCTCCTCGAACACCTTTGAACTTTTCTTAATTTTTAAAATTAAGGTATAGTTGATGAATAAAAATTGCATATATTTACAGTGCTCATTGTGATTTTTGACACATGTATACCTTTGAATCCTTCTTGTACTTTGTAGGAACGAATGTATTCCTGGATGGTGGAATAGAAGGAGGCTACCCCTTTCTTCCCAAAAGCTTCCTACCACAAGTAGAGCCTCACAGAGCCCGTCATTGTTTTTGCCAAATCATTATCATCTCCAGACAAGAAGGAGCCCCCTTCCCGGTTTTCAGGCCTACTCTCAAACCTCAGAGATGAGTTCCTTGCCCCCAGACCCCTTCATGGTGAGAGGTGCAGCTCTAACAGTTTCCATTCCATGCATTGAGAAAGGAGTGATTGCTATCAGGACCTTAGCTCTGATCTAAGAGGAGTATTCTCTCTTTTTCTATTTCTTCACCACTGCTTTCTGGAAAAAAATGTAGGGAGAGAGCTTGGCTCTACTTCAGCCACAGGTGTTTGCATTTTCCTGGCAAATCCTCCATATCCTAGCTGTGAATTCGGGTGTTCTTAAGAGAGGGAAAACAACTTTCATTCTAAAAACCCACTGCAAGTAAATAATTTCATGTTACTTAGTAAACCTTGACATCCAAATAGCAAAATCTTTCAGAATTTACTCGCGTCCACATAGCTCACTATTAGTGGATATTGGATTTCCCAACATTCCGTGGTGTTTCAAAGTTGAACAGGTACATAATTACACTTCAGAGTATTATAATTTTTCCCAATGTCTTTTCATATTAGATTAATTCAAGATTTAGGAGGTAGCTAATTCTATATTCTGTCCCTCTACCAGCTAATTCACTCTCCTCAGCAATGTGGTTTCTCCTTCTGTGTTCCTTTGACTATGAGGCTATTCTGCTCTCGTTTCCTTTTCTACCTCAACCAAGGTACTAAAATGATGCTGTTAGCCTGAGGCTCCAATAGCCTTACAGTAGGAGCCAGTTGTTTTACTTTCCCACCCTTCCTCCCTACAACCTTCCCTCTGATCTTTTCTACCCAATTCCACCATATTTAGGAATTCTAGAAACTTATTCTATTCCATTTCCCTAATGTAGGGCAGACTCCTATGTCCCTAACAGCGGGAATGGAAAGTAAACAGAACCCTCTAGACGGCCGGGCACTCTGAAACATCTCCTTCATCTTTGCATTTTGATGAAAAAGCATTTCATTCTACGCCATGCCATCCCTTCCTCTCCTTCATACTTTTTCGGTCTTTGCTCTCTTCCTTCTCTTTTTAGGGACTGCTCATCCACCCAACCGGGGCAACAGTATCCCGATAAAAGCAATTAAGCTAACACCTACTAAACTGATGAACCATTTCCTAAAAACCCCTGTAAGAGAACCTACGCCTTGTCCCTTTAAATATAAAGCAACCTTTTTTTGTTTTTTTCTATGTGATTTTGAGCCCAGGAATAGACTGCAGAATTCTCACCTCACTTCAAATTCTATTTCACTTACGCTCAGGCCATTTTAGTTCTGAGAGTCACTCCAGTTTATGTATTTTCTTGTACTATATGATTAGCTTTTGAAAGACCCCAATGAGACATATTTATATATCAAGTTTTTAAAATTGATAATACAGTATTCAATTTTATCAAACTTTCCCTCCCACCATTATCTGAATTTTAATGTTTATATTACAGGAATATGTTAGTGCCCTCTAGTGGAACATCGGAGTGGTGGGCTGAATGGTTCCTTAAAGATGTCCAGGTGCTAATAATCCCTGCAACCCGTAACAGCTGTGGATGTTCAGTTAGATGGCAAATGGGAATTAAAGCTGCAGGTGCAATTAGGGCTGCTAATCAGCCGACCTTGAGATAGGAAGCAGTTCGTGGATTACCCAGGTGGGTCCAATGTAATCACGCAGGTCCTTAAACGTGGAGAGCCTTTCCCGGCAGTGTTTAGAGGGAGCTGTGAGTACGCAAGTAGGGTCAGAGCAACAGAACGTGCTGCCTTTGAAGATAGAGGAAAACAACCCATAAGGTAAGAAAATCGATTCTCCCCTGGAGCCTTCAGAAAGGAACCCAGATCTGCCGACACCTTGATTTTGGCTGGGTGATACCTATGTTGGTTTCTGAACTACGGAACTGTAAGGTGATACATTTGCATTGTTTTAAGCCACTAAATGGGTGGCAATTTGTATAGTAGCAACAGAAAACTAATACAACCACCAAGACCAAAAATGTGTGGTCAAATGTGTAAGAGGGCAATTAGGATGAAAACAGTAAAGGAACGAGTAAGATCGGAGTGCAGGGTGTCTGGGGCATCTTGAGTGTGTGTGGCGGCTCATAGGTTAGGTCGCTTCACCCCTGGGGTTTGTCATATCCGCTCAGAGAGGATGTGGCTGCACTGATAGGCTGCTGCTGCAGAGGGTCTCAGAGTCTGGTTAGTGCTGGACGATTTAAGGGTTGGGAAAGATGATTATTTTTTCCCTTTTTTCTTTTTGGTTGGAATGACTATGCTGACTCAGGGCATCTTTTTCAAAGCTGCCAACTTCAGAAGAATAATTAATAGATTAAATTTATCCCCAGCCCTGGATCTTATGGATTCCAGAACGTTTGGTCTGGTTGATAGTCTGAAAACATTCCGATACAACTTTCCTGCCTCATCTCAGGGTCTGTGTTACTTTGACATTCATGAGCCTTTAAAAGAAGGATGCAGAAAAGTGACTACATAGCCCACCAGGAAACTCATGTGAAAGCCACGAGGAAGAGCCTGTTCCCAGAGCCTGGACACACCAGGATGGTGATTATCCCATGTGCGTTCTGAGAATACCTGCCCCTGTGAGCCACAGGCCACACACAGATGAGTGTCCCAGCAGCTTCTCTCCAGATTAGGTCATTTCCTCACAGAGCCTTACCAAGATATGCACTTTTAGACCAACTTAGTTCTAGAAGAAATGGTTTTTTTCTGTTCTAAATATATTCTAACAGTTTTGTTCTCCAAAATACATCTTTTAAAATTTGTTGAGTTGGTTTCTTCTGAGGCCTCTCTCCTTGGCTTGTAGATAACAATTTTTTTTTTTCTATACCTTCTTTCTGGTCTTCCCTCTTTGCATGTCTGTGTCCTAACCTCCTGATAAGGACACCAGTCATATTGAATTAGGGCCCACCCTAATGACCTAATTTTAACTTAATTATCGATGTAAAGACCCCATCTCCAAATATAGTCAGTCACATTATGGGGCACTGGGACTTAGGACATCAACATATGAAATGAAGAAGGTAGCACAACTCAGTCCATAACAATGGAAATAATAAAAGTACTTACCTTACATATTTGTTGTGGCAATTAAATGAGTTGCCATGAATAAAGAGGTTAAAGGATTGCCATGCATACAGCTATTCAAAATATTTTCTCCACTGCTGCTTTTATCACAATACTTTCTTAAGTCAGTGCCAGTCTCTGTGTTAAACTACTCACATATTGTTTCATTCAACCCTCACCCCACTTCTGAGAGGCTTATATTATTTACTTCATTTTATAGATGTGAAAACTGAGGGCTTAGAGGGCTTAAGTCACTTTCTAAAGCTACTAAGTGCCAGAAACTGTCTGACTGCAAATCCTGCACTCTCAACCATGATGTGTAAATATTTCCATTTCTCTACATGCTTTATGGTAAATGTGATGGTGAACTTACTGCTTGACAATTTGACTTTTCAATTTCTTTTAGGAATTATTTTCCAATCACTCCAGTTTCTACACCTAAAACAGAATTAATACACTTTCCTTTGCCTGTGTTGTCTCTTGGTGTCATCTCCAAGTTACTGGTGGAAGGTATCTTGAGTTATCAGCAGTGAATCCCTGCTGGTCTGCAGCAACCTCAGTTCTTGCCTCCTCAGAAGAAAATTCCACTGAGGGTCATAGAGCAGAAAAAGAGACCAAGACAAGTTTTAGAGCAGGAGTAGAAGCTTATTAAAAAGGCTTTAGAACAGGAAAGAAAAGAAAGAACACTTGGAAGAGATCCAAGCAGGTGACTTGAAGAGCAAGTGTGGCATTTAACCTTGATCCTGGGGCTTCATAGGCGGCCATCTTGTGCCCCTTTCTCATTATTCTCCCCTTAGGATAGGCTGCCCGAATGCACAGTGCCCTCCTTACACTTCGGAAGTGAGCATGCGCAGTGTGTTTAGGAAGTTGTATGCATGCCCATCTGACGCTTTCTTCCTGTTTCTGTTGGAGTGTCCCTGGAAGGTCGTACTCCACCCTTTTGTCTCTCAATGCACATACCTGGGTTCACCTGCCCAATACCTGAGATTTTATTGGAAACCTTCTTTGCTTCTCCTTGGTGCCTGCATTCAATTGACACTTTAATGTTAACAGCTGTGGATCAGCAAGAGATTGTACCTCCCTATCTCAGGCTGCTGAATTATGCATTATTATTAGAGAGGCAACGTTATAATCTCTGAATCAATACCAGATTGTCTGACATTCTGGGCGGTGGGGGGAAGGGAGCCCTCTCCTGCCCCACTCATGCCTAACTAACTACCTGTAACATCCAGGCGCCCCATGCTGCCTCCCCACATTCCTTGCAGGCTCAGGGTGAACTTCCCAAGCAGGATTGGCTTTGTTTACATGCTATGATTTCCATTATCAATGGCAGGAATCTGTTACCTTCCTTTTTCTACCCTTCTTTAGTTTTGCTTTTAGATTATTATTACAGCAATTTTAGTCAAACTGAATGTGTACTTGTATCCAGGTTGGCATCTTAAATTGAAACAAATATCATTCTATATGTGTTCACTTTCTAAACATTCATGTTTTATGTATAGATTTTTGTGAATGGTACATGGTTTTAACTGTTTAGACACTCCTACAGAAACAAACATAGGATATAATTCTCTTGAGGGGCAACGTGCTAATTTCTTGTGCAAAATGGGTTTCCATTTTTATGCTTCCATTGTGTGGGAGGGAAGCTGGACAGTGAGTGAGCTTCCTCTCTGAAATTTCTGATGACAAGAACGGTTTCTACTCTCCTGCTGTTCAGAGGGTCACGTTCTGTGTTTTTTGTCATAACCTCCTTACCTTCCTCGGTGGCAGCACTTTCATGACTGGGTGCTGCTTAGCAGGGTCCATACACATTATGCTGACAGGACAAAGGAAGGAATTATTCCCAAGATGAGTAGTCTCCCTGAAGATTGAAACAGCTGTAGTGCTCCCTGCTGGAACATTCTGATCCTAAACCTGTAGAGATGAGGAATTTGTAGAAATGGAACCTGCCAAGAACAGAAACTGGCAGAATCTGTCACAAGAAAAAGTCCCAATCAGACTTCAAGAGAGGGTTCTTGGATCTTGTGCAAGAAAGAATTCATGGGGAGTCTGAGTAAAGTGAAAGCAAGTTTATTAAGAAAGAGGAATAAGAGAATGGCTACTCCAAAGACAGAGCAGCCCTGAGGGCTGCTGGTTGCCTATTTTTATGGTTATTTCTTGATTATATGCTAAGCAAGGGGTGCATTATTTAAGCCTCCCCTTTTTAGGCCATATGGGGTTATATCCTGATGTTACTATGGCATTTGTAAACTATTATGGTGCTGGTGGGAGTGTAGCAGTGAGGACGACCAGCAGTCACTCCCATGGCCATATTGGTTTTGGTGGGTTTTAGCCGGCTTCTTTCTGCAACCTGTTTTATCAGCAAGGTTTTAAGGACCTGTATCTTGTGCTGACCTCCTATCTCATCCTGTGACTTAGAATGCCTTAACTGTCTGAGGATGCAGCCCAGTAGGTTTCAGCCTTATTTTACTCAGCTCCTATTCAGGATGAAGTTGCTCTAGTTCATATGTCTTAGACATTTCCTCCTTCCCTTTTATAAGAGAACCCTTAATCCTAAGGTTGTAGAAGGACAAAGATTCATCTTCTGTAACTTCTTCAGGCTGAATAGGGGCAATGATATTTCTGCCTGACTATTATGGTCTCTTGTGTTCAGGGTAAAGAGGAGCTCAGTCAGAAAGCTTCAGTATGATGAAGGCCATTCAGAACTCTTGAGTCCTGACGAAAGGTGATATCTGAAAGATTAATAAGTATTCGGTTTAAGAAAACATTTAGTAAGCTTAGTCTGCATTCCTACACAAAGAGTAAAACAGCAATATAACAAAATAAGCAAAAGTATCCCAAGTAAACTAAATTAGAAGGCTCTTCATGAACTGGGAAACTACTGGAACCAAGCTGACATGAGGTGGCTAGGCAATTCCAGTACATGCCCAGAATTAGAATGAAATCCAGATTTTTACATTACCAAAATGCCTTGTTTTTTCAGAGTAGCAGGCAAAGATCACTGGTTGGTTCATAGGAATAAGCAGGGTTAGCCTAAACTGCATAAACAAACAACAACTGATGAGACTAGAATTTAATACCAAGTGTAACATAGGTCTTGAAACGTAATATTCTTTCTCCTGTTTTCCATTTTCACTAAAGATAAGTCATGGTAAGACCAATTTGTTTTATTATACTTGGCCTGATTATTTATATAAAGTACAGCAAGAATAATTATTTTTCACATAGACTTTTAACACTGGTTTTGATGGAACTTTGTTTCTTAGAAGGAATCTTAGATAAGACTCTTTTTAAGCCGAGCCCTACCATGGGTTTGTATCCTCAAATACCTATGAGCTGAGTAAATTCCTCTCCTCTTGGGGTCCCAAGATAACTTGGGGCTCCTGGACCTGTTAGAAGGTGACATTGTTTACTTACCACAGGTCAGAAATCATGTACATGGACTGTTGTATCAAAGGTCTGAGGCCAGTTCCCCAAGGGGCTTTTATTGACTTGGCAAGTCAAGTTTGATTCCTTAGAGTATACCATTCCATCAAAGTCTTGGTAAAATAACCAGTTTCTCCAATTGTGTCTTGTTATCAAAAATAATAATAATAATAATAATAAAACAAAACAAAACAAAAACCCAACAGATTCTTATTACACTCATGCAAATAACTATATTGCCATAAATTGAGACTATTCACAATGAGTTTCCAAAATCTGGAGAAATCAAGTAAAGAGAAAAAAATATGCTCTCAATTTTGTTCACACATGTATA
This sequence comes from Homo sapiens, assembly GCF_000001405.40. Lineage (NCBI taxonomy): Eukaryota > Metazoa > Chordata > Mammalia > Primates > Hominidae > Homo > Homo sapiens. The sequence goes on along the minus strand of NC_000007.14, from coordinate 142,707,180 downwards.
CTTTACTCAATTGCTAAAAGCTGTAATAGCTCAAAAGTTTCCTTGACTCTGAAACACAAAACAAAAGATCAGCAACATTTTACACAAAAAGTTAAAGAGGAAAGCATTGCCTGAGGCAGGGTGGGGAAGAGGAGGCACTCGGAGACACCAGAGAAAGACCCACCCGTTGCAGTGACACTGAACAGTTCAGGTGGCCACGTGATGCTTGTGAAGGATCTTTTCCAGCGGTCCCATCAGCTCTCAAGTTTTCTGTTTTAGGGAGAAAACATTTTACACGTTAGACTTTTGCTAGTTTAGTCCATGCAGTTAACTTCTGTTCTGCTTGATATTCATGAACATTTCAGCTCTCCCTGAGTCCTGAAAGGTTTTCCTCTGTTCTGATGTCACAATGTCCAAATTTATCAGAAAATCTGCATTTAAAAGCACAGTTTTCTAGAGTCCTACATTTAATTCTAAACCACCTTTTACAGAGAACTAATATGAGACAATTGTCTGGATGACCAAAAGTCTTAGAACAGCCACAATTAAAGCCAAAATTGACTAGAAAAATGTGGTTGACTCTGTGGCATGCAATGATTTTAATTAACAATTATTAATAGCATACACTAAGTCATATCAGGGTTAAAGAAGTTTTTTTTAAAATAATTTTGGAACATGTACCAATGACACATTTATACAAATACAGCCCAAAAAAACCAAATGCCATTTTGTATTTGATAATGCTTCTTGTATGACTGTAATATTAAATAAGCCAAATGTCACTGCTGTATTCATGCATTATTGATGTCAAACCCAATTCTTAGTAAAACCTTATAGACAAATGTATTCAATCTTAATCATGTTGACCATAAGGTAAGGTTTTTATAAACCTTTTATAACCCTTTACAAGTTTTTGTTAAAGAGTAGAATAGTGCTTTTATTCCAATGTTCAGTTTCTAGAATAACTGAATAACACCCCTTTAATTTTAGCCAATGTTCGCACACAGAATCTCTTTTATGGTTATTTTTTTCATAAGCCTTCCACAGCTTTCTTGAACAGTCAGCTTCATCCTAACTTGAAACGATCCTTTAATGCTTTAATCTAGGCAAAAATCTAAATTCCCATGACTTTATATATATATATATATAATTTTAATGAAAAATGCATTTCACTTTCTTTACACAATTTGCATATAAAACTGTTTCTTCAGTAGTATCAATTACATGTTATAATGTTGACTCTTACCAAGGTTTTTCACCAAAAGTTGCTAAATTCAGGATTTTAATTATGTACTAGGTGTGGAGCCTAGCCTTGGACACACCAGGCAGAAGTGCAGATAAAGGCTGACTCCAGCATAGCTAGGGGGCGTGGCTAACTCCACATGTCCCCAGGTCTTATCTAGAATCTAATGGCTTCAAGGTAGGTTAATTGAAAATTTTTCAAAAGTTAAAGAAGCAGTTTATGACCTTCAAGCATTTAGCAGTCTTAATATGTGTCCTGCCTAATTTAAGCCAAATGTTTACATTTTTGAAGATATTTTTATTTTATCAATAATCTTCAAAACTGTCCTTATTTCTGGAAAATTAAAGTCACGTGAACTAAAAGGCACTACACTTTTTACTTTTCTGACAAAATATTTGATTTAAGCTCTCATTAAACCCATTAATCAATGCTCTTTTAGAAATAAACATCACATACACATAATACATGTAAATACATACACATAGGAATATAAAAAAACTCATCCCCTGAGGCAGGAATAGAACCCTGAACACAGGATGCCATTGTGAAAAGCGAAAACATGGCCACATGGTTACAGCTTCAAGCTCCCAAGGACATGCAAGACAAGAAAAAAATCTCATCCAATTTTTCTCAGGAACCTGCAGCAAAGTTTGTAACTGACCAGTTTGCTGGTCTGTCTTGAAAAGCAGTTTACAAGTGTCCTCAGCCAGTGTTCTATCATAAGGTACCCCTCTTTATGACAGAATAATACAGAAAAACACACAAAGCACATCAGATTTGCTACAGCTTAAGTCTAGCCTCAAAAACCCTTTCTTCCATTAATCAAAACTTTATAGGAGACAGTTACTTTTACCATTAATTCAACCAGTTTGCAAGGAGAAAAAGAGAGAGACAGAGAGAAGGAGAGAAAGAAGAAAGCACTGCCTGAGGCAGGGTGGGGAAGGGGAGGCACTCGGAGACACCAGAGAAAGACCCACCCATTGCAGTGACACTGAACGGTTCAGGTGGCCGCATGATGGTTGTGAAGGATCTTTTCCAGCAGTCCCATCAGCTCTCAAGTTTTCTGTTTTAGGGAGAAAATAGTTCCCCATGTCCCATGATCCTGTACATGCCTAATCCTGTTACACACAGCTGTCAGCAAGGAGTTGAAGGCAGATTAATCCAAAGAGAATAGCAGTTAACATCCTGTAGTGCAAAACCTGTTCTTAGCCCGAAAGGACTTTACCAAGACAGACTTTCTAAGAAGGGCCACTAACCCCCTAAATCTTGGAAAGGGATTCTAATCCTCCTAAATCGGGCCTCTAACCCAAGGTCATTCAAGTGTCCTTGCCTTTTATTAAGAGGGGCCTTTAACCCTCTCTGTCTTAGGAGAGACTCTAACTCCCCTAAGTTGAGCCTCTATCCCAATCCCATTCTTTACCTGGGTAGGTACTCCACCACTTACCCAAAGTTGTCCAATCGGTGCTGCAGTCTATTTCCTTGGGTTGGGGGGAGGTCTTCTTAGTATCATCCCTTCAGGGTTTGCCAGGAAGATGTTACAGGACCCCAACACTTACCCAAAGTTATCCTTTCTTTCCAGCGTTTCCTCACTACAGTCCCTTCATCATCACCAGAAAGCTGTTACAGGAAAGGCTCCTTATCCAGACCCCAAGAGAGGATTCTTGAATCTCAAGCAAGAAAGAATTCAGGGGGAGTCCATAGCATAAAGTGAAAGCAAGTTTATTAGGAAAATAAAGGAATAAAAGAATAGCTTCTCTATAGATAGAGTAGCCCTGAGGGCTGCTTGTGGCCTATTTTTATGGTTATATCCTTTTATATGCTAAACAAGGGATGGATTATTCATGCTTCCCCTTTTTAGAACATACAGGGTAACTTCCTGATGTCATGGCGTTTGTGTCATAGCACTGGTGGGAGTGTAGCAGGGAGGACGACCAGAGGTCACTCTTGGGACTATTTTGGTTTCGGTGGGTTTTGGCCAGCGTCTTTACTACAGCCTGTTTCATCAGCAGGGTCTTTACGACCCGTATCTTGTGCTGACCTCCTATCTCATCCTGTGACTTAGAATGCCTTCACCATCTGGGAATGCAGCCCAGTAGGTGTCAACCTTATTTTACCCAGCTCCTATTTAAGATGGAGTTGCTGTGGTTCACATGTCTCTGAAAAATCCACCCTTAAAAGTGGCATCGTCTGATTCAAACTCCTGCCTTTGTACTTTTGCCTCTTAGGCTACTTCCCGGCACGACTTCTTTCATCAGCTGCCTTTTTTCAGCTGCTTGGAAATAGAGCCTTATAATAGTTTTCTCTTACTGCTGTATCCTATTACTGCAAATTAGTGGCTTAAAACAACGCAAACTTATTATCTTACAGTTCTTTTGGTTGGAAGTCCAGGGTCGGTCTCATTGGCAGTTTGCTCTTTGGAGGCTCTAGGAGAGAATGTTTTCTTTTTTCTCTTCTAGCTTCTAGAGGCCTCCCACATTCCTTGACTTGTGGCCCCTTTCATTATCTTCAGCAGCAACAGCAGGTAAAGTTGTCACATCACTCTCACCATAGTCCATACACTTTTATGTACCTATGTGTTTATACTGAGCCCACCTGCATGAGTCAGGATAATCTCCCTGCCTCAAGGTTAGCTAATTAGCACACTAAACTATCTACAAACTTAATTATCTTTTATTATGTATGGTAACATATTTACAGGTTCTGAGGTTTAGGACATAGACACCTTTCGGAGTCATTATCCTACCTACCAGTAGCCCTTAGACAGAAAAGGAAGGCAAGGGTTGTTAAATTTAAGAAATATACTTTGGAGGAAGAAGGAGAGAAGAGGCAAACCCAGGATCAAATCATTGTAGACATTGCTGATTTTTTTTTTTTAACAGCCACATAATGAACACCTGTTAAATATCAGGTGCTGTTTCAGACCCTGAGAATAGAGGCATAAACACAGAAGTCAGCATCCCTGTTCCCATATTAATTGTGTCTGATCATTCATTAAACATGGATGTCATGCATAGGAGAAGATTCTGGGGAAGGAATAATGGAAAGGCGTGGCATTTGACCACATGGATTTTGTAGGCCCATGGTAAGATCACTATACCAATAAACATGATAATTTGGTATTTGCAGAAAGGGAGAATTGTGTAAGCTATGGAGAATACAGGGGAAAGAGTCTACAATCTTCTTGGGAAAATGGCACATTTCATGTAGTGCTATTGTTTTAAGTTATATTTGAAAGGAATTTGCAGGTGTGCTGTGTAAGGGAAATACTATGCACAGCATGTTTGGAGATAGAGTTCAGTGTGGCTTAGAGCAAAGTAAGTGGGACTGTGAGTGGTAGGTGTGACTGGATTTCATATTAGGCTTGTAATCATAGAAACCTTTGTATATGTTACACACTTTTTTTCACCCACCCATCTCCTTCCTAGATGGATTTAATCACTCCCCACTTTCCACTACACCCAGGGCTCTCCTGGCCCACAGCAATGTAGGAAAGTAGAAAATGATTTAGCAGATTGAAGAAGACAGAGTTTGTCAGCATGCTATACATAGGTGTACTTGAAGAGTTGGTGAATACATAGAGACAAAGGGCTGACTATATTGTGTGTGTTTCAATCAGGCTGGGTATGATCTGCTCATTTGGTTTTCACCTCCTCCTGGACATGTCTGGGATTCTGAAGCAGTGACCCATTCTTCCTACTCATAAGAAGCAAGTGTTTTAGAATATGAGTGCTATTATTATTCAAGTATGGTAGAGCTAATGGATGAGGAGACAGCTGCCACTGAAAATACAGTTTGTTACCTACGATTCCCAAGAAGAAAGGGGCATGACACACTATGCAGGGCAATACAGGCCCAGTTTTTTGTTTGTTTGTTTGTTTGTTTTTCTTGAGATGGAGTCTTGCTCTGTCACCCAGGCTGGAGTGTAGTGGCATGATCTTGGGTCACTGCAACCTCTGCCTCCCAGGTTCAAGTGATTGTCCTCCCTTGGCTTCCCAGGTAGCTGGGATTACAGGTGTGCACCACCATGCCTAGCTGATTTTTGTATTTTTAGTAGAGATGGGGTTTCGCCACGTTGATCAGGCTGGTCTAGAACTCCTGACCTCAAACTGATCCACCTGCCTCAGCCTCCTAAAGTGCTAGGATTACAGATGTGAGCCACTGTGCCTGGCCCCAATTTTTTTTAAGGCCTGAAACAAATTATTTGAAACCCAGTCATACCCTGTCGTCGTTGCCCCAGTTAAAACTTCTCCCTATGTGGTTGTCGGCTATATGGTCTATTTCTCATTCCCCTGACCCAAAACCCAGCACACTCCAGAGCTGCTGACCATGATAAAGCCTAATGGCCAATGCTAGAGTCCTGCAAGTAAGTTTTCTCCTTCTGAAACGTTTTCTTTAAAGTAGCTGACTCATAACCCCCATAGGAAAGCCTAAGGAATAGTTCCACTGGCCTCACCCACCCCCTCCTTCTGCCTTTGCCTGTACCCTCCCTTCCCTCCCAAACTGGATGAGCTCCTGCCATCTTCACACTTCTCTTAGGCCTCTCTAACATCTTTGGGTTCTGTGAGTAATAAATTTCTTCCTTTCATGCATTTTGTTTTCACTTCCTCCACTGTGTCTCACCTGACACTCACACCTGAATTTAACTCCCCCTCCCCTGAGTCAGAGGTCTCCTAGAGAATGGCTATATTGGTTTATGGCTAGTCTAAAAAGAGAGACCTCAAGACCAAGTTAGAAAAAAATCATAGCAATAAGAATCACAACAGTGGGTCAGAAGATAGAAGGAGTGACAGGAAACATTGGCAAGAACCTTTATTGTGGTTTTCACTGAACGAATGAGGGAGGCAGGGTACACAGGCTAAGTAGGCTTAGCATGGGCTAGTTTAAAAATTTGAGCAGGCTCCAAAGTGTAGGGATTATCTCAAGTTGTTTAGTACCTGGCCCTGTGGTAATTAGGGTAGGAGAATAGGGGCTTAGAGTATGAGAGCCCAATAAAGGAGGTGGTTTGGAGTAGAGGCTTTGGATTGGTTGATTTGGTATGAAAGGCATGCTCTAGGGAAAGTAGTTTGCTATCCCTAGGAATGAGTTAACACTGAGAGGGTCAGTCCCTCCAAGATCAGCAAGTCCTCAGATGTCAAAACATCAGAAAATATGGATGTCAAAACATTAGAAAATACAGACAATAAGAAGGCATGATTAATACAGTATGTCCTCCTCAGTACCCAACTGATATGGTTTGGCTCTGTGTCCCCATCTAAATTTTACCTTGAATTATAATCTCCATAATCCACAGGTGTCAAGTGTGGCACCAGGTGTAGGTAATTAAATCGTGGGACCAGTTTCCTCCATGCTGTTCTCATGATAATGAGTGAGTCTCACGAGATCTGAAGGTTTTATAAGCATCTGGCATTTCCCCTGCTGGCACTCACTCCATCCTGCCACCCTGTGAAGAAGGTGTCTGCTTCTTTTGCCCTCCACCATGATTGTAAGTTTTCTGATGCCTCCCCAGCAATGTGGAACTGTGAATCAATTAACCCTCTTTGCTTTATAAATTACACAGTCTTGGGTATTTCTTCATAGCAGTGTGAGAACAGACTAATACACCAACTATAGTGGTCTTACTGTGGGAGGATATCAAAGTGACTCAAGAAGAAAAATATAGAGCTCTTTGATACCATCCTAGACTCTAGTGTGAACTTGACATTATAATACAGTGCTATTTTTTTCTGGTAAAGGACTAATTTTCCTTTTTTCAAAATATTAAAGGGATAGTCATAATTTTTTTCATTTTAATAAACTTAGATTGTATATATTGTAGACCATGGGGGAGCCACTGAAGGATGCTGCAGAAAGAGTGATAGAAACAGATCTTTGCAATTTGGAAGTTTATACTTGGGTATACTAATAATACTAGATTAGATGAAATGAGGATTAATAAGGAACTAGAGAGATTAATGAGACCTTTTATATTTATTTGGTAAGCTAGTAAAATGGGCATAAACATGTCAGTGGTTGCAGTGATTGAGATAGCAAACAAAGAACTAAGATATTTAGGAATTAGAAATGAAAGTGCTTGCATAAAAATTGGATGTCCAGGGCAAAAGAGAAAGAAATGTGGCATGACTCTCAGTGTTCATATATTGTACAAACAAATGACTCTGTCAAGTCAGGAACTCAGAGGAAATGCATCTTGGGAGGGAAATATGATATGAGTTTTAACTTTAGGTAGAAGTGTTCAGTTGGTGTCCTGAATAAATTTAAGTTCAAATTTGGAATCAAAATGGAAAGTATAGATCTTGAATTCATTAATCCATGAGTGGTGATTCTTGTGTTCCCAGTCCCCATCATAAAGTAATGAATAGCAACTACCTCATGGAAAGAGAAAGGAGAAAGGACTGCTACCTTCTCAACAATTCTTCTTCTCTGAAGGTACATTTTCTTTGATCATTTTCTTATCTTCCTCCATCAATGGAATTTGGTAGCAATTCATTTCTGTGAAGCTCATAAGTATTTGAGGTACCCTGAGTTATCTCTGCTTAATTGTGGAAGGTGAATTAATTCACAAGAGGAGAAACTATTTGCTGTTCCGAGACTTTAGTTAGTTTCTGTATCATCCCACATTTCTTCTTCAGGAAGTTTTCACCAACTTGCTGATAATAGTCACAGTAGGTGTTCTCCTGTTAACTGGATTCTAACAGACATTTCTTTTTCAAGGCTTCATCTTGAGGTCATTGAAATTCCAATAAGTAGTTTTCTACTTATTGGAATTTCAAAGGATTGTGCTACCTCTCCCCAAATTAATTAACTGATAAGAAAAAGTATTTCCATAGTAAGTTACCTCAAAATTTATAAGGACAAAGCTAATTATATATCTCTTTTCATCTGACAACTAAGTTTATTCTCTTCAGAAAAGTGCTCTCCACACTCACTCCATTCTGCCTTTCCACTTCACTGCTCCTTCATTGGCAACTGTTCTGGTTTCATCTTTCTTCTCTTTTGTTAACTCAGGGACTAAAACAATCCTGTTTCTCGTCTTTAATCTCCAGTGTTCTTCCAGTAAGAGCCAAATCTATTCTACCTTTTTGCCTTTCCTTCCTCGACCTGGTCTTTGTTCCATTTTAATAAAGACCAATTCATTCTACTTCTGCACTATGTCCTTGATTAAGCAGTAGTAAGAAAATTTGATGCACTGCATGGCCAAAACTCTTAACCATCTCTTGAATAGTTTTGAATTCTAATTTAATGTATTTGATTGTATGCTCTCTGAATTTCTATTCTTGACTTTCCTGGCATTTGACCTCCATTGATATGATAGGCAGAATTCCAAGAATGACCTCCAATGACTCATGCCCATGTATAATGTCCTTCACTTTGAGCATGAGTGGAACCTAAAAATGAGATGTCACTCCAGCGATTATGTTACATTATTTGACAAAATAAATACTATTCAGGTTGGCCTAATCTAATCACCAGAGCCCTTTAAATGCAGAGTTTTCTGTCTTGAAGCAGAAGTGGGTATCAGAGGGATTTTAAACATGAGACAGATTTGATGTGCATTTGAAGATCAAGAGGACCAGAAAGAAACTGCAAGGAGCTAATGACCAATCTCATTGGCTGTCTGTGACAGCCAATAAAAAATGAAGACCCTAGACCTGCTGTCACAAGGAACCAAATTCTACCAATACTAGGAATCATCTGGGAGGAGGAGCCAGTCTCCTGATGAGAATGCAGACAGCTGACCCCTTGATTTCCGCCTTATGAGACCCTGAGAAAAATCCAGCCACTTTTCTTGGACTTCAGACATACAGGACTATGAGATAAGACAATTGTTACTTTAACCTGCTGAATTTGCAGTAATTGGAAAACTAGTATAGGTGGTTATCACCCAACATGCATCTTTGGGGAACTACTCAGTAAATCTGTATCTCTAGCCTATCTATTCAAAGACATGGATATTGATCTTAAAAGTTATACCTGCATCTACCCAACTGAGGTTCTGCTCCTCAATAATCCCTGTAAATAAACATAGTTCATTTCTCTTAAACACACACAGTTACACACATACATGCAAATAACCTTCTTCTCTGTGGGTGATCCTGAGCCCACACAAAGTCTGCATAATGTTTACTACCCTCTTTTACTGCTGCTGAAGCCATTGTACCACTGAGGAGGTCTTGCTGCCACTGTTCTTATTTTCCTAAACAACACGATTAACCATTGAGATCGCTTTGAAGAATCTTTGAAGGGTATTTGCAAATCTGGGTTATTTGTCTTTACTTGGTAAAATTCAATTTCATTAAAATTTCCCTATATCTGTGTCTGAAAGTTTGTCTAGAAATGTGCTGTGGTTTGAATGTGTTTCTTCTAAAATTCATTTTGAAATGTAATCCCCATTGTGGCAGTATTAAGAGGTGAGAAGTGATTAGGTCATGAGGGTTCTGCTCTCATGAATGAATTAGTGACTCATAAAAGGGCTGGGGAACTAGCTTAGGCACTTTTCTCGTGTGATGACATAGTACTCAAGGTGCCGTCTCGGAAGCAGAGACCAAGGCCCTCACCAGACATTGAACTGAGGTGCTTTGTTCTTGGGCTTCCGAGCCTACAGAATTGTGACAAATTTATGTTTACAAATTATCCAATCTCAGTCATTTTGCTATAGTAGCACAAATAAACCAAGATAAGTGTTCATATCATGTTGATGCCCTGTAGTTTAGTGGGATATTGACAAGAAACTAAGGGTTTAATAACAACCAAAAAGATGTCCTAGAAGGACAAAAATGGAAAGAGGGAAGCAGGGCATATCAAATTTAGGGAAGGGCTTTGGTATAATCTTGTGTAAACCAAAAATAAAATCCCAAGCCCCACAACCAACTGTGTGGACCCCTTCTCTTGGCCAAGAGCATTCCAAAGTTAACCTGAAAAACCAGTTCAGGTCTTAGTGGGAAGTGGGGTCAGACATGCCTCATTATACCCTCTTCACTTTAGAATTCAGGCACAACCAACCAGCATTAACATTAGAATGGAGACCTTACAAGTGACAAAACAGACCTTTTGTAGCAATAAGACACCAACATGACTCACAGCAGGCCCTGAAAAAAATCAAAATATTTTACCCCAAAGTATATTTTTTGACATATTTTTAAATGGCCCTACAAAGCTGTCTATCATGAGGAAAATCTGCATTCTGTAGATAATTCTTTCCTTTTCAGGTTTTTTCCCCTGATCCAGGAGAGAATTATGAGTCTGGCACCTTTTAAAAGTCTGATTAAGAAACACAATCTCTTCTCTCTGAAGCCTGCTCCCTGGAGGCTTCATCTGCATAACAAGAACCTTTGTCCCCACAACTCAGACACTCCTTTATATTGATTTCAAATCTTTAGATGATAACTTAACTCTTTCAACCAACTGCCAGCCTGAAAAATCTCTGAATCCACCTATGACCTGGAAGCCCCCTCTTTGAGTTGTCCCACCTTTCCAAATTGAAACAATGTACAGCTTACATGTATTGACTGATGTCTGATGTCTCCAAAAAACCAAGCTGTAGCCTGAGCACCTTGGACACATGTTCTTACGCCCTCTTGAGCCTCTGCCTCTGGCCACACTCACTCATGTTTGGCTCAGAATAAATCTCTTCAAATATTTTACAGAGTTTGGCTCTTTTTGTCAATACTTGTGAGGAAACTTCTCTTATTCGGGGTGAGGAATTTTGAGGGCAGGCTTTTCCTCTTTGGTATGCACCTTTTTTTGTGTGGAGAGGATATGGCTATGCAGTGCTATGGATGAACTGCTGGCATAGAGATACACAGATGTCTGGTTGGTGCTGGCAGACTTCAGGGTCAGGGGAAAAGATGCTATAGTATTTCAAGAAACATGATACCCCTCAGAGATATCTCCTTTTTCAGTGCTCCCAGTGCCAGGTGAATAATAGACCAGCTTCAGTCCAAGTCCTGGGTCCTGTCGATACCAGTACATTGTAACATGATTCATATTCTGGGAACACTGTAGAATGAATTCCTTTCCTGTCCCAATGATTCTGTGTCTTGGGAATTGTGTAACTACAGCATCTTTGAGGCCTGTTGGGGGGAAAAATGGATGATCAAATAGAGACAGGGCCTGGGAAAGAGGAGACTAATGTGAGTTTTATGAAGAAACATTTTATAGTTAGATCCTGTGAATTCAGTAATAGGGATTCCTTACCTGTGCCCAGGACTCACCTGCTCTTAGGAGACAAATGATCACACAGCAGAGAAGCCTGTTGCTCATGGCAGCACCAAAAGCAGGATGTTGCTTGGTGTTGTGATGAATTTAGTCCCTGATAACCAGCACTTTTCATTTATTTCCTGGCCAGAGAAACAACACTCATCTCCCACACTGCCAACAGCTACATAACTGCAAATCATGTAGCCCAGGCATGTGCAGTAGTAAAAGCTTTGACCTCTAACAATACCCAGAACCGAAGATTCCTCCCCTTAGAAACAGGAAGACCAAGACATGACTGGAACCTGAAAGCCAGACCTCTTTCAGTAGTGAGCGGTCCACTGGCCCAGAAGATCCCAGGCTAAAATGTTTCTTAACATATCTTACCATAGATAGTCATATTTGAAGCCTTCTAATCATACCCTACCATATCAACATTCCTAAATCCTTTCCCTTGCTCTCTGATCCCTTAAAACCTGCCCTAGACCCCAAATCATGGAAACAGATTTGAACTCACTCCTTTCTTTTTGCTGACTGGTGTTTCAATAAAGCCTTTTCTTTTCTCAAAAGCTGGTGCCATAGTTATTGGCTTCTGTGTGCAAACCCATTTGTTTGATAACAAATATAGGTGCCCAATGTGAGGCCAACACCTGCCAAGGCACTGTAGCCCCTCAGTGGGAATTAAAGTTTCTTCACTGACCCTGAGTGGTGCTACCTAGACCAGTTTATCCAGAGGCTTAGCTGTGAGGTCCTTATTCTCTGTCATGACATTTCAGGCCCTTTGAGTGCTACTTTCTCTTTTGAGGGAAGAAATTGCTTCTGGATAAGATGTCTTTTGGAGTCAATACCTTGTTAATATGTGCTTACACCTTAAATTGTCTTTGGTCTAGGACTGTAGATTAGAGTCCTATTTTTGTGCAGCTTCATGGGTTTGAATCCTACCCTAGGGAGGTCCTGGTTAGATTATTTCAGTCCTGGCTTTGGGTTAGCATCCAAAAAAATAAGTACAATAGTAAGGTGCTGTAACTTTTTGAGTATTCAATTCGGCTTGGTTTTGGTTTTCCTTTGTGTTTCTGAGTTTTTGGTTTGCATAATTATTCATCCTAACAGAGGTTAAAATTTTTGATGGTTGTGACAAGAACCTCATTAGAAGTTTATTTAAATGAAAGTCCTTGGATTCCAAAGATGAAATACATTGCTTTCTCCTGCCCTTTTAGGGTATTCCTAAGTGACTAAGAGTCTGGCAGAGGTGTTGAGGCAATTGGCTTATGATGTAAAGTGATTTTATAGGCAACCCCACCAGAAAAACATACCCCATTCCTGGGTTAGAACTTCAATAGCTCATCCAGGAGGAGCATACAAGGGGCCTTGGTAACCCCAACATCTCAAGCGGCCCAATACCATCTGGTGTTTAGGACCCTCTGAGACACATAAGAGGGAATATCTAGCCCATTGGTGATTCTCTGAAGAGGAATCCCCATAATCACAATACCACAGAACCAGAACACCTCCTTTTTACAGGATCTTATTCCAGTCATTTCAGGTAAAACTCTATACAAAATGGGAAACTTTAATAACATACTTGTCTATAGTCTTTTAAGATAAAACTCCCCACAAATCAACATACCACATGCCACAGCTTACTCATAGCAACCAGTAATGATGAGACCCAGGGACTTCTATACACTCTATTAGCTCTGTAAACATTTCCCACCAAGAAGTGCAGATGACAATTGGTGTGCAAAAGTGATGCATAGATTTTCTAGTTGACCATGGAGCTACATACTCTATTCCAAACACAACACAAGTCCCTGTCTTCCCAAAGAACACTGCTATTACTGGTGCATCTGGGGAAACATCCTTGCAAACCTTTCTTTCAGCCACTCAAATGCCATAGAGGAAAAGCCTATTAAACCTATTTAAACATAGCTTCCTATATATGCCTGAATGTTCAATACCTTTGTTGGGATAAGACTTGCTAACAAAATTAAATGCACAGTAATTTTTCACCAGAATGAGTAAATATTAAGGTGTCTCCTAAACAAGACTGCACCCTCCAAGTTGCCTTATTACAGGTAGAAGAAGGACCATTGCCTGAAATCCCTAAAGAGGATCTACAAAAACAGGTCTGGCTTGACAAATCAGTTTTTGAAATACCCAGGCCTGGGAATGTTTACCAGTGTGAACAGCTTCATGGATCAGGGTCTCTGAAAAGCCAGATATGCAGTAGTGACTTACCAGAGAATGTTAAAAGCTGAGGCTTTCCCATCAGTTCTCTCTGCCCAAAAGGCAGAACTTATTGCCGTCACACAAGCTTCACACCTCAGGACAAATGAAAAGGTAACCATTTATATAGACTCCAAATACGTCTTTTTGGTAGTGCACGCAAATGGGACCATATAAAAGACAGACTCATTAATCTCATAAAAAATAAAATTAAACACACAAGAGAGATATTAGACTTATTAGACTCAATTTTGATGTCAAAAAAAATGGCCATAATGCACGGCCCAGGACACCAAGAGACTGATAGCTAGATAACTAAATGCAATAATCTAGCCAATCAGGCAGAAAAACATACAGCCAGGACAAGAGAGCCTAAAACAAAGGCTCTGGTACTTATTCCAAGTATGAATCTGTCCTTATTTAAACCCAGTACTCAAAGGTAAATCTAGAAAGAGCAAACCAGTAGGGATTTCATACTTATACTCAAGATTTGGATAGGGAACAGTATAAAACAAGAAGCCTAGGTTTACGATGAGCAAGGAATAGTTCTTGTCCCTGAGCACTGGATAAAGGATTATTTCCCAGTTACATCAAAGAACTCATTATAGAAGAAACACAACCTATCATTAGTTACCAAAGTTTGTTGTCAGGCTGCACGTACAAAAGACTATCCAGAAGGCTGCCCAAAATTGTCTTATTTGTGCTACAGAGAATCCAAAGACAGAACCACCTCCAGCAGGCAAAGGGGTCTAAACCTGAGGAACAGAAACAAGACAAGATTGTCAAATAGACTTTGTAGTTATGCCAGGAGCTGGAGGAAACTATAAATACCTGTCGGTACTTATAGACACCTTCACTAGATGGGTCAAGGTCTTTCCATGTCAAACAAAAAATGCATCTGAGGTAACTCAAGCTTTATTAAAAGACATAATTCCTTTGGATTGTCATTTTCAATTCAAAGTGACAACAGAGATATCAGACTTACCTAAGACATTTATGGAGCTCTTAGGATACAGGGGAAATTAAGCACCTCTTAGAGGCTCCAGTCTATTAGAAAGACTGAAAAGATAAACAATATCTTAAAAAAAGTACTTGCCAAAATGTGTCAAAAACCCAATTTAACATAGGATAAGATCTTGCCACTTGCCCTGCTTAGAGTAAGAATGACCCCTAAAAGTAAGCACCAGTTTAGCCCCTACAAAATTCTATGTGGGACAACCCTTCTTAAGACTAAATACTGTTTTAATATTGAAAATGATCATGATGGGTAAATGCATTAGATGCTATAAAATGTGTACAGTCTCTGGGTATAACTTTTTCTGCTATACATAATTACGCTTCTAGCTGTTTTAATGTTTCCTATAGATGTTCCTTTACATTGTCTAAGTCTAGGAAACTAAGTACAACTTAAGACCTAGAAAAACCGCTACCCTGAAGACCAACTACAGTTCAAACAGATTAGGTCCTTATGAAGTTCCTTTAGTGATCCATTCAGCAATAAAGTTAAAAGTGTTGAGGCCCTAAATTCATCATTCATGGGTAAAAGTTATTCCCATTTTCAGAAGATTCCTCTTGGCCCCTGTAAAATTCCCAAACAGGTCATGCCCTTCACAGATAAGAAAAGCCAAAGGACCAGACTGACCGTCTACCAGATGGCTGTGGAGGCCCACAACCAGCTTTTCCACCCAGGAACTCACTTGGAAACCCCTAACCTTTTTTTAAGTTACTTTTTAAAAAACCCAATAAGGCCAAAAGGGCTCCTAACTCTCCAGATAAGTGGAAATCCATTTCTGTCTCTAAAACCAGCCTCCATCTGATGGAACTGTGAGGGCAGAAACAGGAGACAATTAAAGGAGACAGCTTGCCCAAGATATTGGGCGAGGCCTGTATTAATGCAACTTAATTTTTGCCTTGTTGTCATATATACTATTCTATGCTATTGAATTAATCATCTCTACCTCCTTGATTTAACCTCAAAAATATTATTTGGGACCTTATAGCCCTTCCTTGGGTAGAGTTTATTTTTTTCTGATGCTTTTTTTTCTATCAGCCAAATATCTCCTCTCAGGGAAACAAAATGATTTCCTCTGTTAAAAATGCCCACAATTTTCCTCTATTACATCCTTTTGCTTGCCTTACCTCAACATAAAAGGATAATTTCTTTCCTTCTTTTTTTTTTTTCTTTTTCAGACAGAGTCTCACTCTGTCGTGCATGCTGCAATGCAGTGGCATGATCTCGCTCACTGCAACCTCTGCCTCCTGAGTTCAAGTGAATACATCTGGCTAAATTTTGTATTTTTAGTAGAGACAGGGTTTTACCATGTTGGCCAGGCTGGTCTCAAACTCCTGACCTCAAGTGATCCACCCACCTCAGCCTCCCAAAGTGCTGGGATTACAGGAATGAGCCACCATGACTGGCCAAAAAGATAATTTCTTGATAAAAATGTCCCAATCCCTACCTACCTCACAAAATCTATCTAAATGTTAGAGATGTCATCAAAAACCCTCCTCTGCACTTGATCACACTGATCTGCTGCTTATCTCTGTGACCAACTTCTCTAAAGTGCCTAATATTCTGGTGACCTATGATAAAAAACCCACAGGTATAACCTGTAGGGTCAGATTTGCTGGGGGAGGATCATTAGTTCCCTGTTTTCCATTAACATCCCCTGCAAAGACACTTATGTTAACAGCTTTAAAACTGAGGATAAAGGGGCCCATGCCCACAGAAGCCAGACACTGGCTAACGCAGAAACGAAAATCATCTCTTTACTTAACACACCTATTTTCCACTTCCTGTTTTCTATCCTCTGGTCCAGGAGATATACACTGATGTGTCCTCAAACTGTAGATCTACATGATTACATCAAGAGTTAAATAAAAAGAACCTAGTATGCCTTCAAGGACTGCCCTCTTCCCTACCAATTTGTAAGTTAGATAACTCCTTCTAGACTCCTCTATACTCTGACTCCTACTTTGACCAAGTCCTAAGTAAAATTCCTGAAACTGAGAACTTAGATGTTAACATATCTGGTATTTTTTTTTTTTTTTTTTTGAGATGGAGTCTTGCTCTGTCATCCAGGCTGGAGTGCAGTGGCGCGATCTCAGCTTACTGCAAGCTCCACCTCCCGGGTTCACGCCATTCTCCTGCCTCAGCCTCCCGAGTGGCTAGGACTACAGGTGTCCGCCACCATGCCTGGCTAATTCTTTGTATTTTTAGTGGAGATGGGGTTTCACCGTGTTGGCCAGGATGGTCCCAATCCCCTGACCTCATAATCTGCCCGCCTCGGCCTCCCAAAATGCTGGGATTACAGGCATGAGCCACCGCGCCCGGCAACATATCTGGTATTCTATGCGCCTCCTCAGGATATGTCTTTGTCTATGAAACAAACGACCAGCCCTCGGACTATGAATGCCTTGACAGCTGATGCCCCAAAGACATCTGTTTACTAGGGTACTTAGTCACTCCTTTCTCTGTCTGTGGCATTAGTGATGCTGGGCATTAGACTAACACCATAAAACTGTTCACCTTGGCCAAAAGATCTATGCTAAACCTCCTCCCAGTTAAATATTTACCAGGTGGCCCACCAGATGGTGTAGGATATTTCTTTAGACAAACTCTGTTGCCATGGTGGGGAGTTGCTTCTTATAAACATATGATTAAAAACCTTTCCATTGCCCTGAAAAAGCTTGCCAAGGAGACCACAATGGCCATGGTGGCTCAATAGAGAGAGCCAGGTGCTTTGGCTAAAGTAATAATAGATAATAAAATTACTCTAGATTATATACTGGCTAAACAAAGAGGTGTTTATGCTTTAATATGTCATGCTGTGTTTACATTAATACTTCTAAAAAAGTTGAGACCCACCCAAATAATAGACCAAAAGCCACTCGACGCCATCTAGTGTTCTCTAAAAAACCTGGATATAATATGTAAACAGCGTGTTTTCATTAGGAATAAGATCTATTTTTTGAGGGTCTACTTAAACTCAAAATTATATTTCTGTATGTGTTAAGATTTCTCTTCCTTCTCTCAAGGTCTCTACCTGCTGTCTATTTTTTAAATTGATTGTTAAATCAATTCCCCCTGCTCATGAAATAGTTATTAAATATCGAATTCCCTGACCCACCTGTTTGACCTCAACTCAGGACCTATGAATATTTGCAATTATTTATGAAACAATTTCATTCCTCAAACCCAGACCTATGTCCCTTGTCAACAAAAAGTAGCTAGAGTGGTAGACACTCTATTTTTTCAAGATTGAGAACTAAAGTAAACAAAAAGGGAGGGATTTGTAACTGCAGGATCAGCCCAAACTGGGTCTGTTATGTGGATAACAAAATATGAGTTAGCTTGTAGGTACGACAGAGCCAAAAGCTTTGACCTCAAATAACACCTGGAACGAACGATTCCTCCCTTCGGAACCAAGAAGACAGGAAGATGCTTGGAATCTGGAGGCTGAAACTCTTTCAGAAGCAAGGGGTTCATTGGCTGGAAAGATCTGGGCTCAAATCTGCCTCAACCTACTTTACCATAAATGGTTAAATCTGAAACCCTCCAATCAGACCCTATCAACCCAGTATCACTAAATCCTTGCTCTCAGTCCCTTAAAACTTGTCCAAGACCCCGAATCAGGAAGACAGATTTGAGCCGGCTTATTTCTCCTTGCTGACCAGTTTTGCAGTAAAACCTTTTCTTTTCTCAAAAGCTGGTGCCATGCTTATTGGCTTCTGAGCATATCAGACAACAAACCCATTTACTTGATTGCACTACCACAAGGTTAGTGGCTAACAAAGAAAGCTCTGGAGAGAGAGTGCCTAAGTTTAAATATGGGTTCTGCTACTTAAGCTCATTTTACGCAAGTAAGTTAACTGTGAATGCTTCAGTTTTACTCTCTGTAAGTTGTACTAATAAAAGTATGAACCTTGTGGATTTGCTGTGAAGATTACATGAATTAATGTGTTAAGAAGTTACAACTGCACAGTGTATAGTTATCACTCACTCAGGCTCAACTTTCAGAATGGTCAGCTAGTAGTAGCACTCTTACTGCTACCGCCATTAGTTATTATTGAGTCTTATTCTTGGCTAGGGATTGTGTCAGGCAATTTACATACATTTTCTCAACTAAATAAAACCTCTCAGAGCCAGGTATGACTATTTCCATTTTATAGGCTAGGAAACTACCTTTAGAGAGGTTAAGTAACATGGCAAAACTAGACGGTGACCAGATCAGTCCAGTTCTAAAATATGTACTTTCAACTATTAATAATAAATTTTTCAAATATTCTATACCTTGCATTTTTTTCTTTTTAAAGTTTGGCTGGAGACTTCTTCAGAAATTATTTTCATTTTACTCTAATTCCCAAAACTAAAACCACACTTAGCATGCTACCCTCAATGGCCTGAAATTCAAAATATCTTTTATTACCAGGTATCATTGACTAGCTCTGTTTATTTTTTTCTGAAAACCTTGAGCATGCTTATAACAAGTGGCTTACTCAAACCCAGTTCTTTTATCTCAGAATTGGTGGATCTCTTTTCATGAGCAGCTTCTGTAAAATCCTTTCTTTGTCTTCTTCTAGGTTCTATCCTTTGGTTGTCCTACTTCTTATTTCTAACTGACTTCCTTCAGCATTTAGTATATCTTGAATGATTACAAACAGTTCATTATCATGCTGAATCATCCTTGAAACTTCATTGGTATCTTCTTAGAAGAATGATGATATAATCAATGTGCAAAAATCACAAGCATTCTTATACACCAATAATGGACAGAGAGCCAAATCATGAGTGAACTCCCATTCACAATTGCTTCAAAGAGAATAAAATACCTAGGAATCCAACTTACAAGGGACGTTGAAGGACCTCTTCAAGGAGAACTACCAAACACTGCTCAATGAAATAAAGGAGGACACAAACAAATGGAAGAACATTCCATGCTCATGGATAGGAAGAATCAATATCGTGAAAATGGCCATACTGCCCAAGGTAATTTATAGATTCAATGCCATCCCTATCAAGCTACCAATGACTTTCTTCACAGAATTTGAAAAAACTACTTTAAGGTTCATATGGAACCAAAAAAGAGCCCGCATTGCCAAGTTAATCCTAAGCCAAAAGAACAAAGCTGGAGGCATCACACTACCTGACTTCAAACTATACCACAAGGCTACAGTAACCAAAACAGCATGGTACTGGTACCAAAACAGAGATATAGACCAATGGAACAGAACAGAGCCCTCAGAAATAATACCACACATCTACAACTATCTGATCTTTGATACTGTCAATGGAAGAATGAGGAGGTTCAAATTTGGAAGGGAGAGCTTTATTTCTCATAAAGGGTTGCAGCCTGCAGTGTGGCCATTCTGACAGGCTGGGAAGCACAGCCTCTGGCCAGAAGCCAGAAACACACATCTAGGGAGAGGCAAAGGGAAAAGAAATACATGCTGAGTGGAATGGCCAAATACAGATATTCAATAAGCTATAGGAGGAGTCATGAATATTAATAAAGGGAAAAACATATACATCCACAATTGAGTTTCCTGCCCCTTCATGGGATTCCTGTAAAAAAAAACTGGCCATGTTAGCATGATCTGGGGGTGGAGTTTTCAGCTCTCTGACATCAAAAGGTGAAGCAAAGGACACCAAAAGCCTCACTACACGTCCTCCATAGACTGGCCAGAAACACTGTTTGGTTGGTGGCCTTTTACCAGGCAAAAAGGAGGGACAGCATCAGACTTTCTGTTGCTTTTAGTGCTAGAGTCTTTTCAAAGGGCTGGTTTGTGTTTAGCCTTTAGGGAAGCAAACCTCATCATGGCTCTAAGGGAGAGGTATAATAAGGTGTGTCTGATCCCTCCATCCTGTCCTGGCCAAGAACTCAACATTCAAGGTTACTCTGGGGTGCCCTTGTCCCAGAGATGGTCCTTTCAGTCAGTTGGTGGGTATAGGATTTTATTTTTAGCTTATAATATAATTCTGAAGAATTATGTCTTCATAAATACATTTCTGTTTTGAATAAATACTTCATCCAACTGAACACATTTTTGTTTTAGCAATTTCTCTTCCTATTGGCTACTAGTCTGCTTCCAATGGAGGGAATAATTTTAGGGGATGTAATTCTTGGAGTGATCCTGTAGTTAAATATGTAATATAATACTCTCCCACCTGCTTCTTTTTGTTGCAGCTGCCTCCTTGCTGGGATGGTGCTGGTGCATATATTTATGTGTGTGAGTCTGGGAGTAAGTTCACTTGAGGTTAGGGTCTGAGGTGGGGAAAATATATATGCTACTCAAGAAACAGAATAAATTCCACATTGAAATTTCCTCAAGGGGTTTACTTCCTATGATCCTCTGTCTTTCCCTTCCTCTCAGGAGCAGGATGTGGTGTACCTCTGTGGCTTAGCAGAGGTGACGGCCCACCCTGATGGCTCATTGAGTGGCAGTGAGGAGATTCACCAAGGGAGTAGCTCCCCACTGAGCCCAGAGATTGTTGTGAAGCCCCTCACGGGAAGTCCCTGAAATTGAGAGGTGTGGCATTCATAGAAATGAGCCAATGTAGAAGTTTAAACCAACTGCATCTGTCCTTATATAAGGCATCATCAGAGTAAAGGTATTTTTATTCCTGTGTTCCTCTTCAGCATTTTCCACAGAGATTTTCTTCATCAGCCTCCTATTTTGACCTGCTTAGCAACAGGGCCCACTCTTAACTAGGGAAGGGAGATGAGACCTAAGACATGAGATAGTTAATAAATAATTCCGGGGTAAGTAGGAGATGGTGAGGCATAAGTGCAGGGTCAATTCCACAAAGGCATATTTGAGTCTTTCATATTATTGAACAAATATACATCTATGTGCACCATAGTACTAGACTCTGGGATACAAGCATGAACAACAAAAAGAAGGTCTCTTCTTCCATGGGGGCTTATGATTCTGTATTCTATATATCATTCCTAGTCCTACTACTGCAGTTACAGAGGTAAACAGATTTACAGTCCCATCTTTCAAAGACCATACTTGCCTAGAAGGAGTCAGACATGACCAAAAAGCCATAATATAGTAACAGACTTTAAATTGTTGTAAGCACATAGGGAAAGAAACCTCCATATCTCCGTGGGAAGAAAGGACTTCACAGAGGTAGTGTGGGTTTAAGTAAGATTTGTAGGAAAACAAATAATTTCCTGGTAGACCTAGGCTGGGGGACCAGCCTATGCAATATCTAAGAGAATATGGTATTTTTGGAGTTTGCAAAGAGTTCAGTAAAGCTGGAGACTATTGTTAAGAGACGTGAATGGCTGAAGGGGAGTGTAAATTTCCAGATAGGATTAGGATGTGTTCTCTCTCAATGCCTTTCTGAGACAGTATTTCCTACCCATCCCTTTCCCAGTGCTCAGGCCAAACCCATTGACTAATATAATGGATTTTAAGAGTAAGTTTACTAATATTGAAATACCCTTACCATCCTGGAGCAAACACCAATTTGTAGATTATTTTCTAGTGTCATTATTTGATTCTCTGTTATTGAATACTTTTTTATCAATACTAATCAGTGATGTAAGTCTATAGTTTTTTTTTTTTTTTTTTTTTTTTTTTTTTTTTAAGATGGAGTCTCGCTCTGTTGCCCAGGCTGGAGTGCAGTGGCATGATCTTGGCTCACTGAAACCTCCACCTCCCAGGTTCAAGCGATTCTCCTGCCTCAGCCTCCCAAGTAGCTGGGACTACAGGCACGTGCTGCCACAACCGGCTAATTTTTTGTATTTTTAGTAGAGACAGGGTTTCACTGTGTTAGCCGGGATGGTATTGATCTCCTGACCTCATGATCCACCCCCACCCTCAGCCTCCCAAAGTGTTGGGATTACAGGCATGAGCCACCACGCCTGGCCAGTCTATAGATTGATTTTTTTTTTAAGGTGCAGTTTTGTTGCACCTTAATATTTAGCTCATGTCATGAAAATAATTTAGAAATTTCCCCTACTGTTCTATACTTTGCAATGTTTTAGGTATTCTCAAAGTCCCTGATTTTAAAAGGTGTGGAAAAATCCCTGTAAGAAACTATATGGGACTGGCACTTTTCTGTGAGGAAATTCTATTACAAATTCATTTATTTCTTTTGTAGTCATTGTTTTGTTTAGGCTTTTTTCCACATTAGGGTCAGTTTTGCTAAATTTATAATGTGAGCCATTTCATTTAGGCTTTTAGGTTGTTTGCAGAGAATTATACAAAATATTGTTTTTAAAAATAGATTTTATCATGATACTTCCCTTTGTCACTTCTGTTTTAGTATATTTGTCCTCTCTGTCTTTTGGCTGGCAAACAATTATCTCATTTGCTTATTTCTTAGTTCTATCATTAAAACATTTTCTACCTTATTCACTTCTGCTTTTATGTTGATCGATTCCATTTTTTTGCTTCTGTCCTGTTCAGGATAAATGTCTGAAATGAGTCTTATGGGGCTAAAAATCAAGGTGTTGGCAGGTAGTGTTCCTTTTGTAGGCTTTATGGGAGAATCCATTTCTTTGCCTTTTCCAGCTTCTAGGTGCCATCTGCACTACTGGGCTCAGGGCCCTTCCTCCATCTTCAAAGTGTGTCTGTCATTCCGATCTCTACTTCCATTGTCACATAGCCTTTTTCTGACTTGCATCCTCTTGCCTCACTCTTACTACATGCACCAGACATAGTACTAGATTCTGGGATATAAGCATGAACAACAAATAAAGGTGTCTGCTCCCATCGGGCTTATAATTCTGTATCCAATATATTGTACCAAGTCCTACATACTGGATTTACAAAGGTAAGCGAATATATAGTCCAATCCCTCAAAAACCATACTAGTCTAGGAAGAGTCAGACATGACCATAAATATCATAACATAGTGATAGAAGTTGAAGTTTGTTTAATTTATTATAAACACATAAAGAAAGAAACCTCCATATCTGTCTGGGAAAAGAAAGAGGGCTTCACAGAGGTGGTTTTAGGTAAGATATTTTAGGAAAGTATGTGATGATATTGAGCCCACTCAGCTAATCAAGGAAAACCTCCCCATTTCAAGATCCTTAACTTAATCACATCTGCAAAATCCTTTCAGCAATGTGAGAGAACATATTCAAGATTTTCAAGGATTCAGATCTGAATATTTTGGGAGATTATTATTCAGTCTACCACAATGTGAAAATCTCTAAATAACTGCAGCAATACTTCTGAGAGAGAAATGTTTAGATGACTGAGATCATATCTTAGCTAGGGAAGCAAGAACTGATAAAACCCTGGTTTGTTCAATAAATATTTAAAGAGCAACTACTTTATTCAAAGCCTGTAATACTGTTGAAGATACAAAAATTAAAACCTTGGACATGGTCCTTGGCCTCATTGAGCATATTTTGTATTAATAATTTTAAAAACTATCATAATAAGTTAAACAATGAAATGTGTGATACTCTATGATTGTAGAAGCTCTGGGTACCATGGGGTATTTACCACGCATAGTCAGAGACTCAGCCATGATGATTATGCCATTTAAACATGAAGGATTAGGAGTACAGATAAATAGGGAGAGAAAGATTATTCTAGCTAGTGTGAACAGCATGTGTAAAGGCTCAGGAGTGAGTGAGAAAGTACATATGGAGCTTTGGGAGAGCTGAGGGATTATGAATATTATTAGAGCATAAGTATGCAAAAAGTGGGTAAAGAGTAGGTGAATTTCACAAGACTGGATAGGTATGCAAGGGCCAAATTATGGAGGGTTTTAAGAATTTGTAGTTTGGAAGTTTTTTTTTTTTTTTTTACGAAAAAACTTATAGGCTAACATTTAGATATAAAGAAGACTGGTCATAACCCTAAAGTCAATGGAAAGGAAGTGTTTTCAGCTGCAGAGAATGAACTGAGTTAGAAAAGAGAGTAAGACATCAGGTAGGTGGATATTTGGTAGGAGTTGAAGTAATTCAGGTCAAAGAAGTAATTCAGATCGAAGACAGTGGTTGCCTGAGCTAAGGCAGTATTCGTTGGGATAGAAAATAGTGGTTGAATTTGAGAGGTTTTAATAAACAGAAATGTTAAAGATGTGTTTATGGACCAATGTGGAAGAAGAATGTGACAGAAGAGGTGAAGATATTCTGGGGACTCTAGCTAAAGCAATTGAGTGAATGCTTGTACCACTTAGGGATCCCAGTGACACAGAAGATGCATGTCACAACATACCTTAGGGTGGGTTATTGTCTCAAGAAGCTAGAGAGCCAGGACTGGGACAAGGATGAGGAAAGGCATTGCAATGAATGTGTTTGGGACCTGAAGAGGGGATATCTTGTCTGAGGAGCAATAAACCTGAAAGGGCAGAGTAAGGATCTTAATACATATAATTTAATCTCAGAAATAGAAAATGAGACTATTTGAACTGGCCATAGACTTAGGAACATTTTCTCGACTTCTGTACTCACTAGTAGAGCACAAGGAGGTATAGGAAATATTGCCTTTTGAAGTCTGATGCAAGGTTGCTGCTCAGGTCAGACTTCCTACCCAAAAAAAAAAATCTCATGTAAAAGGTTCTGGAAAGTTCTATTCTCTCCTCCTCTGAAAGAAGTTCTTTCTCAGAATAGGGTGGAGCCTCTTGTGGGTGGGCACTCCTCCCTTTGAGACTGCCATTTTGTGAGGTGAGCACATGCCTGTGCAGTGCTGTGGAGTGACGGTACAAGGACACAGGGACATCTGAAAGGGAGTTGCAGATTTCAGAGCCAAAGAGAACTTCTATTTTTTGCCAGGAAATATTTTCAATAGGGATATGTCTCTAATCAACAATGTCAATGTTAACTGAATAATGAGTCGGCTCTAATTCCAACCCTGATTCTTGTGAAAACCAGTATGAAATCTTGGCACTTATCTTGAGAACTCCTTTCCTGTCTCTGCAATCAGGTGTCTTAGAGTCTAGGTGGCTTCAGCTTCTACGAGCTGGGGTTTATGAGCTGAGGGGACAGAAGACAGAAAGAGAGCCAAGGAGAGAGCCTGGTGCTGCAGACTCCAGGAAGGAACCTGGGCTGTGGGCAGGCAAGCTCAGAATAAGAATTTCCCAAATGTTTCCAAGACTCACTGCCCCCAGGAAACAAAAGTACATGCAAGGGAGGAATAACCAGCTATGGTGGAATGAAGAGGTCAGCAAAGTTCCCCATAAAATAAGTATAAAACTCAAACAATTCTCATCAAAAGGCAGGAATTTTCTTTTTTCCTTAGGAGTAAAAGCTATTTGTTTCTGTACCAAGAGTAAGGCACACATGTTTTCATGGCTGTGGGCTATGAATAGTAATTTGAATTATATTTTATGCAAACACTTGTTTAATGCACATTTCAGTATAAGCCAAAATTACTATAATTTTGTTACTACAAAAATTTTTATATTATACTGCTATATAAGCTTAGTTGAAAGCTATCTCATTTCTTTATTATTTATTTAAAATTGACAAATAGAAATTATATATATTTATTGTATACAATGTGATATTGTGACATTTTAATATATGTATACATTGTGGAATAATTAAATCAAGCTAACATATGCATAATCTCACATACTTATTTTGTTTTGACTTTTTTTTGGTAGGAACATTTAAAATCTACATTCTTAGCAATTTTCAAGAGTACATATATTATTAACTATAGTAATCATGCTGCATATTAGGTCTCTAGAACTTCTTTCTGTCTGATTAAAACATGTACCTTTTGACCAACATTTCCCTATTTCCTATGCCTCCCTTCCTGAAACCCCATCCCAGTGCTTGGCAATTACCCTTCTACTCTCTGCTTCTGTGGGTTTGACTTTGTTGGATTCCATGAATAAGTGAGACCATGCATTATTTGTTTTTCTGTGCCTGAATTATTTCACTTAGCATAATGTCTCCAGGTCCAAACATGTTGTTGCAAATTATATGATTGCCTTTTTCTGTAGGGTTGAGTATTATTCCATTGTGTGTGTGTGTGTATGTGTGTATGTATACACATATACGTATAAATAATATATATATTTATATATACATATACAGAATTTATATCATATATTCTTCATCTAGTCATCCCTTGGTGGAAACCTAGGTTAATTCTGTATTTTGGCTATGTGAATAATGCTTCAAGGAACACAAGAGTACATATATTTATTCAACATACAGATTTCATATCCTTTGGATTTATATCTAGAACTGGAATTGCTAGATTATATGATAGTTCTATTTTTAATTTTCTGAGGAACCTCCATACTGTTTGTCAAAATGGCTGTACTAATTTACATTCTGTATTAGGTCAGGGTTCTCTAAAGGGGCAGAACTAATAGGATAGATGAAGAGGAGTTTATTAAAGGGTATTTACTCATACAAACACGAGGTAAAGTCCCATAATAGGTCTTCTGCCATCCGAGGAGCCAGGAAGCCAGTCTGAGTCCCAAAACATCAAAAGTAGGGAAGTTGAGAGTGTAGTCTTCAGTCTGTGGCCGAAGGCCCAAGAGCCCCTGGCAAATCACTAGTTTAAGTCCAAGAGTCTAAAAACTGAAGAACTTGGAATCCGATGTTTGAGAGCAGGAAGCATCCAGCATGGGAGAAAGATGAAAGCCAGAAGATTTAGACAGTCTAGTCCTTCCACATTCTTCTGTCTGCTTTTATTCTAGCCATGCTGGCAGCTGATTAGATTGTACCCACCCATATTGAGGGTGGTCTGCCTTTCCCAGTCCACTGATTCAAATGTTAATCTCCTTTGGCAACACCATCACAGACACACCCAGGAACAATACTTTGCATCCTTAATCCAACCAAGTTGACACTCAATATTAACCATCACACATTTCTGCCAACAATGTACATGATTCCCTTTTCTGCACATCCTTATCAATGCTTGTTATCTTTTGTCTTTGTAGTGTTAGCCAGTGTATCAGTTGTGAAGTGATATCTCATTGTGGCTTTAATTTATATTTCTCTGATAATTAGCAATGATAAACATTTATTCATTTGTATGCTTTCTCTTGAGAAATGTCTATTCAGGTCATTTGGCCATATGTTAATTGGGTTGTTTTCTTGCTAATGAGTGTGAATTTCTTATATATTTTGGATATTAATCCTTTTTCAGACATGTGGTTTGCAAATATTTTCTCCCATTTTGTAGCTTGCCTTTTTATTCTGTTGATTATTTCCTTTCCTTTCCTTTCCTTTCCTTTCCTGTGCAGAAACTTTTTAGTTTGATGTAATCCCACTTGTCTAATTTGGTTTTTGTTGCCTATGCTTTTGCAGTAATATCTAAAAATTGTTTACCAAGACCAGTATTAAGAAGCTTTTCCCCTATGTTTTCTAATAGTATTTTAAAAATTTCAGGTCTTATGCTTATGTCTTTAATTTATTTTGAGTTGATTTTATGTTGTAAAATAGAAAGACCAAAATCCAACTATTTTCTGACTATGGGAAATCACTTTAGTTTTAAAGACACAAATATATTGAAAGTAAAGTATGGAAAAGCATATGTCATATTAGTAA
This sequence comes from Homo sapiens, assembly GCF_000001405.40. Taxonomy (NCBI): domain Eukaryota; kingdom Metazoa; phylum Chordata; class Mammalia; order Primates; family Hominidae; genus Homo; species Homo sapiens. The sequence goes on along the minus strand of NC_000007.14, from coordinate 142,679,046 downwards.
CCATAAAAGCTTGAGTGGCTATATTAATATCAGAGAAATAAATTTTAAAGCAAAAAATATTATTACAGAAAAACACTTCATAATGATTAAAGTTTCAACCTATATATGTATATCAAATGATATAAAAAATATACAAAATATATATTCCTTCTATGTGTGTTTGTGCATATGTATTTTTTATATTTATTCACACATATATTTATCCTTTAAGGTGCTTTTAATTTCTTACTATGGATTTTAGTTGCTAACAATGTCATTTTCTCTCAGCTGGATGACTTCCTTTAATATTTCTTGTAAGACAGGTCTGCTAACCACACAATTCTGTAGCCTTTGTTTATCTGGGAATGTCTTTATTTCATTTTCATTTACAGAGGATAGTTTTGCTGGATATAGAATTTTTGGTGGAATTTTTTTCTTTCAGTGCCTCTCCATTATCTTCTGATCTCCATTGTTTCTGATTTAAAGTCAGAAACAATGACTTCTGATTTAAAGTCAGATTAATTGTATTGCTCTTCTCTTTCAAATGATGAGTCATTTTTCTCTTGTTGAAAAAATATATTGATTTCAATACATTATTTGTGGATTTTGGCTTTCTGAAGTTTAACTATAATGTAGCTAGACATAGATATCTTTGTGTTTACTGTGTTTGAGAGATGTTAAGCTTCTAGATTCTTTCGATTAATGTTTTTCAACAAATTTGAGAAGTTTGTGGCCATTATTTTTTCTTTGTCTTTCTCTCACTTCTCTCTTTCTAAGACTCCAATTTTACATATATGGGTATGCTTGATGGTACTCACAAATCTCTAAGTTTAGTTACTTTTAGTATAGAAAGCATTTGCCTGTACAGCATTGTGGAGTAACTCCTGGGGCCTAACAACAGAGTCCCAAAGTACATAAAGTAAAAATGACAGAAATGAAACAAAAATAAACATACCAAAATTATAGTTGGTGACTTAAATCCTCCAGTCTGAAAAATTGACCACACCAACTAGACAGAAAGTAAATAAGGGTAAAAAGACCTGAAAAACACTACTAAACTATTTGACTTAATTGATGATTTTAGAACACACTATTCAGCAACAGCAGAATGTACACTTTTTCAAGTGCTCATAGAGTATTTCCCCATATAGATTATATGTTATATAATAACATACAGATAGGAGGATTAAAATAATTCAAAGTATATTCTCTCATCACAGAGGGATTTAATTAGAAATAAACAACAGAAAGAAGCTGGAAAAATCACAAATATTTGGAAATTAAACATCACACTCCTAAATAACTCATGGGCTTCAAAAGGAATTTCTAGAAAAATTATGCTTTTAACTAAAAAACTAAAAATATATCAATGTACATGGAATGCAGCCATGATTAGAGGGAAATGTATAACTTTAAATAACTGCATTAGGAAAACAACTACAAAAGTTTCCATCATAATCTAAACTTCTACCTGAAGACACTGGAAAAATAAGAGAAAAGTCAACCAAAAGTAAACATAAGGAAGAAATAACAAAGATCAAATTAGGCCGGGCGCAGTGGCTTGTGCCTGTAATCCCAGCACTTTGGGAGGCTGAGGCAGGCGGATCACGAGGTCAGGAGATAGAGACCATCCTGGCTAACACGGTGAAACCCCGTCTCTACTAAAAAAGAAAAAATACAAAAAATTAGCTGGGCGTGGTGGCGGGTGCCTGTAGTCCCAGCTACTCAGGAGGCTGAGGCAAGAGAATGGCGTGAACCTGGGAGACGGAGCTTGCAGTGTGCCGAGATAGCACCACTGCACTCCAGCTTGGGCGAAAGAGTAAGACTCCATCTCAAAAAAAAAAAAAAAAAAAAAAAGATCAAATTAAAAATCAATTCAATAGATAATAGAAAAATAATAGAGAAAATCAATGGAACTACAACTGTTTACTTGAAATGCTATAAAATTGATAACACTTTAGTCAGACTGAACAAGATAAAAAGCAAGAAAATAGAAATTGCAAAGTCAGGAGTGAAAATGAAGAATACAATTACTAACCCTATAGAAATATATGGAAATGTTATGAACAACACTATGTCAATGAATTTGACAACTTGGGTGAAGCAGACATATTCCTAGAAAGACATAAGAGTAACTCAAGAAAAAAAGCCACATGTCTGGATAGACATATTACAAGTAAAGAAGTATTTTAGTAAATAACACCATATAGAGCAGAGGTCAGCAAAATTTTTCAGTAAGGAGCTAGATAGTAAATATTTTGGGCCATATGCAACCTCTGTCAGTTCTTTTTCTCCTATTCCTCCTCTTCCGTCTTCTAACACTTTAAAAGTATAAAATTTATTCTTAGTTTATGAGTAATACAAATATAGGCCATAGCTTGACTTTAACATGTGAGCAATAGTTTGTCACTCCATGTCACAGAGACAAGCTCAGGACTAGCTGACTTTACTGGTAAATTCCATCAAATATTTAAATAATACCACTCCTACAAGAAAAAACTTCCACAAAATAAAGAATAAGAGATTATTCCTAAATTCATCCAAGTTCAGTCCACAATTTCCTAATTCAGCCTAACAGGTCAGAATTACTTTGATTCTAAATAAAAAGAAATCACAAGAAAACTACAAACTAGTATGTCTATGGTCTCCATAAAATATTAGCAAACCTCATTTAGCCATATATGAAAAGATTATATACTATGACCAAGTGGGATTTATCCCGCCAATGCAAGATTGCCTTGACATCCAAAATCAACTAATGTAATATACCATATTAATAGAATAAAAACATATCAGATTATTATCTCAATGTGTGCAATAAAATAAATTTGACAAAATAACCTGTACCCAATCATAATAAAATCTCAACAAATTATGAACAGATTGAACTCTCTCATCCTGACTAACAGCATGAAAGAAATAAACACTCACCTTAAACATGAAAGCTTGAAGAGATTGAATGCTTTGCCTATAATATTGGTAGCAAAGTAACAATGTCTGTTTTCACTACTTTTATTCAACATTGCACTGGAGATGTCAGACAGTACAGTCAGATAAGAAATTGCAATAAAAGGTATCCAGGTTGGAAAGGAAAAAGTAAAATTCTTTTTAATCTCAGACTACATGATCCTGTATGTAAAAAAAAAAAAAAAAAAAAACTCCTATGAAATCTACAAAGAAACTTCTAGAACAAATCCATTTAGCAAGATTTCAGGATACAGTATGTATAGCAAAAATCATATGTGTTCTAATACTAGTAATAATCCAAAACTGAAATTAAGAAAAATAGTTTTATACTTACATTATAGAAAATAGCACTTTGCAATATATTAAACAACAGAAATGTAAGATCTATACATGGAAAAAATATAAAGTGTTGAGATAAATTTTAAAAGATCTAGAGGAATGGAAAAAGCATTCCGTGATCATGGAAGACTCAGTATTGTTAAGATAGAAATTATCTCCAAATTTATCAATAAGTACACAGCAATCCTTCTCAAAATTCTAGTAGTACCTTTTGTAGAGATTGACTAGCTGATCCTAAACCTATATGGTGATACACAGGACTTGAATAGTCAAGGCAATTTTGAAAAAGAAAAACACAGTTAAAAGACTTACACTAGCCAATTTAAAAACATACGATAAAGCTGTAATAATCAACAGAGTGTGGTATTAACATAAGATCAACAAAGATCAGAAATAAACCCATCCACTATGGTTAACTCATTTTTGAATATGGTGTAAAGTCAGTTTAATGATGAAATAATATTTTCAACAGATAGTACAGAAATTACACTATGCAAAAATACTAATACTATTAATAATGATCTTGGATCATTACCTCACACCATACCCCAAAATTAACTCAGAACATGGTGTACACCAAATATAAGAGCAAAAACTATGAAACTTCTTTTTTTTTTTTTTTTTTGAGACAGAGTCTTGCTCTGTCACCCAGGCTGGAGTGCAGTGGCACCATCTGGGCTCACTACAAGCTCCGCCTGCCAGGTTCACACCATTCTCCTGCCTCAGCCTTCCCAGTAGCTGGGACTACAGGCACCCGCCACCACGCCGGGCTAATTTTTGTGGTATCTTTAGTAGAGACAGGGTTTCACCATGTTAGCCAGGATGGTCTCGATCTCCTGACCTTGTGATTCACCCTCCTCAGCCTCCCAAAGTGCTGGGATTACAGGCTTGAGCCACCACACCCAGCCAAAAGACTATGAAACTTCTAGAAGAAGACAGAAAAAAAATTATGACTTTGGCTTAGTTATTTCTTAGAAGTAACAGGAAAAGCATAATTCAAAAAAGATAAATTGAAAAATTGGACCTCATCAAAATAAAAAATGGTTTATCTTCAAAGTCACCTGTTAAGAAAATGAGAAGACAAATCACAGAGCAGGAAAAAAAGTTTTGAAAGTCATACGTCTGATAAGGGACAGTTAAAACTCAGTAAATAAAAAGACAAACCATCCAATTAAAATGAGTAAAGGATTTGAATAGGTACGTCATCAGAGGTCATATAGGAATAACCAATAAGCAAACAAAAAGATGCTCAATATCATTAGTTATTAGAGAAACAAAATTTAAAAACCACAGTGAGATGACACTACACATTTTCCAGAATCATGATTATTAAAAAAGACCAAGAGTTGGAGAGGATGTGAAAAAACTGGAACCTCACACATTGATGACAGAAATGTAAAATGAAATAGCCAATTCTGAAAACATTTTACAAGTTTTGTTTTTGTTTTTAATTTATTATACCCTTACCCTATGACTCAGTAATTCCACTTCTAGATACCTTGCAAATAAAAGTTTATAACTTCACAAATATTTATTTATTTTTATTTTATTATTATACTTTAAGTTCTAGGGTACATATGCACAACATGCAAGTTTATTACATATGTATACATGTGCCATGTTGGTTTTCTGCACCCATTAACTCATCATTTACATTAGGTATTTCTCTTAATGCTATCCCTCCCCACTCCCCCCACCCCACGACAGGCCCCAGTGTGTGATGTTCCCCGCCCTGTGTCCAAGTGTTCTTATTGTTCAGTTCCCACCTATGAGTGAGAACATATGGTGTTTGGTTTTCTGTCCTTGTGATAGTTTGCTCAGAATGATGGTTTCCAGCTACATCCATGTCCCTACAAAGGACATGAACTCATCCTTTTTTATTGCTGCATAGTATTCCATGGTGTATCTGTGCCACATTTTCTTAATCCAGTCTATTATTGATGGACATTTGGGTTGGTTCCAAGTCTTTGCTATTGTAAATAGTGCTGCAATAAACATACGTGTGCATGTGTCTTTATAGTAGCATGATTTGTTATCCTTTGGGTATATACCCAGTAATGGGATCACTGGTTCACATGGTATTTCCAGTTCTAGATCCTTAAGGAATCGCCACACTGTCTTCCACAATTGTTGAACTAGTTTACATTCCCACCAACAATGTAAAATTGTTCCTATTTCTCCACATCCTCTCCAGCATCTGTTGTTTCCTGACTTTTTAATGATTGCCATTCTAACTGGTGTGAGATGATATCTCATTGTGGTTTTGATTTGCATTTCTCTGATGACCAGTGATGATGAGCATTTTTTCATGTGTCTGTTGGCTGCATAAATGTCTTCTTTTGAGAAGTGTCTGCTTTTCACTTCTTTTGAGAACTGAAGCAGATGAAGACTTCTTGTGTTAGCATAGTGATTAATGAGATGCTGGAGTAGGAGTCAGCCCTGTAGACAAGAAGTGCAGACTTCAGAGATAGAGGGACAGTGGGTACAGGGTCTCAGATGGGTAAGAGAACATGGACTATAGAAAATGGTCAGAAGTTCAGGATTGCCAGGATGAAAAATAGCTAGGATAAGGTGTTCAAGATAAGCTAATTTCTGGAGTCCAGATCACAAAATACCATTAAGCCAGGTGAAGAAATTTAAATTTTATCTTGAATATGAGGGAGAAGCATGGAGAAATGGTGAAGGGATCCAGTAGCATGATCATATTTGTCTACAGTTATCCCTCAGTGTCTTGGTGAATTGGTTCCAAGACCTCCCAAGGATAACAAAATCTACAAATGCCCAAGTCCCTGATAAAAAATGGTTTAGTATTTACATATAATCTATGCATATACTCCCATATACTTTAAGTCATCTGTAAATAATTCATAGTACCAAATACAATGCAATGTTATGTAAATAGTTGTTATACTGTATTGTTTAGAATAGTGACAACGAAAAAAGTCTGTATGTGTTCAGTATAGACACGATTTTTGAAAAAAATATTTTTGATCTGTGGTTGGTTGAATCCAGGGATGTGGAACTCATGAATACAGAGGGCCAACTCTCTGATGCATATCACTTTTGCAAGAAGGCCAGAAGGGTAAGGCACGAGGCTAAGAGTTCAGTAAGGAGGGTTGTTAATCTTCTAGGTGTTTGCTAAGGACACCTGACCATTGGAGATGAGCCTCCCAAGATGATGGTGTCTCCAAAAGAGGATATGCTATTGGGAGGATGATGAACTCTGTTGGGGACAAGCTGAGTTGAGGAGCCTATGAAATATAGAGGTGGAAATATCTAGTAGGCAGCTAGAGAATAAGTTTGAAACTAATGAGACATATGCTTCAAGAAATAGATTGGATGATATTGTCTAAGATGTATGTATAGGTTAAGAGGAAAAGAACAAAAAGTCCAGAAATAAGGTCAAAATAAGGAAAATGAGAATAGAAAGAGCCTACAAAGAAGAGTGAGGAATGGCTAGTATCGTAGAAAACAAACAGAAAAGAAGAATGAACAAGAAATGACTTTTATAATAAAATATGTATGATGTTTTCTAGATTCTTTTCTAACATATTAAAGCTACTTTTTAAGGAGGCAAAACCAGGACAGAGACTCTGTGACTTTACTTTTTGGTAACCTCAAAACAGAGATTTCACATCTGAGCTCAGCACCCAGGGCCCCACAGCAGTCTATACTTCTGTGAAAAATAAATCTATTCAGGGTCCCAGGTCTGATCTCATGTGGATAGAGAACACTTCCCTGAGATTCAGCATATCCAAGACAGAAGAATCACCTAGCCGTGGGATAGTCTTCCAATGCTAAGGGTAGTCTCCAAAGAGATTTAGGGCTGAATCCAGGGACATTGTTAAAGACTATTCTTTGCCAAAGTTGGAGCCTTTTCTTTTCCTTAGGCCTCATGCAGATATAGCTAAAATTACATTTATTTAGAGGGATATTAGTGAAAATAATCATTAATCACTTATTTCAAGTGAAAATAAAATTTTATTCTAAGTTCAAAGTCATAGATTGAGGAACTGAAGCCGTCAGGTGCAGGACTGGGGTCAGGAAAGGGCAGGGACTTTGTGTGGCTGTGTATGAAGGAACAAGTTTAACATGAGGAAGAAACCATGAACCAGAGATAAAGACAGCCTGTGTAGAAAGTCAAAGGATCCTTTTCCTGTTTCTTAGCTGACAAAGACTTTCTTCAGCTAGCCATAAGGTAACTGTCAAATATTATCGCATTTATCTTGAAGGATAAAATTTGTGCAAGCTCAATTGAACAACAACAACTAGATGCAAGGAAAAAGTCAGCTAGGATGACTGTGGGGCTGGGTCATTTCTCAGCTTGTTAGAGACTGAGCCAGAGATAGTCTTTAGTCCAGACTGTTACTTAAAGCACACTGGTCCCTCAAGGCTGAGGAGTCTGGGAAGATTTGTAGGGGTTTCTGTAGTTTAAGATGAGGTTTCTGGAGGCAAGATGTCCTCACATTAGAGGCGACCCTTTCTGTGCGGAGTGTCGGTATCCATGTAGCACTGTGTATTCACTGCTGGCACAGAGGTACTGAGAGGTATGTGAGGGCCTGGCAGACTCCAGGGTCAGGGGAAAATGCTCCGTCCTTATTCTGGAGACTGTTGACTCAGAGGAAAGATCTCCCTTCTCTGTGGAATTAACTCCATAGGAATAGTGGATGAGGTGTAGTTCCATTCCTGGATCTTGTTGATACCAGTACATTTTGTCATGGCCCATGGTTTGAGAACATTCCAGAGTGATCTTCTTTCCTGTCCCTATAACAAGGTATCTTGGGGTCTGGTAGATGTCAGCTTCCATGAGGCCTATGGGAAGAGACAAAAATTGGTAACAGAGTTCACGATGGACTTTGATGCTGAGCCAGGCACAAACCCAACACAGAGGAATTATTCCTTCTAGATTTTGGAATGAACTGTGTCTATGACTTACCTGCCCCCAGAAAATAAAAGCCCACGTAGCAGAGGAGCCTGATAGTCATGGCACAGTTGGGGCTAGAGAGGATGTCTCCCAGTAGTGGGGAAGCAGGATGGGCTCTTGATAATGTCATTGTGTGTGTGTGATGACACAGCCCCTGCAAACTTCCTGGGTCCCACAGCCATCCTGTTGAAACAGTTTCATCTATATCCTTTTAACCCATCAAATGAGTAATATTTTTGTTGACTTCCCTCATCCAAAGTAGGCTTGATGCTTTGCTTATCTTAACTCAAGTCTTTAATATTCTTACAAAACATTCCATTGCAACTGTTTTGTAAGCTATGAACATAAAAACTACATAGCTTTGAGTGCCTGTAATAGCAAGATTTTACCTAATTAAAAAGGTTGGGAAAGGAAGTGGCATTTGAGTTGGGTTCTGAAGGATGAACAGGAATGAACTCTGCAAACCCAAGAGAGAAGAACATGCAGAAGAGGGAACCAGTGAACAGCGTGGCTTGATCAGACAAGGAGCAGGAGAACTTGTGAGCATTAAACGGGGCAATCTATTTATATAGACACATGTAAAGAGCTTGGAGCAGTAACTGGAATTCACTGAGTCCTCAGAATGGTGTTATTATTGTGTGATAATAACTTTCTCAGTCTCATTTTTCACTGACTTGGTGTTCAGGCTTTATCAGCTTTATCAACTTAGCCTTTGCCTAGGATGATTTTAGTCCATCTGCCTTTAATTGCACTATCAATCATGACAGAACAGAAAATATAATCCAATACATGCTTTGGTAATACTGCTACAAATGGTTTGGGTGCTGCTGCAGTAAACAATGTCTAAACCAAGTGCCATTCTCCCTCCGCCCTTTCCCCCATTTCTTCTTAACAGAAAAGTCTTTGGTTTTGATTGTGAGATACAAAGATTAATCCCAGAATTTCTCCCAGTGTTGTCCACTTCCTTTGCCCTAGTTCACTAAGATCTACAGTTGGTATTTACTAAAATTTTTGTTCACATGATGCTGACATAGGCTTTGGGTTTTTACTATTATATCTCTACTATTTGAACACCATGTCTTCAAGTCTGTATGTATTTACATGTAACACATGTGGGCCCCTGCTTACTCTTCCTCTGTCATGTGTCACGAAGGAATATAACAGTTTTGATTTACCAAACCCTGAAATACTCTTGTCCTATCAGGGGCTCCTTTAAGACAAAAGTAACCATTAAAATCATTAATGAGATTTGGCCTTAGACTTTACTATGAAATCTGGTCTTAATAGTAAGTGCTGAGAACAGAAAAAATAAATTGAATTTTACTGCCCCCTGCTGAAAAAAAGGTGTTAGAGGTTTGGGGAGATTCTGACAAATGTTAAAGAAACAGGAAAACGGGAGGCTCCCAGTTGTTCTCAGTGTGAGATGACTGAAGGATGAGTGATGAGTTGATGAAAGTCTTCAGCAGTGACTGGATGTAAAATCTATACCTCACAGTAGAAGCAACTAAAGAAAGGAAAGAAAAGAAGTGCTCAACCTGGGCTTGGAAGTAGATATGAGAGAGTCTCAGGTCCTAGTCAAATGAAGGGGTACTCGAAGGCAGAGGTAACTACCCACTCCTTGCTGCCCAGTGCAGGAATAACTCACACATAGCTTGTCTTTTATTGATGAAAACACTTTCCCCAAAGACTACCTTTCTTGTTTAGTTAGGGAAGTCCTCTGGAGAAGGTGCTGGGAATTGCTAAGTGTGAATAATTACAGAGACAGACATTATTATATATAATTTTTGTATATATCTCTACACATTTTTGTTCTAGTAAAACCCCCTTTCTCAATGGAGGTTTCTTGATTTTCAGGATTTTGTAGTCCTTCCAGTGTCCATGAAGTTTGCATAGGGAAGAGATACCAAGAAAGACAAGAGACAAAATGCAATCTTAATATTCAGCCAGGAGGGAAAGATCTGGAACCAGAATGTGGCAATGCTAAATTAAGACTTCATATTATGGCAAAGGACTCACCTGTCTTCAGGCGAGGCAGAAGGGAGAAAGGCTGAGGGTTCTGGTTTCCCAAACAGTGATAAACATCTCCTAGCTCAGGGCTCTGCACCACATGGAAGTAGGATTACCTCTGAGGTTTCATTTCCCATTGCCAAGAATAGCCTGTACCATCACGGTTCCTGTTTTCACAGAATAGAGTTTGATTCCAGAGAATCACGGACACTGACTATAGGGCATGTGTGTTGAGCTTTTATGCAGTGTCTTATGTCAGAATCCCACAGCAAGGGCTTTTTATGAGCTTCAGCACCATGTTCTCAACCCAGTGGTCCCTCGGTATTCATGGGGGATTAGTTTAAATCCACTGATGCTTAAATCTCTTATATAAAATGGCACAGTATTTGCATATAACCTAGGCACATCCTCCTGTATACTTTAAATCAACTCTAGATTACTTATAATAGCTAATACAATGTAAATGCCATGCAAATAGTTGGTATACCTCAGTGTTTTAGATTTTGTATTTTTTTTGTTGTGTTGTTATTTTGTAATTTTTAAAATATATTTTTCATCTGAGGTTGACTAAATCTGCAAATGAGGACCCCATTGATACAGAGTGCCAACTGTGTACTCTACCAGCATTCGGAAGTTCCAAAGGCCCTCAAATACAGCATGCATAATTCATTCCCCTCCTTCCTTCTAACTCTGCTTCTTTGCCTGTAATACTAAAACTAGGACTCCAGGCATAAACTTAACTTATTAAATATTCTAATTAGACTCAAATATATGAGTATATAAATTTGTGTTAACAATTAAAACAACAAATATTTCATATATTTTCATATATTTGCATCCTCCTTTGCATGTCTTCTTTCTCAGAACTCAGATTCCATTAAGAAAAACAGCTTTGATTTCCCCGAACGTTCTCCCATGTATGTTTGGGATTATGTCACTTCACCCTAGTTCTCAATCAATTATGTATTACCATCAGATATTAATATCAGATAATAATTGTTACATAAGTCTCTATACATTTTTTGTCCAGTAAAACTCCCTCTCTCATTTCCAGCCTTCTCTTAACCAAACATATTTTCTTTGTTTTAAAAAGACTTATAGATGGGAGGTGTGGAGGACTTAAATACACATGTACCAGACCTGGCTTGCTCCGGTCTGAACTCAGACCACGTAGGACTTTAATCATTGAACAAATGAACCCTTGATAGCAGCTACACCATTAGGATGTCCTGATCCAACATCGAGGTCGTAAACCCTATTGTCAATATGGACTCTAGAATAGGATTGCGCTGTTATCCCTAGGGTAACTTGTTCCGTTGATCAAATTATTGGGTCAATATATGTATAGTAATTCGCTTAAACTTGTTTAGTCTTAGCATAGGTTGCTCGGAGGTTAAATTATGCTCCGAGGTCACCCCAACCAAAATATTTAATGCAGGGACAGTAGTTTAAGGCCTGTGGGCTTATCTGAGCTTTGTTTGCATTAATAAATTAAAGCTCCATAGGATCTTCTCATCTTATTTATTCATGTTCGCCTCTTCACAGGCAGGTCAGTTTCACTGGTTGGAAGTAAGAGACAGCTGAACCCTCGTGGGGTCATTCATACAAGTCCCTATTTAAGGAACAAGTGATTATGCTACCTTTGCATGGTCAGGGTACTGTGGCCGTTGAACATATGTCACTGGCAGGTGGTGCCTCTAATACTAATAATGCTAGAGGTGATGTTTTTGGTAAACAGGCAGGGTAAAATTTGCCGAGTTCCTTTTAATTTTTTTTAACCTTTCCTTAGAGCATGCCTGTGTTGGATTAACAGTATCGGTAATAATAAATTTGTTGAGTTGTTTATTAATATTAGGCTGTTAATTTGTCAGTGGGTTATTCTGGTCTGATGTAGGCTTAAGCAGTGGAGAATATTTCATGTTACTTATATTAATATTATTGCATCTATAAAGTAATAGATTAGTCCAATGTGGTGTTAGGAGTTCAGTGGTGTGATTAGAATTTAGAGTGGTTGGATGTTGAGCTTGAACGCTTTCTTAATTGATGGCTGCTTTCGGGCCAACTATGGGGATAATGTTTTTTACTCTCTACATGAAGGTTGTTTCCTAATGTCTAAAGAGCTGTCCCTCTTTAGACTAACAGTTAAATTTACAGGGGGATTAAGTGGCTCTGTAGGTAAATTTAAAGTTGAACTAAGATTCTATCTTGGACAACCAGCTATCACTAGGCTCAGTAGGCTTATCACCACTACTCATGAATCTCCCCACTATTTTACTACATAGATGGGTGTGTTCTTTTAGCTGTTCTTGGGTAGCTCGTCTGGTTTTGGGGGCCTTGGCTTTGGTTCTCTGTGTAAAGTTATTTCTAGTTAATTCATTACGCAGAAGGTATAAGGGTCTATCCTTGCTATTTTATTCTTGGTTAACTTTTTCATCTTTACCTTGCAGTACTACGTCCACTGCGCCTGGGTAAAATTTCTTTCGCCTATACTTTTGTTTGGGTAAATGGTTTGATTAAGGTTATTCGGTAGTACTATTAGTTAAGTTTAGGGCTAGAGTTGGCACAAGGTGGTCAAATTATGGTGAAATCTGGGTGTAAGACAGATGCTTTGTGTTAAGCTACACCTTGGTTCATCCAAGTGCACTTTCCAGTACACTTACCATGTTACGACTTGTCTCCTCTATATAAATATGTAGGGATTTTAGTTAAACTAATCTCTAAAGTGATACTTGAGGAGGGTGATGGGCATTGTGTGTGTGCTTTATGGCCTCATCCAATTAAGCACTCTGCTCTTAATATACTGCTGAATCCTCCTTGAGCCCTTAGATTTCATAAGGGTTGTGAGATTTTCTGGGTGTAGAAAATGTAGCCCATTTCTTACCGCCTCATGGGCTACACCTTGACCTAATGTTTTTATGTAGATACTTGTGCTTACTTTGTGACTTTTACTAGGGTTTGCTGAAGATGATGGTATATAGGCTGAGCAAGAAGTGGTGAGGTAAATTGGGGTTTATCCATTATAGAACAGGCTCCTCTAGAGGGATATAAAGCACTGCCAAGTCCTTTGAGTTTTAAGCTATTGCTTGTAGTGTTCTGGGGAATAGTTTTGTTGATTTAACTATTGGAGTTTAGGGCTAAGCCTAGTGGGGTATCTAATCCCAGTTTGGGTCTTAGCTATTGTGTCTTCAGAAGTATTAAAGCCTCCTTCATAGTTTATTTTATTTCAGCCCGGGTTTTATACAACTGAGATGAAGCTTAGCTTTATTAAGGATAGACCTAAAACACTCTTTATGCTGAGTTCTATTAGCTCAGGTTAATTGTATGGCTGCGGTGGCTGGCATGAAATTAACCAACCCTGGATATTAGTATAGTTTAGTTAAACTTTTGTTTATTGCTAAAGGTCTATCACTGTTGTTTCCCGTGGAAGTTTGGCTGAGCAACGTGTTTTGAGCTGCATTTGTGCGTGCCTGATACTTACTCCTTTTGATCAAGGTGATTTAGATGTACTTTCACTGGGATGGGGATGCTTGCATGTGTAATCTTACTAAGAGTTAATAGAAAGGCCAGGACCAAGACTGTCTGTTTATGGGGCTGTATAAGCCCATCTAGACATTTTCAGTGTCTTGCTTTAAATAATTAAGCTACATTAACTGTATATATGTTAAGTGCAAAATTGGAGTATAGAAGAAGATACAGGCAATATGCACAGTTGTAGGGTTCAGGGATTTAAAGTTGAGTTAGCAGGAGTTGGTGGAGTAGATTTTAGTACTCGCGAGTGGTTGGTGTAGTACAAGGTGACAGATGATGCCTTTCGGGGTGTGTAAATTTAGGATATGGGCTTAGTAATGGATGGGCGTGCGTGTTAGATATAATTGTTGTAAAAGTAGAATTAGATTGGTGAGGGGTTAGTTTCCTAAAAAAATTTGCATTAGTTGAGGGGTAGCTGTTGGGGATACCCAAAGCTAAAATACAAATATTTTGGGCTCTGGCAGAGTTGAATTAAGGCTTACTTGTTTTTGAAGTTTGGCAAGGTGTCTTTTTTCCTGGGTTGATGAAGTCAGAGATGGGGCAGGGGAGTGTTGCAGATTTTCATTTTAAAAGTCCAATAAGGGGAGCGGTTGTATGTGTTTGTCTGTTAATTACTGTTATGTCCTTCAAGCATGAATTAATTAGCACCTTAGGGTAGTTATGCCCTGTCGGAATATTGAATTTAGGCACAATTAATATAGGTGATTGGTAGGAATCAAAGACAGGTCCGGCTGCAGGTGATGGGGAGGGGACCAGGCCTTCTGTGATGTGATAGCATACCCGAAAGTTAAAATACCAAATGCACGGCAGTGCTCCCATGACTGATTAATAGGGTGATAGTCACTGGTCCATCGAGATGTCTACTTTTAACTAAAGAATATATATAGCCTTGTGAAGAGCCAGTATAAAAAGAAAACCAGCACAAGACAAAGATACCCTCTTTCGCCACTCCTATTCAACATAGTACTGGGAGTCCTGGTCAGGGCAATCAGGCAGAAGGAAGAAATAGACATCCAAATAGGAAGAGAGAAAGTCAAACTATCCCTATTTGCAGATGACATGATTCTATATCTAGAAAACCCCATAGTCTCTGCCCAAAAGCTGCTTGATCTGATAAACAACTTCAGCAGTTTTAAAATACAAAATCAACATTAAAAAGTGGCATTCCAATACACTAAAAACATACAAGCTAAGAGCCAAATCAGGAATATGATTCCATTCATAATTGCCACACACAACAAATACCTAGGAATACAGCTAACCAGAGAAGTGAAAGGTCTCTACAACAGGAATTACAAAACACTGCTCAAAGAAATCAGAGATGACAAAAACAAATAGAAAAACATTCTATGCACATGGATAGGAAGAATCAATATCATTAAAATGGCCTTACTGGCCAAAGCAATGTAGATTCGATGGTATTAAGTTGGCGCAAAAGTAATTGTAGTTTTGGTGAATTTTAAATCATAACTAGGCTCAAGCACATCTTTATTAATCAAAATAGGAACCATTACAATCAACACATTTTTTGCCAATGAGAAATAAGTTTGTTTATTCTTGTAGCATAAAAATCTATGCTTTGGAATTCAGTGAACTCTTGGAAAGCATTTTCTGCATCTTGCTGGCTGTGGAAGCATTTTCCCTGCAAAAAGTTGACAAGATGCTTGAAGAAGTGGTAGTTGGTTGATGAGAGGTCAGGTGAATATGGCAGATGAGGCAAAAGTTTGTAGCCCAATTTATTCAACTTTTGAAGCATTGGTTGTGCAACCTGCGGTCAGATGTTGTTGTGGACAAGAATTGGGCCCTTTCTGTTGACCAATGCCAGGTGCAGGCATTGCAGTTTTTGGTGCATCTCATCAATTTGCTGAAGATACTTCTCAGATGTAATGGTTTTGCCAGGATTCAGAAAGCTGTGGTGGATCACACTGGCAGCAGACCACCAGACAGTGACCACGTGTAGGGTCCAGACCCACAGGGTTGGTGGGTTTTCTCCTCGTGTGCAGAGATGAGAGAGCATAGAAATAAAGACACAAGACAAAGAGATAAAAGAAAAGACAGCTGGGCCCGGGGAACCACTACCACCAAGACACAGAGACCAGTAGTGGCCCCGAATGCCAGGCTGCGCTGATATTTATTGGATACAAGACAAAGGGGCAGGATAGGGCATGTGAGCCTTCTCCAATGATAGGTAAGGCCACATGGGTCATGTGTCCACTGGACAGGGGGCCCTTTCCTGCCTGGCAGCCGAGGCAGAGAGAGAGAGGAGAAAGAGAAACAGCTTACACTATTATTCTGCTTATCAGAGACTTTTAGTACTTTCACTAATTTGCTACTGCTAACTAAACGGCAGAGCCAGGTGTACAAGATGGAACATGAAGGTGGACTAGGAGCGTGACCACTGAAGCACAGCATCACAGGGAGACGGTTAGGCCTCCGGATAACCGCGGGCGGGCCTGAATGATGTCAGGCCTTCCACAAGAGGTGGAGGAGTACAGTCTTCTCTAAACTCCCCCAGGGAAAGGGAGACTCCTTTTCCCGGTCCGCTAAGTAGCAGGTGTTTTTCCTTGACGCTAACACTACCGCTAGACCAAGGAGCCCTCTGATGGACCTGTCCGGGCATAACAGAAGGCTCGCACTCTTTTCTGGTTGCTTCTCGCTATGTCTCCTCAGCTCCTAACTCTGTATACCCTGGTTTTTCCTAGGTTATGATTATAGAGCGAGGATTATTATAATATTGGAATAAAGAGTAATTGCTACAAACTAATGATTAATGATATTCATATATAATCATATCTAAGATCTATATCTGGTATAACTATTCTTATTTTATATTTTATTATACTGGAGCAGCTCGTGTCCTCGGTCTCTTGCCTCGGCACCTGGGAGGCTTGCCGCCCACAACTATGACCTTTTTTTGGTGCAAGTTTGGCTTTGGGAAGTGCTTTGGAGCTTCTCGGGCCAACCATTGAGATGATTGTTGGCAGTTGTCATATAAAATCCACTTTTCATTCCATGTCACAATCTGATCAAGAAATGGTTCGTTGTTATTGCATAGAATAAGAGATGACACTTTAAAATGACAATTTAAAAAAAGTTTTGCTCACTTTATGAGGCACCCACTTATCGAGTTTTTCACCTTTCCAATTTGTTTCAAATGCTGAACAACTGTAGAGTGGTCAACCTCGAGTTCTTTAACAACTTCTCGCCTAGTTGTAAGAGGATCGGTTTTGATGATTGCTCTCAACTGGTGATTGTCAACTTCTGATCACCTGCCACTATACTCTGCATCTTCAGGGCTCTCATCTCCTTTGAAAAACTTCTGGAACCAACACTGCACTGTATGTATGTTCATTAGCAGTTCCTGGGCCAGATGCGTTGCTGATGTTGCGGGTTATCTCTGCCACTTTATGACTCAGTTTGAACTTGAATAAGAAAATCACTCAAATCTGCTTTTTGTCTAACACCATGTGGATAGTCTAAAATAAATACCAAATAAGTAGCAAGTAATAAGTAATTAGCAAAAAAATAAAGTGAGAATGTTCATTAAAATGATGTATAACATAACCACATTTACTTAAGAATGTATTTCAATACCAAATGGCAAATTCCAACAATGCAAAAACTGCAAATACATTTGCACCAACCTAATATTCCTATCAAACTACTAATGACGTTTTTCACAGAATTAGAAAAAACAGTATTTTAAAATTCATGTGGAACCAAAAAGCCCAAATAGCCAAGGCAATCCTAAGTCAAAAGAACAAGGGCTAGAGGCATCATGTTACCAACTTTAACCTACACTGCAAGGGTACAGTAACTAAAACAGCATGGTGTACTGTACAAAAACAGATATAGACCAATGGGATAGAATAGAGAGCCAGGAAATAATGCCACATACCTACAGCCATCTGGTCTTTGACAAAGCTGACTAGAACAAGCAACGGGGAAAGAACTCCTTATTCAACACATGGTGCTGGGGATAACTGGCTAGCCATATGCCAAAGATTGAACTAGATCCCTTCCTTATACCATATAGAAAAATCAACCCAAGATGGATTAAAGACTTAAATATAAACCTAAAGCTATAAAGCCCCTGGAAGATAACCTAGGAAATATTATACCATCCTAATCATATGACTTGGCAAAGATTTCATGATGAAGATACCAAAAGCAATTTCAAAAAAATCAAAAATTGACAAATGAGACCTAATTAAAGAGCTTCTGCACAGCAAAGGAAACTATCAACAGAGTAAATAGACAAACTACAGAATGGGAGAAAATATTTGCAGACTATATATGCATCAAAGGTCTAATATCCAGATTCTATAAGGAACTTAAACTTACAAGCAGAAAACAGATAACCCCATTAAAAAGTGGGCAAAGGGCATGAACAGACACTTTTCAGCAAAAGGTATACATGTGATCAACACACATATGAAAAAATGCTCAACATCACTAATCATTAGAGAAATGCAAATCAAAACTACAATGAGATACCATCTCACACCAGGCAGAATGGTTATTATCAGAAGTCAAAAAATAACAGATCCTTACAAGGCTGCTGAGAAAAGGGATTGCTTATATGCTGCTGGTGAGAGTGTAAATTAGTTCAGCCATCATGGAAAGCAGTATGGTGATTCCTCAAAGAACTGAAAACAGAACTTCCATTTGACCCAGCAGTCCCATTATTGTGCATATACCCAAAAGAGTAGAAATCATTCTATCATAAAGACACATGCACACAGATGTTCATTGCAGCACTATTCACAATAGCAGACACATGGAATCAACCTAAAAGGCCGCCAACAGTAAGCTGGGTGAAGAAAATATAGTACATATACATCACGGAATACTATGCAGCCATAAAAAGAAAGAGATCAGCATCACAGTTTTGCATATAACTGTTTATTATAACAAACCTGTACATGTCCCCATGAACCCAAAATAAAAGTTAAAGAAGTATGAAGGGACATAACAACTATGATAACTTTGAAATGCATAAACTATCACACACAAGAGAAAAGCTGAATCTTTGTCTACAGACATTGGAAAAACTGTTATAGATAAGCTCATCTTTGATCTGAGAATTAAAGGATATGTGAGGATTAGCCAGGCACTCAAGATTTATTTCAAACAATAGATGTTGGTGAGGCTGCAGAAGAAAGGGAACACTTATACACTGTTAGTGGGAATGCAAACCAGTTCAGCCACTGTGTAAAGCAGTTTGGAGATTTCTCAAAGAACTTAAAATGGAGCTACCATTTGACCCAGCAATCCCGCTACTGGATATATACCCAAAGGGAAATAATTTATTCTGTCATAAGGACACATGTACCCATTATGTTCATTGCTGCACTATACACAATAGCAAGGACATTGAATCAACCTAAGCACCCATTAACAGTGAACTGGATAAAGAAAATGTGGTACATATACACCATGGAATACCATGCAGCCATAAAAGAACAAAATCATTCCCTTTATGCAACATGGATGGAGCTGGAGGACATTATCTTAAGCAATTAATGCAAGAACAGAAAATCAAATACTATATGTTAAGTGGGAGCTAAATGAATACACATGATTGTAAAGATAGAAACCATAGACACTGGGGCTCACTAGATGGGAGAAGGAGGGAGCAGGGCATGGGCTGAACAATCACCTGTTGGATTCTATGCTTATGTCCAGGGTGATGGGATTGTTGGGACCTGAAGTCTCAGCATCACGCAATTTACCCATGTGACAAACCTGCACAACATGTGCCCACTAATCTGTAATAAAAGTTGAAATTAAAAAATTAGTTTTGACAAAAAAGGAATAAAGAAGCTCATTTCAGATGAAGGAAAGAGCTTTGGCAAAGGTACACCTGTGCAATTCAGGCTGGTATATTCAGGGAAATATAAAAAGTTCAGTTCAGCTACAGTCTAAAGTGCTGGAGTGAATTCGGCCAATTTGGCCAGATGTTTAGTTGGAGAACCATTTCCGAAGGGCTTTGTGTGTTGTGTGAGGAATGTCATATGTGGTCATGCTGGTGGCAATGTGAGAAATAGGGTAAGGGAAAGGGGTAAGAAGCTAGTAAGCCAGGGAGAGGGCATTGCATTTATTTCTAGGCAATGAGTGATGAGGGTCTGCACTGAGGTAGAAGCAATGAGGAGGGAGAGGGGTAACTGAATCAGATAAATATGTGTATATTAGAAACTGTGATGCCGACATCTCTCTGTGAATGGTCTTGTTCTAAAGAGACACTTCCTCCCCATCAAATTCATGAGTGCTTCTCAGAGCAACTCACATATAATGACATGGTTACAAGGAAAGTGGGAATAAGACCTGCCATCTCACCTTGGGATGGCACTAAAGGACCATCCAGACTCAGAGCTCCCTGTGGGGTGAGTGAAGGACTTTGTTGAGGATACAGCAAAGCCCAACTTCTCCCTCTGCCCCATTTCCCTCTGCCCACGTGGACTGCAAGGGCAGTTTCCACAAACCTTCCCGCACACTAATTTTCCTCTCAAAATCTGCTTTTGGAGAACATAAACTATGACAATGTGTGATATACAAGTAATAGATTTAGAAACTGATTTAATATGAGGCATAGCAAAAATGAGGAACCTAGAAGGGCTGTTCCAATCACTGAGATAGAAATACAGTGTGTGGCCAAAATGGGCAAGTGCAAGGATGGAGAGGCAGTTTATTTCAGGGATAAACTGAGTTTGAATTGCCTATGGAGCATCCAGCTTCAAGTGTCCAGTAGATAGTTGAATTTGCCAGGCAGGAACCTATGAAAGAAGTTGTCATGACAATGAATGCGAAGGTTGAGGAAAGACATGTGTACTGAGGAAAAAGGAGGGCAGAAGGAAAAATCCTGGGGAAATCTATCAGAAATGTCCAGGAGACAATTAACTGGGACAGTTAACAGCTTGTAAGGGAAGAATTATTATTGCTGATAAGACTTGATGAGGTGTGCATAGAAAGCAGGAAACAAAACTCTGGAGAAACCTGTTTTTTAAATGGAAGCCAATGAGAAAGAATCCCTAAAAGTAACATGCTTTACACATGAGAACAGGTAGAAAAGGGAACAAGTTGGATTCTTCATTTCTGAACAGTCACCAAGTCCCATGGATTCGTTTGCTGAAATAATTGAGGCTTATGGGACAAGAAGACTAAATCCATGAGGAAGACATCAACTTGATTCTCAGGAAGACTTTTACGTCAAGCTCTGGCAGTCCTTGATCAATTATTTTTGTGCCTGGGCCTCACTGGCTCCTAAAAGAATCCCCACAGCAGGGGAACCAGGGAATTATTCTAGTGCCTGGAAACAAGGGGCACTTCCAAGCTCCTAGCTTTGACCTCATACTGGGGACAGGGAATTTTATTTTTTGAAATTCAGTACATCCAGATAATAATGCAAGTCTATCTGCACCTGCAGGTTAAAATGAATCTCAGCAGAGATCAAAGTGTGGGGTAGTAGATGAAAAATTACTTTTGTAAATCACAGTCTCTGTTACTTGAACTTTAACTTCTGAGTCAGATTTAATGACAATTAAATTTACTTACAGTGAAGTTTTAGAAAACAAGCTAGTTATTTTGTTTTTAGTAGAAAGGCAATCAATTATAGAGCTAAATGGTGGAGCTGAGCTTGGAAGAACTGGGGCAGAGAAAGGTTAGACAGGATAAAGGAGCTGTCAGTGGGAACAGAACAAAGTGTGGGATGTTGCAAAGTGGGTGGAAATAATGGCAAAAGGACTATAAAAACTGCATTGTATTCAGCTCATAAGAAATGCTCTTGTTGAAAATCATGAGCTTCTGTCAAATGCTCAAGTTCCTTCTCCTGAAAGGTCACCATTCGTCTAGCTCCCTAGGAAAAATAAATAGACAGGGGAGATTGATTCAGTGTAGCCTGTGCTTTCAGAGTCATCACATGGCTTGGGGACATTGATCCAAAGTGGCCCTTAGCTCACACTACCTAAGACCACTGAAAGCTCTAAACACCCCACATCCCACAACCCACATCCAGGTACCCTTCAGAGCAAACAACTCACCCATGTGTCTGTCTTTCTGTGTAGAGAGCAGGTGGCCAAGAAGCACTGTGCAAATCACTGGTGGCACAGAAGTAAAGAGCTGTCTGGTTGGGGATGGCAGACTCTAGGGACAGGGAGAATTTAGCCTGTGCCTGTCGAGAGACACTGTATCCATCAGAGATCTCTCCTTTGTTTATATCTTTGACATCAAAGGAGTAATAGATCAACTGTAGGCCCAGTCCTGGGTCTTGTCGATACCAGTACATTCTATCATGACCCTTAGTCTGAGAACATTCCAGCATAATCCTCTTTCCTGTCTTTGTGATCCTATTCCTTGGGGTCTGGGTAACATCAGCATCCATGGACCCTGTGGGAAATAAGACAGAAATTGAAGACAGAAACTGGTAAATATCCTCGTGCTGCAATCTCTGAGGATAGGCTTAATTCAGAACCTGGAAAATTTAAGGCAGTGATTTCCCCATCTGTGTTCCAAACTCACCTGTTCCCAGGAGATAAAAGGCCCCACAGAAGAAGAGCAGGGAGGCCATGGCATGAAGAGGCAGGATGGAGGTGTTTCCAGCTCTGGATGTTGAGGGAAGCAGGGCATGGAAATAGAAAACTGGGAGGATTCAGGAAGTGATGTCATTGTCCCTCCCAAGGTACTGGGTCTTAAAGAAAGATGCCATGTTGGCTTATGTATTATATGTTCTTAGCAGATGCTGAAATTCTTCTACTTGCTTCTCTTCTGTTTTTCTGGCGCTTTACTGGCAACCACCAGAGAGTTGTATCTCTCCCCTTTCTCAGGGCATATCCATTTCAGTTGTTCAAGGTGACATCATCCTCCTGATAAAACAGGCTGGAGAAAATTCAAAACCAAATTGAATTTCGAATAAAGGAAGTCTAGTCTCACTTGAATGATAGGACATTATAACTCTTCTCCTTTTTTTCTGCATTTAATCATTTATTCTAACTCAGTTCTTGGTAAACTATGCAATTTGAATACATTCTCTGTAAAGTTTGAGACTTTTTTGTTGTAAGAAGGACAGGATTCCTAACTTTGTTTCAAATTGCTCCTATTTTTTAGTGGCTCCTGCTTTTCTGGTCAATGTTTTCTGGGCACAGAGCTTTATTAAAAATATTGGCTTATTGTAGAAAGATGTTAGTTTAATGTGGGTATGTGCTTCAAAGAAGTACTTAACGCCTTCATTCCTATTTTGAATTAGCTGAAAATACAGTTGTTCATTAAAGAATTCATTTTATTCTAACACAAATTATTCCTGACTTTAGGAGGAAAGAGCTAATATTTAATGCAGCAGATTGCAAGTACAGAACAGTTATGGTGATAGTGTGAAACATTGTTCAATGTAATAAACAACTGGCTCTTTGCTGCTTCAGATCTGTGCTCGTCCTGGTGAAAAAGGAAGAGTTCCCTGACCCCCCTGGAAGGACGTGCGACAGGAGTGTTGCTCACCTTTTCAGTTGCTGCAACTGCTCAAACCCCTGAGGGGAAAGGGAACACACAGAGGGACAGATGCAGGAGCCCAAGTGGGCAGATAGTTCTGCCATCTGCACACGGCTTGAGTGTTAACCAGCTCAGTGGACCCTCTGCCTTTTTGCAAGGGCAGAGGGCCAGTGTGACAGCTTTCTGTGTCCCGAGCTCTTGCCCAGCGTCCTGGAAGAATTGGGTCACACATGGGCTTGAAGGATGAATGTGGGGTTTTATTGAGTGGTGGCAGTGGCTCTCAGTGGGATGGATGGGGAGCTGGAAGGGGGGATGGAGTGAGAAGATGATCTTCCCCTTGGAGTTTGGCCATCCAGGGACTGAACTCTTCTCTGACCACCTCCAGCTGAACTCCTCTCGGGTTTCAGACGTTCCTCCTCTTTTTCTCTGCCACGTTGTTCTGCCCTCCCTCTGCTTGTCTCCTAGCCTGCTTCTCTGCCTCTGAAGCCTGGGGTTTGGGGTTTATATGGGTAAAAGAAAGGGGGCATGGTGGGTCAAAAGACAACTTTTTGGGAATGAAAACAGGAATGCTTGTCCCCATTTACAGCTGCAGGTCTCCAGGCTTGAGGGTGGGGCCTTTGCTGGGAAACCACCCTCTTCTACCCAGTATTTCCGTCTCCTGTCCATATCACTGACCCTCCCTCATGCATGGATACACCATGGCATCCTACCCTAATCATTCCTGCTGCATGTCAAATTGGTAAAGTCTTATTTTTAGATATTTTTACTTTTAATTCTAAAAATTTCAAACATATACAAAGTAGGCTTAATAAACAATGAGCCTTCATGTCCTCACATGAGTCATCTTTGGTAATTACCAAGTCCTCATGGCCTCTCTTGTTCATCTACCTCCTCCTTCACCACTTCTGCCTCTCCTGTGTAATTTTGAATAGTTGTTGCTTTATTTAGGAGTACCCAAGCACATTTTACAGCCTTTGCCTACACTCCAGATGACATATTCCAGTGTCCCCTCCCTTCTTCTCTTTTTGGTTAGAGTTCTCCATTAGTAATATGAATGAAAATACGGATTTGTTCCAGTAAATTCCTTAGCCAGGCATCTGATGAATATAAACAAGACAATGATCATAAAAACTTTTATTTTGGCTTTGTCTTCAACGTAAAAAAAAAAAAATCATTGCCCTTATTTGCTATTCTTAAAGTAAACATGCTGTTTTGGTGCCCCCTGCTGTGGGCAGTAATTTGAGTGGAATTAATATTTGGGAGCTGAATATGAACTATTCTTGGTGATCACATTAGTTGAGAGAAGAGAGGACTCATATCCAGTGGTTGAGAGACCGTTTTCCCGGGCATTTCTGATAGAAGTTTGTAGGTGCAGAGCAAGGAAAGGAGAAGCAGAAATCATTCTGGGAGCAGAATCTATGCCCGAGGAGGAGTGAGTGAGCATTATCAGAGGAATGAATGGAGGAGACACACATTTGCACGGGAATGAAATTGAAAAAGGCATCCCAATTTCTGGACAAATGAGAGGGTTCTTCATGGCACAGGCCAATATATTCTGTACTCTGGGCTGGCTCACGCACCTCTCAAATCGTATTTATAATCCACTTTTGCTCTGACCTATACTCTACCACAAGCAAAACACAGACTTCTTGGTCTCACCCACAGACCATGTCCATCTGTTTGCTGTGCGTATGTACGTGATTCTAAGGACTGTTGAACCCCTCATTCCATGTGTGAGTTGTTGATCTGTATAACACACACCCTGTGGCATAAAAGGCTGCCAAAGGATAAATAATTTTCTTTCTTCACTACTGCTTAGAGTTTTTGGTGTCCTAAGAGAATTTTGCCCACTCTCAACGCACAAAGATGTTTTTCTATGTTTTATTCTAGAATATTTGTGGTTTCAGCTTTTATAATTACCTCTATGAAACATCTCAATTTAACTTTCATTTATAGTGGTAGGTGACAGTAAAGGTTCATTTTTTCCATATGATTATCCAGTTTTTCCAACATACCTGTTGAAAATTACCATCTTAATGCATTGAAACTTCCAATCCATAAACATGATATATCTCTCCATTTAAAAATATTTTCTTTAATTTCCATTTGTGGAGTTTTGTAGTTTTTAATTGAACATCTATTCTAAATTGTTCTTAAGTAATTTGTTATTGGCACTATTGTAAATAGTATTATTTTCTGAAGTTTGTGTTTCAATTGTTTTCAACTAGTAAAAAAAACTTGATTTTTAAAATACTGATGTATCCTGTGATATTGGTAAATTCACTATTTCTAGTTGTTGTTCCTTGATTTCTTATGATTTTCTATGTAAACAATCATGTAATCTACAAATAATTGTACTTCTTCCTTTTCAATGTTTAAAACTTTTATTTTTTTGCTTTATCATGCTGGTTAAGATCTCCAATATAATATTGAATAAAAGTAGTGAGCAGCTTAGTGCAAGCATTTATTAAGCCCAAGAATTCAAGTCCCACCTGGGGAATATAGTAAGACCTCATCTATAATTAAAATAAAGTAAAAAGTAATGAGAAAACTTCATGGCTTGTGTCTTATTATAGGAGGAAAGTACTCAACACACTATTACATCGGATGTTATTTGTAAATTTTTCATT
Source organism: Homo sapiens (assembly GCF_000001405.40). Classification (NCBI taxonomy): domain Eukaryota; kingdom Metazoa; phylum Chordata; class Mammalia; order Primates; family Hominidae; genus Homo; species Homo sapiens. Next base: position 142,653,192 of record NC_000007.14, on the reverse strand, counting down.
TATAACTTTAATCAGATTAAGATAACTGTCTTACCAGTTTACTGATAGTGTGTCTTTTGGATAAGTATTGATTTTGTCAAAGGTTTCTCTGCATCTATTGAGATGGTCAAGTGATTATTCTTCATTATTCTGCTAATATGGTGAAGTATATTGATTTTGGAATGCTAAACCACTGTTTCTCCTGCAATAAACTCCCTTGGACATGTGGTAGAATTGTCCACATATACACATATGTATATGCACACAAATATATACATATATCCATACATATTTGGATTTATTTATTTATTTTTGATCCAAAAGTAAATGTTCTATTTTTTGAAGAAAATTAATTTTTGGAAGCTTTTGTTCATCAAAATTTGAGTGAATTATCTGGTGTTACCTCCCCCCCAGTAGATGTACTTTATAGCAACTCTACTTTCTTTTTTTTTTATTTCTGGGGTACATGTGCAGGATGGGCAGGTTTGTTACATAGGTAAATGTTTGCCATGGTGCTTTGCTACACCTATCAACCCATCACCTAGATATTAAGTCCAGCATGCATTACCTATTTTTCCTAATGCTCTCCCTCCCCCCACTCCACCCCCCAACAGACCCCAGTGTGTGTTGTTCCTCTCCCTGTGTTCATGTGTTCTCATTGTTTAGCTCCCACTTATAAGTGAGAACATGCAACATTTGTTTTTCTGTTCCTGGGTTAGTTTGTTGAGGATAACAGCTTCCAGCTTCATCCATGTCCCTGCAAAGGACATGATCTCATTCATTTTTATGGCTGCATAGTATTCCATGGTGTACATGTACCATTTTCTTTATCCAGTCTATCGTTGATGGGGATTTGGGTTGATTCCATGTCTTTGCTATTACGAATAGTACTGCAATGAACATATGCATGCATGTATCTTTGTAATAGAATGATTTATATTTCTCTGGATATATACCCAGTAATGGGATTTCTGGGTCAAATGGTATTTCCGGTTCTAGATCTTTGAGGAAGCACCACACTATCTTCCACAATGGTTAAACTAATTTATGTTCTAACCAACAGTGGAAAAGCATTCCTATTTCTCCACAACCTTGCCAGCATTTTCATAATGGCTGTTCTGACTGGTATGAGATGGTATCTCATTGTGGTTTTGATTTGCATTTCTCTAATGATCAGTGGTGTTGAGATTTTTTTTTTGGTATGTTTGTTGGCCTCATGAATGTCTTCTTTTGAGAAGTGTCTGTTCATGTCCTTTGCCCACTTTTTAATAGGATTGTTTGTTTTTTTCTTGTAAATTTGTTTGAATTTCTTGTAGATTCTGGGTATTAGATCTTTGTCAGATGGATAGACTACAGAATTTTCTCCCACTCTGTAGGTTTCCTGTTCACTATGATGATAATTTCTTTTGCTGTACAGAAGCTCTTTAGATCCCATTTGTCAATTTTTGCTTTTGTTGTAATTGCTTTTGATGATTTCATCATGAAATCTATGTGCCTATATCTGAATGATATAGCCTAGATTTTATTCTAGGGTTTTTATAGTTTTGGGTTTTCCATGTAATCTTTAATCTATCTTGATTTAGTTTTAGTATAAGGTGTGAGGAAGAGGTCTAGTTTCAATTATCTGCAAATGGTTAACCAGTTCTCCCCACACCTTTTATTAAATAGGGAATCCTTTCCCCATTGCTTGTTTTTGTCAGGTTTGTCGAAGATCAGATGGTGTAGATGTGTGATCCATTTCTGAGTTCTCTACTCTGTTCCATTGGTCTATATGTCTGTTTTTGTACCAGTACTATGCTGTTTTGGTTATTGTAGCCTTATAGTTTGAAGTCCGGTAGCATGACGCCTCCAGCTTTGTTCTTTTTGCTTATGATTGTCTTAGCTGTTTGGGCTCTTTTTTGGTTCCATATGAATTTTAAAATAGTTTTTCCTAATTCTGTGAAGAATGTCAATGGTAGTTTAATGGGAATAGCATTGACTCTATAAATTACTATGTGCAATATGGCAGTTTTCATGATATTGAGTCTTCCTATCCATGAGGATTAAATCTTTTTCCATTTGTTTGTGTCTTCTCTGGTTTCCTTGAGCAGTGGTTTGTAATTATTCTTGAAGAAGTCCTTCACTTCCCTTGTTAGCTATGTTCCTAGGTATTTTATTATCTCTGTAGCAATTGTGAATGGGAGTTCATTCATGATTTTGTTCTCTGCTTGCCTGTTGTTGATGTATTGAAATGCTTGTGACTTCTGTACTTTGATTTTGTATCCTGAGATTTTGCTGAAGCTGCTTATCAGCTTAAGAAGCTTTTGAGCTGAGACAATGGGGTTTTCTAGATATAGGATTATGTCATCTGCAAACAAAGACAATCTGACTTTCTCCCTTCCTATTTGAATACCTTGTATTTCATTCTCTTGCATGATTGCTCTGGCCAGAACTCCCAATACTATGTTGAATAGGAGTGATGAGAGAGGGCATCCTTGTCTTGTGCTCGTTTTCAAGGGGAACGCTTCTAGCTTTTGCCCATTCAGTATGATATTGGCTGTGGGTTTGTCATAAATAGATCTTATTATTTTGAGGTATGTTCCTCAATACCTAGTTTATTGAGATTTTAACATGATGTTGAATTTTATTGAAGGCCTTCTCTGCATCTATTGAGATAATCACGTGGTTTCTGTCTTTAGATCTGTTAATGTGATGAATTACGTTTATTGATTTGCATATGTCGAACCACCCTTGCATCCCGGGAGTGAAGCCAACTTGATCGTGGTGGATAAGCTTTTTGATGTGCTCCTAGATCCAGTTTGCCAGTATTTTATTGAGACATATTTGGATTTAATTTGTTAATATATTGTGAAAAGTTTTCTTTCATTTGCAGCCATAAAAGATACTGTTCTGTAATGCATTTGACAGATTTTGGCATTAGGTTTTTGCTGGGTTTATAAAAGTGTTGTGAAGTGTTTCTGCCTCTTCTATTTTCTTAAAAAATTTATGTAAGATGGATAGTCTTTTTTCCTTAATTTTAGAATAGAATTCATGAAGAAATAATTCAGGTCTGGAGTTTCCTTTGAGGGAAGGCTTTTGATAAAAAATTTAACTTCCTTCATTTGAAGTTCTTTACATTTCTTATTTCATTTTGAATCATTTTGGTAAGTGGTATTATTCAAGAAATTTCATTTCATCTAAGTTGAAGAATGTATTGCATATACTTATAATATTCTGTCGCTATTTTAATGTCTTTTGTATCTATAGACATATGCTTTCCTTCATCATTGATATGGTAATTTGTGTCTTTCCCCTTTTTGTCTTGATTGCTATGGGTTAATCAATTTCATCAGTTGATTAAATCATGACCATATTTTCCTCCAAATTCTTGAACATATTTCTATAATAACTGCTTGAAAATTCTCATCTGAAATTTCCAACATTTGTATTATTTCAGGGTTGGTTTTTATTGTTTATTTTTTTCCCATGTGTAACATTTCCTAGTTCTTCCCATGTCTAATATTTTTTTTCATGTCAAGATCAAAATTGTAGATGCTGCATTGTTGACACTCTAGAGATACATATCTCTCTACAGACTTATATATCTACAGATTATATATATGTATATGTTTATATTTGCCTTTATTTAGAGAGTGCTGAGATATTTTTCTTCAAAAGGCAGTGAACTTATTGGAAGATCAGCGACATCCTTTTGAGACTTGCTGAACTTTGTTAGGGCAGTTCTGGAGTGGTTTACTCTAGGACGTTGGTAGTCCTTCTCTTGAGATGTGACCCTTATGTGGTGCCAGCTGCATTCCCAGGGGTTTCAGCAAGGCCTCTCAGCTCTGCCCAGTCAGGATTCATGTCTCCCATGCTCGTATGACTGTCAGAATCTCTATTCCTCTCACAACTACCCAGCAACTGTTCTCTGCCAGGTCTTATGGAGGCGTTTCCCATGCATTTGCTGCTTAGTTTTTGACCAAAGACTTAAGGGGACCTCATAAAATATTTGGAGGTCTTATTCTGCATAGCTTCCTTCTCTGCAGTAGCTTATCCCTATCACTATCAGCCATGTCCATACTTCTGAACTCAATCTCTGCCTCCCTATGCTGGGTAGACCACTGCCCACTGCTTGGGCTTCATATACTTGTGGTGCAGCCCAGAAGTCATACCAAGGCAGAGTCTTAGGACAATAGCGAAATTCCCCTTCTAGGTTTCCTCTTTCCCAGAGATGGCGACGTGTACTGCCTGTTGTCTGATGTCTGAACATAGTTGTCTTACAATTTTTGTCAAGTTTTATAGTGGCTTAAGGCAATAGAACAAGTACAGTAACAACTATCTATTTTGATTTAGAGCCAAATTCCCAAAAATAAGCATTTTAAAGGTTTTTGTTCCAGATTGTCAAACTGACACTATTACAAGTAGTTTAAAAGAGTAACACTTTGACTAGACTCTTAATCAAATTGGACAACAAAATTCATTTGTAAGTGTTCTCAAACACATTTTTACTAATATTTCATTCCATATTCATATGAATTTTCTGTATTCATATTCTCATTCACTATTAAATTATTTGATTTTTTTCAATTGTTAACTTTATGGTAAACCCTGATGGTTTTCAGGAAATCATTTAAAATTTGTTTTCCTAAATTTATTTTTTTCCCAAACTTCCTCAGGAATTTGTTTTAATTTATCCACTGATAAATCACTCCCAAAGACAATATAATGTTCTAATGTTTTTCATGAAAGTAATCTATATTTTGTCATCCTTATACACATTATTTGAAATACATTTTGATGGTTCTTTTTACTCTTCTCCCTTTCCCCAGAGACCAAAATTCCATGTAGTGTAGCTGAAAGTTTCTGAATGCCTTTATGTCTCAGTGAATGGGAGTTGCTCTGTAAGCATTTGTGAAATCAAAATGGATCAGCTGTCATATCAAGAGCTCAAGGAGATAGGTGTTTGCAGTGGATGGAATTTGGCCCTAAAAGAGATAATGTGTGGGCAAGTATTAAGTCTTCCAAAAAGATGTGTGAAGTTTTTCTGTCCTTTGCTATAACCAGGCAGCATAATTCACTTAGAAAAGAGCAATAAGAATTAATTTGAATCAAATTTGCCCCATATTGTAAAAAAGCACAGCTAAATGGAGTGAAGCATTTTTTCAGCAGTTCTGGATGGAAAGGGTTGTCAGTGGGTGATAGTAGTTTGGGGACAGCCATGGCTGGTAACTTTTCTATGCTGCTTAAAGACATGAGTAATAATGGAAGAGACAGCAAGTTGAGCACTCAGCAGAGTGGAAGTGAAAGATAGAAGTCTCATTCACATAATGGAGATAACACGCATGCACCTGCTAAGGTAAGAGATCACCTGGTTCCTCCCACATCTACTGATTCTTTGAAGTCTGGGACAGAGGTGGTGCCATATTGGGTGGTGGTATTTCCAGTGCCTAAAGTTTCAGAAAGGAGACTAATATCTTGTATATCTCAGGACCCCCTACAAATCATTGAGGAAAATATAGAACTGTCAATAGAGAATTTGCCAGCGGATATGGATAGGCCATTTTGAGAACAGAAATCCAGGACCACTATCACATGAAGAAGTGCTCAAACTCATTAGTAATTAGAAAATTGCAAAGGAAAGAAAAGGAGGGAGAGAACATTATTCAGCCTTCTAGATTGCTGCCAGTTATTATTATAGTAGTATAACGTAATCTCTCAGTTCCTTTAAATTATTGGTTTTATTTAGTTTTAAAAAATTGTCACCTGTATCTTTATGGTAAACACTGATGATATTCTGGCAGTAGGTGAGAGGGTTGCAGGGGTGGGGGGTGGAGAGAAAGAGAGACAGAGATTGGAATCTCTTTACATTGCTAGACTGAGAACAATCTAGATCACTGGATAAGGATTAAAGGAGATATTAGGATGTAGGAAAACACCCTATTCACTTTTATGTGGGATTGCAGATGTATACAGTGATCCTGAAGAACCCGTGGTGGTATTTAGATAGATAAAATATGCATAGAATTCCATGTCTCAGCAATCATGACTTGCTCTGGGTATATAATCCTATAAAGCAATCATACAAGTCTATGAAGGTATTTGTACAAGAATTTTCAATTCTGGCAGAAAACTGGAGAAAATCTGGCTATGTATTTCTGAAGAAATGGGTATGAGTACTCTCTATCATGTAGAAGCAACAAGACCAAATGTACTTACAGAAAAACGGAGCACTTCCCTTTCTTGAGCTGAGTGGAAAAGTAATATTTATGTGATTTTAAATATATACATACATGCCTACTGCTGAGTGCTCTGTGAGAAGGTTAATGGCTGGATCATGACTGATCTGTTTTTTTCTCTTGGGATTTTGAATTGAGGCTTAGAAAGAGCCAGCCTGGTATTTATCAGTGTAGGGAAATGATGGCAACTGAATTTGTAATCTTTAGTGACCATCTCATTCTCACCACGAGGCCTGGAGAAAAAGAGATGGTGTACAGGGAGAGAAAAGCATTCAGCAGCCAAAATTGAATAAAAATCAGCGCTGGAGAGATAGCCATTCTAGAGCCCAGCCCTAGTGGTGCCTTTTCAGAACTTCTATCACCTCTTGACTTCTGCTAAACACCCTTTATCCTTGTGTTAAATTACACTGTGGCTTAAGCTGGCTCCAGTTATTTTCTGTTACTCCCTTCCAGCCTAATACATCACCTGCTTCCTGAGCTGGGTCTGTGACAAGTTTGTGTGCTAAGAGGAACTGACATTTCAGTGCTGTGGATTGACTGCTGGCGCAGAGATACAGTGCCGTGTCTCCCGGTTCTGAGGACAGGATTGCCAGGCTGCAGGGTGCGTTCTTGGGGCATTGAGATGAGAATCGCTTCTTGTGCATCTCCGTTTCTTGAAGAACTTGTTCATTCTGAAAGGAAATCAAAAGCATAAACTCTTTATTCTGATTCTGTTGATACCAATAAACAAAAGTATGTCCTTTTTCGGGGGTACAATCCATCTTTGTTTTCTGTCCTTTTCCTTTGACCAAATGTCCTGGAGTCTGTGTGACTTTGGCATGAAAAGAGTCTGTAAGAGAAAGAAACAGATGCTGTAGAAAGAGTCCAGGAAAGAGCTTAACAAACAAAACAAAACAAAACAAAACAAAACAAAACAAAACAAAACAAAGCTTGGATCTGCTGGTTGGCAAGCCCAGGACAAGGATTTTTCTTTTGTGCTCAGGGCGCATCTGCTGCCAGGAGACACAGGGCTGCACAGCCGAGGAGCCTGGTGCCCATGATCGCATTGACGTTGCAAAGGGATGAGGCTTTTTCATCCCCTTTCTGCACCTTCTTGTGACGTGATCCCTCCACTGACTTATAATCATCATGTTATTGCTTCATGTTCCTGAGCAAAAACACTTCATAGTATCAGGGAAAAAAAGCTTTTATCCTAACTCAGGAAATATAACTCAGTTATTTTGTATTCATTTAAAAATATGTTATGTCTATTTTTGCTAATATAAGCAATACACTCATATTTTAGAAAGTTAGAAAATAAAATAACAAAATAAAAATATGATACCACTGCCAGAAAGCAATTATCACTGTTAACACCTTAGTGAGTCTTTCTAGATCCTTCTCTGCCCCATATATAAATGTGTAGATATATAGACACTTTTTTTAGTAAACAATATTCTTGAAATTCTGTTTGATAAGCTTTTTTTCAGTTAATGATCATCCTTTCTCATCGATGCATTTTCATCTTATCTACTATTTAGTTTTTATGCAAAGTTTCACAGTTGTTTCAAAAACGTCCTTTGCCATTAATTTGAGCATCAGTTTCTAACTCAAGACTGGACATTCCTTCTGGCTATTAGTTATCTAATTATCTTTTATATATTTCAGATCTCTGTTGTAATTGCTATCTTTATGATTCTGAAACTAGTGACTGCTTTGAAAAATACTTCACCTTCTAGCTCTTTCTGGTGTATTTTAGCTTGTTCATTTACTAGTGCTTCTTTTACATAACCTCCCTTTTTTGCTTTTTCTCTCTGTAACTATTTATTTTAAATTGTGCATTTTTTGATGATTTTTTTTTTCGCTTACTTTTCTCTTCCTCCATCTCATCCTCATTTCAGGTAAGTAATGTTAACAGCTTAATGTATATCTTTCCATAGATTTCTCCTTACTAATTTAATTGTTCAGTGAGGTTGTTTTCTCCACATTACAAAATGGACTTTGAATATATAGATAATAACTTGATAAAATACCAACAGAATGATCACTTAAAAAAACAACTTGGCACAGGAAATAAAAGATTACCAGAATATTTGAAAGCTCTTATTTCTTTTCCCAGATTCCATGCCTCTGTTCTCTAACTCTATTGAGGTGTTTGTTTTTGTAATTATTTGCTTCTCTTTTATATTTTAATGCATAGGCACATAAGCAAACAAAATAGTGTTTAGTTTTAGATGCTTTCAAACTTTACACAAACGAGACAATACTGTACCTTTCTTCTGCAATGTAATTTTTCATTCAAATTTGTGAAATTCATTCATGTTTGTGTGTTTAGTTTTAGTTCATGAATTTTCACTGCTGTGTAATTTCTTTTTAATAACCAGGATTTATTCTTCTCTTAAGTTACATTTGGATATTTTATACGTTTTTGCCATGACAGATGTATTACAGTGAATATTCTTGTCCTGATTTTCGTAGAAGGGTTTCTCTAGAAAAGCCTTTCTCAAGGGTGGAATTGATGGATAGTGGGTACACACATCTTGAACTTTACTAGATAATACCAAATTGTTTTCCAAACTGGATCTACCGATATACACTCTAGCCAGTGATTCAGAGAGTTCTTGTTGACACTTTGCCTTGCCAACACTTGATAGTTACTATTTTTATCATCGTAGCCATTCTTGTGGGTATATATTTCGTTGGACTCAATTTCTATTTCCCTGATTATTAAATATAGCCACATTTACATGTTTAATGACCAGTGAGATTTTGCTAGGTGCTTATGGTTTTCACTCACTTTTTCCATTGACAGTTACCTTTTTCTCATTGATCTGTAGAAAAATTAGTTTGTAGGTTTTTAAAAAATTTATATACTAGCTTTTCTTGAATATATAAATATAAATAGGGATATTAATTTGGTATAAATATATAGATATTTAATGATATGTCACTATACAGTCAATCTTGTCACTGTTACATAATTAACATTGATAAATTCAATATGTTAATTTTGATATAGCCATTTTTATCAATCTGTTCCCTACTGATTGAGGGAATAAGAACTCTTTCCCTGCTTTAAGGCCATGAAGATGTGCTCTTATACAGTATTCTAGAAGCCTTGTGATTTTATTACAATTATGCTTTTAATATAGCTGGGATTGATTTTGGCTATATATTGAGATGTGTCCAATTGCACTTATTTTTCTTTATATAGATACCCAATTTTCCTATCACCATTTATTGAAAAATATATTCTTTGATTGTTGCAGTACCATTGCTCTGTGTTTATGAACATGTATTTTTTTCCTTGGATCTATTTATATATCAATGCCCTTATATTACACCACTTTTATTGTTGTGGTTTTATAATAATTCTTCATGTTTGTTAGATTTAGTCCTCTCACTTGGAGCTTCTATTTCAGTGCCTCAGCTATTCTTTTATCCTTTGCAGCTATTCTTTTATCCTATCCTATCCTTTATCCACTGGTAGGAGACTCATGCAACTTCATTCATGGAGGCTTTTCATTTCCTACTTTGGTGATTTCTTGGAATCTTAGCTAAGTCTTGTGTCTTTCCAAAAGGAACCTCAGTGGAAAAGGTTCTGTGCACCTCAGTAAACTAACATATGACATTTTACCAACTATTCCCTGTTACCCAAGAAGTGTTTGCGGCTTCTTCTGCCTGGGTTACCTTTATTTTTTTCCCGAATTTTCTTAGAAATATCAAATACTAGACAAAACAAAACTCTCACTCTCTCTCTTTCCCTCTTTTGTTTTTACATCCCATGTTCTAATCACTCCTCACTCTTAGGCTTCTTTAATCTCCATAAGGAACCAGAATACCACAGTCTTAACTTCCATGCCTTTTATCTCTGTGATCTAAATCTATATTTGGTTGGAATTTTCTGTCCCCATAGTTCAATTATTTACATGCTGAAATCTGCAGAGTCTCAACCTCTAGTCCAGCCTTATGGCATCTCAATTTCACATCTTGTCTATGCAGTTGCCTGCTTCTAGTTTTTATCTCATTGTTCCATAGACAGTTGAACCCTATTATCCCAAATGGGAACTGCTACTGCTAACATGATTTCATATTGTTTGAAACTGTGCCCTTTGTTAAGGATCAAAGTTATATGAGGAAAATTGAAAAATAGTATCATTTCAAAGTTACATGAGGAAAATATATATATATATTGAAAAATTGTATTGTTTGCTTGTCTGCTGATGACAATGAAGCTTCAGCTCTCTCTTTTGAGCAACAGCCTACAAAGGACTTTCATACTTATTGTATTCACGGAACCAAAAACTCAACTTTTTCAAAAACTCCTTTCTGTCTACTTCCTCAAATGTATTCCATTTCTTTTGATTCATATAAATTGATCATCTTCTTTCTCTTTGTAAACTGTTCCCCAAAGTGACAAACTCTTTAATATGCCTTTGCAAAAGCTGTTCTCTTTGCCCAGAATGCCCTACTCAGAACCAGGTCTAGCTGGTGAAGTTCTAATGTGACTTCCTCTTTGTTTTCTCTGATTCAATCAGACAGAATTGGGCATGTCCTCCCTAAAGCTCCCAAATGACTTCTGATTTTAGTATTATACATTATATTTTCCATTCTAACTACTTTATTGCTAGACTTTTAGCTCCTTGGATAAAGGATCTATTTTCTTTTCAGTTTTGTATCTTTTGTGTTTGCAAAAGTAACAGGACATAGTAAAATCTCAAGAAAATATTAAAAATGAAAAAATTAAGCTAGAGGATGTGGTGGGGGCTGTAGGGTGAGGACACATTTCCGCACAGAGAGACAATGGTTGTGCTTCCATTGTGGTGCGCTCCCAGGACAGAAGTACAAAGCTGTTTGGCTGGTGTGGGCCAACTTCACCCTGAGAAGAAATAGCCCCTTCTCCTCTTGGCAGACACGTAGCCTTCAGTTAGATCTCCTCTCTGAATATCCTTTTCAACCCTTGAGTAATAGATCAGTCTCAGATTTTGCTTTGGGTCCTGCCAGTACCAGTAGCAGTACATGTCATTGTGTCTCAAATTCCGTTTCCACTCCAGAGTCACATCCCATCCAGCCCCAGTGAGCTGGAATGGCATCTGATAGATGTCAGCATCCAAGGGTCCAAGAGACAAAGGCTGGAGATCATGCCTGGAAGGGAGGTGCTGGCCAGGGAAGGGCCTGGCAAGCCCAGAATAGGAATTGACCACCTGGATGTGTGCTGAGCTCACCTGCTCCCAGGAGACACAGGGTCACATAGCAGAGGACCCAGCTCCCCATGGCAGCGACAAAATCTCTCTGAAGTTACAGACACAGGCTCTAAGAGAGAGAGAGAGGCCAAGGGAAGGGGCTGAGATCTAGCCCCTCCCCGGGACTTAATATAAAGAATTTGTCATTGCTACGTGATGACTGATTTTCACAGCTGATTTTGCAGATGGTGAGACTAAGAATTAGAGCGATCAAGTCACATGCACCTCCTCTTCTGCTTATAGAAGCTTTTTATATCCCTTCTAAATGGACAAGTGCCTGCCTGCATGGTCAGAAGAGCCAATCCCTCACTTCCTGGTCAGAGTCATACACAGAGTGCCATGCACCTGTGCTCAACTCAACACAAGAAGGGGTTTGGAAGTTTAGTGGTTTTGTTTTTGTTTTTGTTTTTTAAAGAACCGATTCTCTACACCCTCTGTATTCACTATAAATAATTAATACAGTAGAGATGGGGTGGGGGCTACTCCTGCAATTTTAGGAATAGCAAAGTGTCTGAAGCGCCCCTTCCCTTGTGACAATGGATTAGAGCAGGGACTTGGGACACGGCATGGGCTTTAGTCCTGTCTCTGCCATTTCGCAGCTATGTAACCTTGGAAAAGTTACAGAGCATCTCTTCAATTTCACTTTATCTGTAAAATTGAGATAATAAGTAACTACCCAAAACCTGTGATGAACATTACATAAATAAAGCATTTAGAACAGTTCTTAGTACATAAGAAACACTAGATTTGCGTTTGCTCTTATTACTTTCTGGACCTGAAGTTCTAATTCACAGGAAGTTAGGAAGTCAATACTGTATCAAGTGAAATGAGACATTTATGGTCATAGGGTTGTACCAGCTGACTAAAGTCTCATTTTCCAACTGAGTAGAAATTTGTATGAGTGTAAATTCATTGTATAACATGGGTTCTTCCAAGTAGTTTTAGTAAATAAAAATAGGATCCTAGCTGATTTCTTAATGAATGCTTTTGTTTTGGTAGACAAATGTTGTTCTATTTCTGAGGTTATCTGCAATTAAAAGATGCTTTCATGATGAAACTTTTGGTTGCAAGCTGGTGGGGTTTAGAAGCTGTTGCTGTTCCCTCCTAGAAGAAAAACAAGGCAGAGAGAGAGAGAGAGAGAGAAAAGAAAGAGCAGGAGAGAGACAGAAAGAGAATATAAAGTAATTATTTAGAGTGAGAAGCATTAAGAGGTGCGGCAGTGTGGGTGAAACTCTGAGAAAGAATGCTTGCAACATAGTTGTTTCCAATGCGTAGGTCTAGGCTTCAGGTTGTCAATCATGCCTGCGTTGAGGATCTAATTCTGTGTCCAGGAGTTCTTCACATTGTACCAGGGACCTCTTTGTCAGACTGGTAAATCCTAAGGACCCCATCTCAGAATAACATTTTAAATGCATAAACTAGAATATAGAAAATTATTTTGAAATGCAGATATCAATTTTTTTAAATTCTCATATATTAATATAGGAACACCTTTAAATTTCATTAAATGAAATATAACCTGCTGAATCTGAAAACTGTCATGATTTCAACATAGTGATGAAAGTATATTTACTGCATTTAACGTGGTATGAAAATATCTGACTTTTATATCAACTGTCATCTATGCAACATATAAGCAAATGTCTGTGATTTCTGTCATTGACTTTGTCACTGATATTACTAAAACTACTATGGTTTACTCATTATATCATAGAAGGAAAGGTATATTTCAGTTGGAGGTTAGTTAAAATAAAGATCTATTTTCCCATTCAAATTTATTGATTCCCTGAATTTTATCTCTGCACTCCTTGGAGGTCCACGGATCCCAGGTTAAAAACTTCTGCCTTAGAAGAGAATATGCATTATGCTGGAATCCACAGACAGGAAATGTTTTTTAGAACGTTCATATAGCCTCGGAAGTACTTAGCCTATATGTGTAGTTTGCAGATTTGTCAAGGTGTCAAGGGAAACAATTTAAACTACTTCTTTAGACTGTTTACAGACTTCAATTATAACAGGTATTATATTATACTTACCATGATTGTGTTCTAGTCCTGGAAACATGGTACAAATTCTATCATCTATCTTTCTACATACTGTCTGCATTATCAATTATATTCATCATTATCCATATCATCATCATGATTATCATGTATATTTTATTCCTGAGGAGCATTATTGGAATAGAAAACTACAGGGACATAGTATGATAGTATATACTCTCTTGCATGAAAGAGTAAGGCTTTATGCTAAGAAACCATGTAATCAGAAATAGTATTCCTAAAATGGAATCACAAAATTATCTCCACACTATGTTTTAAAATAATCTCTACAGTACTATGTGTTACTAATTCTGAGACACCTCAGATCCCAATATTGGTAATATATGCACTATTCTTATTGATGGAATTTAGACAGTTCTACTGTATTTAAGATCCTCATTGTAGTCAGTGTTAAATAGTGTCCTATTTCCTAGATAAAGGAGTAAATAATGAAAAAGTTTATGTCATTAAACACTCTTCCTATATTGCAACAGATTCAACAGTATGTTCCCATTTCGTGCCTCCAATATGGTAATTCTCCATCTGAATACTTGGATCCATTTTTAAATTAGTGAATTGTATTTTTGGAGCAATTTTAAGTCCACAGCAAAGTTGAGCAGAAACTACAGAATCCCAAGTATTCCCTGCACTCACATGAACAACGTTCCCTACTACTGACACTCTGTGTTGTAGAACTATAGACCTGATGAAGGTGGCCTATGGGAGAAACAAGAATGGAATTCAGAGGCTCGACCAGCAGGGCTGCAACCCCTCATTCCAAATCATGTGCTTAACTGCAAAATATTCCCTTTAATTAATCTTAACGCATAGGTATGTTTTCATTAACAAAATGTATCTCTTCTTAAAGTACACCTTGCAGAAATTTCACAGCTTTTCCAATACATGTAAATAAGTATATTTTACCTGGAAACAGAGCAGCACTGACACTTGATTGGTTCACATGGTGAATGAGGCTGACGCTGTGAGCTCACATATGGTTGCTCCAAACCATATGCAATTTCTGGAGAAGGTATTTTTATGTAACATACTGAGGTAGAGATGTCAATTGAAAAATGTAAAGACGAAATTGAATTAGGCTGACGTGAAATCTTGGCAGAAAATATTTTTATTGAGTACATTTATAATCTTGTTAAAATAAAATTTAGGAAAATATATATAAGATCTGTATAATAAAAAATACAAAGCGATGCTGAGAGAAATTAACAAGACCTCAATAAAGAGATGTGAGGGACTTTCTGAGACGATGAAAATGTTTTGTATCTTGATTGTCATCATGGTTACATCATGGGTATAAAAATGTGTTAAAATTTGTTGAAGTGTACACTTAAAATGCGGGTGTGTTTTATTGCAGCAGTTGGATTTGTTTATTGCATACATATTCCATATATATCTTATGTCTCAATAGAGTTGCTTTAAAAATGTTCGTAATTGTTGGCCAGGCGTGGTGGCTCATGCCTGTAATCCCAGCACTCTGGGAGGCCGAGGCAGGCGGATTACGAGGTCAGGAGATCGAGACCATCCTGGCTAACACGGTGAAACACCGTCTCCACTAAAAGAAATACAAAAAATTAGCTGGGCGTGGTGGCGGGCGCCTGTAGTCCCAGCTACTCGGGAGGCTGAGGCAGGAGAATGGCGTGAACCCAGGAGGCGGAACTTGTAGTGAGCCGAGATCACGCCACTGCACTCCAGCCTGGATGACAGAGCGAGACTCCGTCTCAAAAAAAAATTAAAATAAATATAAATAAATAAATAAAAATAAAAATTTGTGATTGTAACATTCCATAGGGCAGGAATTGCTAATGGTTCCCACTAGGCTTCTATGGCAGGGAGAGCTGTGAGAAGCAGTCAAAAAGCCCTTTAGAGTCTGTCTCTAGTTCAAGGAAATGTGCTGGGTCAGAAGATCAGGGTCTACCTGAAAGACACAGTTGATCCGCTTGTCATTCTTATTTGTGCACCCACAACTTTACCAAGTGAAAAGCACAGAATCCCCTTCTTTAAATAAAGATTGTTAGAAATCCATAAAGCTCATGTAGAGAGAGAGAGAGGGTAACCTAGCATATCTTACCTAATATGCTGAACACTGAGGAATCCAAGCTTTTTATGCCTTCTGGCCCCTTCCCTGGGGTTTTGTCCCCATCAGTTGTTTTAAATAACCCCCCTTTGTTTTTTGCTCACTTAGAGCTGTTATTTACAAGTTTTTCCTTCTGATTTATTGTCTTTCAAGTTGGGTTTCTGTTACGTAGTGCCTACCAACCTGCTACACACTTATTTCCTGAGCTGGGTCCATAATGAGTTTGTGTTCTAAGAAGGGCTAACATTCGGCACTGTGGCTTTGCTGCTGGCACAGAAATACAGTGCTGTGTCCCCTGACTCCGTGGACTGGATCTCCAAGGTACAGGATGAGTTTTTGGAGCATTGGGCTAAAAATCGCTCATTGATTATTTCTGCTTTCTGAATAAGTTCTTCGTTCTGAAAGTAAACCAAAAACTTGAGCTCTTCTTCCAGCTTCTTACGATACCAGTAAACATAACTATGTGCTTTTATAGGAACACAATCCATCTTTGCTTTCTGTTCACTTGCTTTGGCCAGAAGTCTAGGTCTCTGGGTGACCTTGGTGTCCGTGGAGCCTGTGGAGGAAGGAGAGAGCAGCTGTAGAAAAAGCGCAGGAGGGAGCTTGATACTGCAGCCACCGGAGAGAGTCTTGGAACTGAAATTCAACCAGTTCAGAACAGGGCCTTACCTGGCTCCCCAGAAAGAAATGGCCACACAGCAGAGAAGTCTGAGGCACATGGTTGGCTCAGAAAGAAATCGTAGTGGTAGCTTTTTCTGTAAGGCTTCTTCACCCACTCTCCTAGCCCCCGTCAGCAACCTCCTTGTGACGTGATCACTTTCCATAGCCTTTGTAGATGCTCTGTACATGGGACAGAGTCATTTCAATTTCAAAGAATGTAGGAGGGCAGACTTTGTTTTAGCTGTTAAAAATAGTGTAAGTTTCAGCCTGCTTTTAGTTTTTTTTTTTTCTGTTACTCACTGTTTTGCTATTTTTTTTAAGTAAAATCACTCATACATTTATTTACTTAAAAAATTATTATACTTTAAGTTCTGGGGTACATGTGCAGAATGTGCACTTTTGTTACATAAGTATACACATGCCATGGTGGTTTGCTGCACCTATCAACCCATCATCTACATTAGGTATTTCTCCTAATGCTATCCCTCCCCTAGCCCTCCATCCCCCGACAGGCCCCATGTGTGATGTTCCCCTCCCTGTGTCCATGTGTTCTCATTGTTCAGCTCCCACTTATGAGGGAGAACATGCGGTGTTTGGTTTTCTGTTCTTGTGATAGATTGCTGAGAATGATGGTTTCCAACTTCATCTATGTCCCTGCAAAGGACATGAACTCATCCTTTTTTATGGCTGCATAATATTCCACGGAATATATGTGTCACATTTTCTTTATCCAGTCTATCATTGATGGGCATTTTGGTTGGTTCCAAGTCTTTGCTATTGTGAACAGTGGTGCAATAAACATGTATGTGCATGTCTCTTTATAGTAGAATGATTTATAATCCTTTGGGTATATACCCAGTAATGGGATTGCTGGGTCAAATGGTATTTCTGGTTCTAGATCCTTGAGAAATCTCCACACTGTCTTCCACAATGGTTGAACTAATTTACACTCTATTTACTTTTTTAACTTGTCAGTTTGCTTCTTCCCCTCCCTTCCATCTCAGGTAAGGAATCATACAACTCGGTCTTTACAAATAGTAGCTTTTGACACACTTATAAAATCACATAGCAGCTGCTTTACATTAAGTAAGTATTTATTTATTTATTTATTTATTTATTTATTTATTTATTTATTTATTTTTGAGACGGATCTTGCTCTGTCTCCCAGGCTGGAGTGCAGTGGCATGATCTCAGCCCACTGCAGCCTTTGTCTCCCGGGTTCAAGCAGTCTCCTGCCTCAGCCTCCTGAGTAGCTGGGATTACAGGCCCCCACCACCGCACCTGGCTAATTTTTGTATTTTTAGTAGAGACAGGCTTTCACCATGTCACTGGCTGGTCTTTAATTCCTGACCTCAAGTGATCTGCCCACCTCAGCCTCCCAAACTGTTGGGATTACAGGCATGAGCCACTGTGCCCGGCTACATTAAATAATGAAATGTTGAACTATACAGAACAATATTTATGACAAATATGCAATGCATATATAGAAGCAATAAAATGAATACCTTTGCCTGAACCAATCAGCTTAAGAGTTAGATTATTGCTGAAAATTTCTCAGTCCATGTTACTCTTTTAGATTTCCTCATTGTTTCTCCGTCATGCCCAGGTAGGTGTAATCTGAAGTTTAAATTTGTCATTCACTAGCTTGGCATTATAGTCTTTAGCATTTACACAAGAATCTGTAAATTATGTAGTATTTAATTTTGTGTGTCTTTGAAATGTATCTAAGAGGAATCAGCTAGTTTATATATTTTCTACAATGTTATTTTTTCATTCAACATTAGGTCTGTGATAATACGTTGACACACAATCTAGACAATTTACTTTCGCTGCCATCTAGTATTACATTATATTCATTGGCTAGAATTTATTCATTCTTGAATTAATGCACACTAATTTTTCCCTGGGTGTTTGTGCTGCTACAAACAGTATTGTATTCTCGAACATGTCTCTGCTTTTCTAGGTGCAAGATTGTTGCCATACCTGGCAATGTAAAGACTGAGTTTTCAAGTCAACATGTCAACTTTACATAACATAACAAAATGCTTTCCAAAGTGATTAAGCCAAATAAGTGATCCCACCAACAGCTCATGAGTGTGTTCAGATGTTCCACATCTAGGACTACACTTGCTATTTAATATACCTTTAATTTTGCCAGTCTAGTATGTTAATATTATCTCATGGTGCAATATAGTTTTTGTTTGCTTCTTTCTGGTTGCTAAGGAGGTTGAATATATTTGATATATTATAGGCCACCAGTGTTGCCTGTAAACTGCCCTTTGTCCATATTTCTTTTTGGTTGATTAGCTATTATTTATTTGTAACAGTTTTTTCTAGACTCTGGATACCCAACCTTTGTCAGCTATGTGTGTTGCTAATATCTTTCCAATTTGTGGTGTATGTCTTTATTCTGTTTGTGCTACTTTTTGTTGGGTTTCTTTAGTAGAATGCATTATTCTTTTATTTGGGGTAAACATGTTTTTTAATTCTTTGTTAAAAAAAATCTTCCATAGCCCAAGTTCATGAAGATATAATCCTTATTATTTACCAAAACTCCTAACATTTTGAATTTTGCATTTAAGCATTTAATTCACTTGTGATTTATTTTGACATATATTGTGAAGTAAGGTTTAAATTCATCTTTCCTTGTATGGATAACCACCTGTTCCAGAATAACTTGTATATTACATCATTCCTCCGTATATCTTCAATAACACCTCTATTATATATGAAATTCCTGTATATTCATGGGCCTATTTTTCATTTTCTGTTTTCCATTTGCCTATTTAATCACGCTTCTTTCATTATCCTAAATGATAACATAATTTGATAATTGGTAGAGCAATTCACATCACTTTTTGTACTTCTTAAATATTGCTTATTTTTGTTCTTTTTCACTTAGTTGTAGATTATTTGACAAATTTCATAAAGTAAATCTTTTGTAGTTTGATTACTGTGGTATTGAATATATAGATAATACTGCAGAAATTGAAACAACCTTACTATTGGATTCACTTTTTCATGATCATGTTGTATATCTTTACTTATTTCAAACTTTTTTTTTTTGAGACGGAGTTTCTTTCTGTCGCCCAGCCGCCTGGAGTGCAATGGTGCAATCTCAGCTCACTGCAACCTCCGCCTCCCGGGTTCCAGCAATTCTCCTGCCTTAGGCTTCTGAGTAGCTGGGATTACAGGCACCCACCACCATGTCCAGCTAATTTTTTGTGTTTTTAGCAGAGACAGGGTTTCACCATGTTGGCCAGGCTGGTCTTGAACTCCTGACCTCAGGTGATCCAGCCACCTCGGCCTCCCAAAGTGCTGGGATTACAGGTGTGAGCCACCGCGCCCGGCTTATTTCAAACTTTTAAAATAATTCCCTTAAATGTATTTATTTAGAGACAGAGGCTAGCTCTGTCGCCCAGGCTGGAGTGCAGTGGCATGATCTCGGTTCACTGCAAGCTCCGCCTTCTGGGTTCAAGCCATTCTCCTGCCTCAGCTTCCGGACTAGCTGGGACTACAGGCGTGCACCACCATGCCTGGCTAATTTTTTTGTACGTTTAGTAGAGATGGGTTTCACCCTATTGGCCAGGCTGGTCTTGAACTCCTGACCTCATGATCTGCCCGCCTCGGCCTCCCAAAGTGCTGAGATTACAAGCGTGAGCCACTGAGCGCGGCCCTGATTCCCCTAAAATTTTAATAGTTTTCTGCATGATAGTCTTGCTAATCTAATAGATTTGTTCTTAGGTGTTTATTTTCTATTTTATATCATTATTTGTAAATTGTCTCTCGTTAAAAAACATAACTGCTTGTAGTATGTGAAAATAAAATAATGTTTTATATTTATGTTAAATTCAGTAAACTTACTACATTTTGTTATTGATAATGCATTGCTTCTTTAGACCCTTTTGAATCTCTATAAATAAACTTGTCGTGCGCCAATACTTATTTTTCTTTCCTTTCTCATTTTCAACTTTTTCCCCTTGTTTCACTGGTTGCAAATTCAGCACAATGTTGAATAGAAATCACGGTATTATTCATTTATATATTTATCAACTGTGTAGAAATCACACAACTACAGGTGCCAGATATGGGTAAACGCTAAGGGTTATTACAAAATGTTAAGATTAGATCCTGCCATTTTAAAGACCAATTGGCCTCCCAGGATATCTGCAATTTTTTTGGTCAGTCAGTACCTAAACATCTCATCTGAAATATCCGGTGAAGCTGTGAGTCCCCACTTGATGAGCGGCAGATATTTTATAGAAAGATCCACATCACCCTCTAGTGGTCAAAGGAGCGAATTCATCCAATGCCCGCGGAGCTCTGCCTCGGCCTGCCTGAGTCGGGAGTGGCCCGCCCGGCAGCGAGGCAGCAAAAAGGCATTCCAGGTATCAGAGCGAAATTAAGAAAAAAGCAGCACTTGATGTGCTACCTGCCACATACTCCACAGCATTGTTACTAGCAATTACTTACACAATTATTCAGCCATTAGTCTAATGCCGATGGTGGTTTATCAGTGCATTTTGCCTCCCTCAACCTTTTATAGTCCCCCAAGGCAGGTGTGCTCCCTAAACCGCTATCCTATGCTCTCTGATCTTTTCATTGTAAACTGTATATCAAGGGATTGGAGGCACTTTCATTCTTCCAGTGATGCTAAATGTCCCAAAGGTGTGCTTCTTATCCAGATCCATTTTCTGAGTCCATGACTTGTACATCCAACTGCTCTCTGCATATTCCTGGTTAGATTACTGTCCCTAAGGCACTCCCAATCTCAAAGTAAATCTTGATCTTCTTCCCACTTGGTCCTTCTTATTTGTCTGTGTGTAGCAGTCTCTCTTAATCACCACCCACCACCCCCTGCATATTGCTGCTCATGTCTAATCAATTGCCAAGTCCTTTGATTTACTTCCTTTTAAATGTCTCATTTTCCCCATATTTCTAACACCATCATCATTATCTGAGCTAAACTACTGCTTGCCTGAGCTAAGTTTTTCCTCCGCATCAACTCTGTTCACACTGCTGGAGGGTGGCAGCATAAGCCTCCCAACCCTCTGCCCAAAATATGCCACTTTGGCATAAGGAATATTTTGAGCTAGAGGCATTAAAGACAATAGCAAGTATAAGAGGAGTACTCTGACCCTTCCCCTTTTCTTCTTGAAAAATGGAATAAGCTTCCCATATAAAAGATGTCTTATCTATACCAGGAAAAAAGAATATTCTTAACATCCAAGATAGAATGGGATGATGTTGAGGCCAAGGAATCTGTAACAAAAAAAGCTTGTTAAACTAATCCTCACCTTCCTAGTCACTTTGCCATTCAACCAGCAACCCTAGCCTAAGCCCCTTTACTTTTTCACCTTTCCACAATGTATGACCCTTTGCCCAATTCAATATATGAATGTTCAACTCTAACTGCACATTCAGTTCTTCCTTTAATTATGGGGGCTTTCATGTGATGTAAAACTTGTATTAAATACATGTGTATGCTTTCCTTCCTGTTAATCTTCCATTCTCAGGACCAGCCGAAAAACTGCAAGAGGGTAGAGGTAACATTTTGCCTTCCCTGCATGGTCCATTATTTCTTCACTTTGTGACCAGGGTGATTAAATACACAGATACACACACAGCCACGAATCTGATTACTAAAGAAGTCAAATGTTGAAAACCTCAGTGTCTCCTATTAAGCTTTATGTTGGATTCTGTATCATTTACCTTGACCAGTAAGGTTCTGAGTGGTCTGGTGCCTTCCTGCCTTCTTCAATTTTGCCCTGTACTCAACCACCTCCTCCCCCTGCTCCTGTCACTCTGCTGACTTCTTTCCTGTCATTAAACACACTAATTTCTTTCCTGATTAAAACATTTTGCACTGGTTCTTTAATCTTTCTTAAATGCCCTTGAATTCATTATCCCTCGTCCCACTTAATTAACTCTAGCTCATCTTGATGTAAGGTATTTAGGAATAATATTTAAAATTTCTTCCTATACCTTTTATTAAAAGGAGGATAACAATTAAATATGCAATATCAGGGGCTTCAGACTCTCCAGGGAGTATTTCATCAATAATTACTTTCAAGAAATTAGACATAGTTCATTTTTTAGGATAAAAGAGTCTTAACTGGTTTTCAAAAATGGCACCAGATAGGAGATTACAGATAAAAGACACTCACATATTTATGGGTAGTTAAAATTGACTACTGGTCAGTTAATAGGAGTCACACTGCTTTCCACATTCCAGAATGGAAAAACAGCAGCAGAGGTATGAAGTTGAGAAGTAGCTTATCAAATATTCATCTTTGGACACCTGAGATGGTGCATGTACTATAGCAAATGGGTTGAGACTCTGGGAAACCAGTTCGAGAGATTATTTTTGACATTAAGAATGGGGATATCCAAGGATATAGAGGAATTAGACGACCCTAGCTCCCTTGAAACCTCTGAAATTCTTCCCATGGCTTCTCCATTACTGGGAAAAACAGTGCCTCCGTGTGTGTGTGTGTGTGTGTGTGTATGTGTGTGTGTGTGTGTGTGTTGGGGAGGAGGATGTAAGAGTCTGTCTCTTACCTCACCCATCACTGCCTCTGAAAGGTGAACTTGATTTTAAATACAACAAAGCACAGAGAGTAGAATATAAAATCAGAACAAAAAGTTCAACACTTCAAAAAGAATTGCTAATCAAAAATTTATGTCATTCAAAATTTACAGGAAATGTGATAGGATTTTATTTTGTTGGTACTTGTCCAAGGAAGACAGAACACAAATATGGACTGAATGCTGTTCAATGCTGTTGTCTCGTTTCCTAAGGTAATATAGGTAGGCAGTAGGCTGTGTCCTTGACAGTCAGCTGGTTTGGGAATGTCAGGTCTGAACCCAGCAGCGTTCCATGCTAAATGTCACCGAAACACTACACTCCTCAGCTTAACGTAGACGGAAATAGTGACTGCGTGAAATAGGAATGTAACCACTGTCTCCCTGTTTCATGCCAGAGCCTTAAAAGCTCTTGTCTTTTCCATGCCGTTAGTGAAGCAGTGGAATATTTTATAAGTATTTTACTAGCTCTGTTCTCCAGGCTGAAAACGCTAACAGAGTAAAAGGCTACAACTAAAGTGGGTCCTGAGATCAGTGGCAATGGCACAGTCTGAGGTGACTGAACCCAGGTGGGGTATTTAACCACCAGCAACACACGGTCATAGCGGAGACGAAAAGCAGCAGCGTGTTCACTGCAGAATTGGCTCCCATCTTGTTCCAGTCAGTTCCACCTTGGTCAGGGGCCAGGTGTCATCTCCACGCTTTCACGTTCACCCTTATTGTCTAAACCCCTGTTCTGTGTTGCAAAGGGTTGACAAGGGTCCAGGTCTGTTGGGTGGTAGGTTGTCCGCTGTGATTAATTCAGCAGCCGATATCTATATGAGGATGGTAGCAGTTAAGCCACTGCTATTTCACTCCTGGTTTTGACTATAAAATGCCCTTGATCCTTTTCTTGTAAGAACTCTAATCTATTCATTTATTTGTTTTCTCTTCTTTTTGATGCTATATGCATTCAATTTTATTTATCTTAACCTGTGGTTCATAACACACAGGCATTGCTTGTCAATGAATATTTTTAAAAAACATAATAGGAACTTGTAAAACTTCTCCTCCTCAACATTATGCAAGATAGACCTTGATAATATTTCAATGTATAGCCATATAGTTCTCTCTCATTCTATTTCCTGCCATGCCCCAGCCTTATAAAAATCCTGAACTTGGGTCATTATTATTCCCTGCCAGTAGTGTGTTGGTAAAGGGTAAAGGGTTGACAGCTAAGTCTGGAGGAAAATAAAGCAAACCGTAATTTGCTGTGTTTGCTAATTTCTGTAGTGTAAATACCCTCACTATGGCCAATTTCAAGCTAACAAAATGATGTCACTAAAACTGGAGTTGGGAAAAATGTATACAGTCAGCTCCCATGAGCTGATAAAGTAGGCTCCAGCATACAACTCATCTTTGCTTTCCTTTCAATATAATTTGTTCTAATATATTTTAGTCCTGAAAATTATTTTCTTGACTTGTTTTTAGCTTTATGAAAAGCACATTATGCTTTGCATAATCTCATTAGACTTAGTTTTTACATTTGCTATTATATTGCTAAGATTCACCTATAACCTTGCTCTTCACTATAGTTCATTCATTTTGACTCATATGAATATGTCACAGTTTATTCATTCACTCTTCTCAGTGCATATGTGGCTTGGTGCCATGTTTTTCTACTGTTTGGTGCTGTGAAGAACACTTTTTTATTTATGTCTTCTGATATGTGTATGCAAGAGCTTCTCCTGATGTAAACCTAGGAGTGGAATTGCTGAGTTATGGGATATAGGAATCTTCAACTACGAGATAATGCTGAACTGTTTCCAAATGGTTGATAGTACTTATGCTCCCATCAGTAATTTATAAGTAATCCTATGAATCCATACCCTCGCTAACATTTTATATTTCTAAACTTTTTATATTTTGCTAATCAAGTGGATATAAAACTATGTATCATTGTGTCTTGCTTCATATTATCCTGATCATCAATGAAGTGAAATATCTCTATATGTTTATTAGTCATATATGTTTATTCTATTAAATGTATGGTCATATGTTTTGCTCATTTTCTGTTGGTTCATACA
This sequence comes from Homo sapiens, assembly GCF_000001405.40. Classification (NCBI taxonomy): domain Eukaryota; kingdom Metazoa; phylum Chordata; class Mammalia; order Primates; family Hominidae; genus Homo; species Homo sapiens. The sequence continues at coordinate 142,628,331 of NC_000007.14, read as the reverse complement.
GATTTGTGGTCAATGTAAATGTTTGGTTTCTCCTAGGAAAGGATTTTCACTGTTCCACTTACTGTCTTCTAACTACTGGCAGAACTTTCCAACTCTGTAGACAAGCCATGTTGTCTGAGGTCTTCCTTCTAGGTACCTCTGCCCCCTCTTCCCCTTGACACCTTTCCCAGGAGCCAGCTCACCAGCACCTTCCCTAGCGATACATTCCGTATGGTGTGTACCTAGGCATAGAGGGTGCTCCCCTCCCTTTGTACCGAGTCTTACTCTGTTCATTCATCAACCGAAACACCATGGAGAACATGATGGCGTTCAACATTTACAGGAAATGTGATAGGATTTTATTTTGGTGGCCTGGTCTAAGGAGGACAGAACACAAATTTGGAGTGAATGCTATTCAATGCTGTTGCTATCCTCCCCTAAGGTAACGTATTCATGCATAACTCTCTACTTGGCTGCCTCTTGGTTATCTTTGTCTTGAGAGCCCAGCATGATGACAAGAAAGCCAATCGCTGAAGTTTATTATAGGAAATACACAGTGATTATACAACTGTCTTCATATCTACCTCTAGGATTATGTGTAGATCTATTCAAGAATACATGACTAATGTGGCAGAGTCAGGGCAAAATTCCAGGTTTTATAATTTTCAGGGAACTTTCCATGTCCGCCGACCACTTTAGGCCCAACTCTATTGCCATTTCGTGGGTCTCAAACACTACACCTCCTCCATACTCCACACTCACAGTGCTTCTTTTCTTTTTCTCCCCCTCCCCCCCGCCCCACCCCCTGCACACACACTCCCAGATGTCTCAGTCAGGAAAGCTGTGGTTTTCCATTCTCCACGCTTCCCCTCTCAGCACTCAGGGGGCCCGCTGGGGCGGAGGGCAGCTGCAGGGGTTCTTGCCGCGGTGTCTGATCCCCTCCTGGCGCTGTGTCTCTAGCACTGCAGATGTAGAAGCTGCTGTCTTCAGGATGGGCACTGGTCACTGTCAGAGTGGACAAGGTCAGGCTTGCATGGTTGATGAGAAACTTGTCCTTCTCGACGCCTTGCTCGTATGTGGCCTTGGAGCCCTCATTGGAAGTTGCCATCAGCATGAGACTCTGTTTCGGGAACTGACGATACCAAAACATAGTTGTGGCCTGAAAGTCCAGGGAACGGCACTCGATCTTCACAGAGGTTCCACTCTTACAGATAACCCTGCTCGGATGTTGAGAGACGACAGCACCAAGCCCGGAGCCTGCTGAGACAGAAGCCAGAGAGAGAGGAGAGCCCAGTGGGAGCCGAGTCAGACAGGACGCCAGGCAGAGCTGAGCCTCACTCCCTCCCTGTGCTCCCAGCTCCTGGAGAGTCCTGTTTGTTTTGTGCAATCTTCCCGTCATCTCCCTAGGGCCATAATCCCCCATCTCCTCTGACCGGCGGCTTTCACCTTACCATTTACACCTCTAGAGAGCAGGGCCTCTCCCTCTCCCTTCGATGAGCATAAACAATCCACATTGCAACCCTGCTGGCCACCACTTGACCATGCCAACACACGCACATGCCCACCCAAGCTCCCAGGTAGAAGGAGGCTTATACCTGGCCCCAGAAGCAGCAGAAGCAGCAGCATCTTCCGTGATGGCCTCACACCACCTTCTCTGGGGAGAGTTGTGACCACTGCCTCCATTCACCAGCGAGGAGGGATGACTGATCACAGAATCCCAAGGATGCCCTAGTCTGCCCCCTGGTGGTAATCTTTGCCCATGACTGATGTTACGTCCATCTCTGCCTGTCAAAAAACCATACAGGTCGGGTGAGGTGGCTCACGCCTGTAATTCCAGAACTTTGGGAGTCCGAGGCGGGTGGATCACAAGGTTAGGAGTTCAAGACCAATCTGGCCAACATGGTGAAAACCCATCTCTACTAAAAACACAAAAATTAGCCAGGCGTGGTGGTGGACACCTGTAATCCCAGCTACTCAGGAGGCTGAGGGAGAGAATTGCTTGAACCCAGGAGGCGGAGGTTGCAATGAGCTGAAATCATGCCACTGCACTCCAGCCTGGGTGACAGAGTGAGACCCCATATCAAAAGAAAACAAAAAACCCATACATTGCCTAAAGTGGCCTAAAGACTTCCCAATTCAACTTCCAAATTTATTAAAGATACACTGAGACATAAAGCATTGTAATGACTTAAGTGAGTTTCCTATAAGGAAAGGAGTGTAGGTTTAGGTAATGAATGGCATTGGAGTCTGTTTGCTGCTTCTGTTTCATATCCTCAAAGTAATAACACCAAGACAACTCATGGTTGTTAATCACTAGACCCACAGGTTGGCACTACCATAAATATTGATAAAGCACAGGCCAGTGCCTCGGCTGGAAGTCCAATGTTTCTTCATAATCATGTTGAAGCCACTTCATCATTTTCTAAATGAGATAGTTACCTCATGTGTATCTCATGACAATTTCCCTCATATATAAAGGGACTTAATTCTAAACATTCTAATAATATTTCTCAATTTAGCTTGTATGTTTCCGTGTTAATCACTGTTGAGGTTGTGAGAATAATTAAATTTATTCTATTGTAATGGAGGTCATACTAAGTACTGGACAGTGAAAATAGTTTCTAGGAGGCATAAGAAATTCTTTGATTTGAACAGGCTGGGATACTTGTTTTAATGGATCGATGTTGGAAATATGTAGCAATTACAAGGAGCTGGAAAGTTTTTTTGAAAGCCCTATGTTTTCATTTTTATAACAGCCTCTCAATTGTGCTTTCATTTAATATTTAGTTCTGCTTCTCTGGCATAGGTAGCTAGAAAAGATAAGATTAAGACTTCGCCCATCATATTATGTTTGTGCAATAGTGAAATCGTTTTATAACAAATATAGCTATTGCATTATGTTAATATTGACATATCTATTAAAGGGCATCTGTATGCTCCTGTGGCTGCATTTTTTATTTCCTGGGTATGTTGGGCCTCATTAAAATGAGGCCACTTCATACTGTAACTGTACTTTTTCTGCAAAGAATAAGTAGGGACAGCTTGCTATGGGTGACCTCTGGTCCAATATTATGATATGTCTGGGAGGGAGTGGCTGGAAGACCTTCAGATCAGAAGAAAATCTTCCTATTTATTTTGAGAAACACTAATTGTCAGGTACAGATGGTCTCATGATGGTTCAATGACTTTTCAACTTTACAATGGTGCAAAAGCAATATGCATTTCAGTGTGCTCCTTGACTTATGATGGGGTTATGTACAGATAAGCTGGATATTGTAAGTTGAATTATGATGTTTTCAATTTGTGCTGGATTTATCAGGATATTACCCCACTGCAAGTCAAGGAGCATCTGGATATTCTTGTGGGGTTTTATCACTGTGTCAACTTAGCTAAGCAAGGAATATGTTTCGGACAACTTTTTTCCTAGTATGGTTCCGGGTTAGAGTTGATCATGGGGTAAGAAATGCAGGAAGTTTGTAAGGGGAAAGTAAAACAGCTGCTACTGAGTTCTGAAGTCATCACTGGCTCCAGGCAGTAAGGAGTAGCATCAAAAGTGCCGGTGAGTTCCAATTTATGCTGACTTTCCCCTGCTTCACATCCAGCTCTTTATACCGACTGCCAGCCCTGCTGACCAGGAGGGACTGCAGTGCCACCACCAAATTTTCTGAGAACTCACAGGGCTATTGGCACATAGAGTCAGCCATCTTCATAGATTCCTACACCAGCCCCTTCAGGGTTCCATATAGTGTATGGATATAACAGCTTAATGCAAAACTTAATGCGAAGTCCAGTTCATCCACCTTCACCAGAGCTGGTTAGAGTTGTTTTTTCTGACCCTTTTCAAACTTTCACTTATCCATCTTCTCCCCAAATTGTGTCAGGCCTCATTCCTATAATATATTCTTTTGTTCCTTAATGCTCATGGTGGTTTTTCTTCCCTGACACTTCCATTTGTGTTATGGGTTTGCCATAGCCAAAACCATACATTGTCAATAGCTAGTATGTGCTATGACTTTTCATTTTCTGAGACTACTTCAAGGCCATCTCTTAAAATTAGTCAATGTGACCAGTTTTCTTGGTGTCTGGGGGACTTCAGTATCCATGAGAACTGTTGGAAAAAGAGATAGAAGTTAGAGTCAGAGGCCTGGCACCAAAGGGCTGTGGCACAAGAAATCCTTGGTGTTGAGATCTGATAGCCCATAATAGGGCTCTACATCTTTGCCTGGGATAAATCTACTACTAGGAATCAAAGGCCATGCAGCAGAGAAGCATGCTTAATAGGGCAGACACAGAATATGATGGATCCTCTTTCTGCTCTGAGTTGGTATACTAAAGTTTTGTGCAAAAACAATGACGATTAAAGATGATGGTTAACACATAGGTAGGTAATTGTAATTAAGTATTGGTAAAATAAAACAATACTTCTAGTTATGGTAGATCTAACATTCTGACTATCCAAAATATTGGAAATCATGAAGGGGAACCATAGGTGTTAATTGTTCTAAAGTTCACATAGGCTTCAGGAGAATGGTAAAGATAAGACTAATCTCAGATTTTCTTAATATAATTATATAATAAAATGTTACAGTTAACCATCAAAAAATGAAAATGAATTGCGGACTTCTGAAAGGCAAAATAATGAAATGAGAAAAATAGTCAACAAAAATAAGGTCATGCATGAGGGAAGAAGAAACCAAAATGTGAGAAAAATTAATGTACAAAACCAAGCAAGAAACATAACTCAAAACCCAGGAAATCACCTTCTATAGAAAACTATACAGAAATACATTTAAGACAATAGACTGAGGATTCTAGTTCTATAAATCATGGGCTGAAAAAATACACACTGCTTATGAAATACCCACCTGAAGAATAAAAACAACAAAAAGGCTGCATGTAGAAAGGTTGAAAAAGAAATACTTGACAAATACAATCTTAAAAACATGAAATAGTTTTATTGATGTCATCCCAAAAGGACTTCAATGCAAAAAGAGCAGCAGGGAAAAAATAAGAGTACCAAGTAATGACACAAATTCAAATGGCTGTGGTGTGGTATTTGGTCTTCAAAGACACCAGCCTGATGAAACACACTGGCCAGTGGTCACCTTCCCAGGGGTGCCCTTCTCTTGAATCCGAGCTGGCTGGATTGTGGTGGAGGTGTCACTGCATATTTCTCAGGCTGGGCTGTAAGGAGCCTAGTTGACCACACCCGGGTCTCTTGAATGCTCACAGTTAGGGTGGTCAACGACCATGCCAAAACTTTAGCTGCCTAGAGGCCACCATGCTGTGAGACAGCTCATCTAATCACATCAAAAGGCTGTGTACAGAGAGAAATGCTCAGCGGGTCCACAGCTACTGCAGCCATCCCAGGTAACGAACCAACAGGGGCACAAAAAAGCCACCTTGGATATTCAGCCTAGTTGAGTCTTCAGATATCTTCAGCCTCAGTGACTATCTGACAGTGACCATGTGAGCAGCCCTAAGTGAGAACTGTCCAGCTGAGCCCTTCTACAGAATCACAAGAGATAATAATATGTTGTTCTTTTAAATCACTAACTTTTGGAGTGGTTTGTCACACAGCAATAGATTATTGGTCAAGATAATATACTTGCCATTTTAAGTTTTCTAAGTGAGGTATAAAATACATAGACTGCACAAATCTTAAGTGTTCAGCCCAATGAATTTTTGAAATGAATATACTCATGTAATCATCACCCAGATCAAGATATAGAATTTAGAATTCCAAAAGCCTTCCTCATGTCTCCCTCAGAATAAATACATAATGCTACCAAATTTAATCACTATTCTGACTACATACTGTATTATTTTGTGTCTACTATATTTTATTCAATGTTATATTTGAAATATCTGTGTTGGAAATTACACTTGATTTTTTTGTGCTATATTGTATTCTGTTACATAAATGTAACACAATCATTTCTCCATTGCATTGTCAGATGTTGAATATTTTCCAATTTGGAGCCATTGGGAATAAAGCTGCTATTGTGGTAGTACCTTTTTCTCACACGTTAAATATCCCTTTCTGCTTCCTAAGAATTCTGGACTATTTCTTCAATTTTTAAACAGTTGACAAATTGGTTTTCTGACTTGTCTAATTTACAATTTGTTATGTTCAATGTGATTTTAAATAGAGCAATTATGTTTATTATGTTAAAGAAATACAGTTCTAGATTAAAATTTTATATAAATTATCTTCCTATTTAATAGATGCGATGGCCTCTCAAAACTTGCTAAGAAAACATTCAGTGATATTTTACATTTTAAAAATTTCCTGTCCTTCACTTCAGATGATATCTCTCTTACAACCTGGTTGTGGGAATGGAGATTATGATGAAACTTCATAGCTACAGTGTTCTTTTCAGTATTAAGATTACCCTGAAAAAAGCAAATGGTTAATAGTTTTACAGTAGAATTTTTGAAGTCTATTTAAGCTCTTATGCCCTGCTTTAATAAATTCCTCAACTGAAACAAAGGAATTTGTGTCCATTCTAGTCACGGACAAGAAAAACAAGGAAAAACAAGATTGTCTATCTCTTACTGTCTTCCCTTTCGTTTTCTTCCTCTCATTGGACAGACAGTCTTTCCCAATCCCATCACCTCTGGAAAATGGCTTGTATACAGGGCACAGATAGCACTATGGGACTGTGTCTTTCCCACCGCCATGAAGGTCCTTGGCTCCATCCTCTGGCTCAGAGAATGACTGATGTGTAGGCATCTGTGAATATGGTCTGAACGTTCAAAGTGAAGTAGCTTAGAGCCATCTCATTTCCAGTGTTTTACTTACTACCGTCAGAAAACATTAGTTTCAATGACTGGTTGTAGTTCTCATGATACCATGTTTTAATGTTCTTTAGATCCTTTTCAGGGAGAACTGTCTTTTCCATCTCTATGTTTTAGTATTTTGGTTTCTGTGGGACTCTGTGTGAGTCAAACTCCCATAGGCTATGTAGAAGAAGAAATCCAAAGCTAAACACAGAATCCAGGAAATAATTCGAAGAAAATTCGTGGAGCCAAGGCTTGTGTATTCTGGACAGGGACTCATATTTTTCTAAAAATTTCTTATCCCTGGAAAAAAAGGACAATACAGCAGGACAGACTAAGGTTATTTGATGCTTCTGACAATATTTTACAAAAATTTTCAACCAGCAGTTTTAGTTGTATTTGAAGAATAACATAGAAACATCAATTTCCAGAAATGTAATTATATGATCAAATAGACATGTGTAAGTCAACATAAGAAATAACACCACTTACACCACTTACCTTCTAATTCAAGGCATAGGTGGCAGAGCATAAAGAGAGAAAGCATAGAAGACAAGATCACCTGGGAAGTTTTACTCACACCTGTGTGCTTAACTATCACTCAAACATTTCTCTCAAGCCCAACCCTCTCTTCTAAGTGCCAGACCTGCACTTACGGAGCCTCTTGGATGTTTCTACACAGATATCCAATGAAGGACCACTAGAACAAGAAACTCAGTTTTGTTCAATAACTTGACTCCATTCATTTGTCCAAATTTTCCTCCATTGCCATATTCCGGTGGAGGAGGGAGTGTTGATAATTTTTTTCCTGGTATTATCTCATCACTCTTTCCTTTCATAGTTCCCTTAGCCTGCCTCCCTCTTTTGGTGCTTGCCCATCTGGTGAAATCCTACTTGCCCATCTGGTGAAATTTGAATAATAACTTTCATCTCAAAATTTGCTTTCTGTTTGACGCCCTTCCTGATGTCACCAGACAGAATTGGCCGTGTTACTTCCTATACTCCACTAACGTCTCTCATTAAAGCACGCGTCATATGAAATTGTGATTACAGGGTTTGTCTTCTACATCTCTCTTTCCACAGGCTTTTTTATCTTCCTGAAAGAAGGGAAAATTTTCTATTCATTCATTCATTTCTATTCATTCATCCATCTATTCATCTAGCATTCGGTAAAATAGAAAAAAGCTGGGGGTTGTAAGATTAACTTTTCCTTCTTCTCTGTGTCTCTCTGACTCTCTCTCTATGTATATATCTTATATACAACATATAACATATATATAACATATCTGTATCTATATCATATATAAACATATCTATATCTATATCATATATGACAGGAAACTTCACTCAGCCACTAAGTGGCTATACAAAAACTTTTATATAGTTTTTAAAAATAACTATATGAAACTATAAAACAGCCAGGCACGGTGACTCATGCCTGTAATCCCAGCACTTTGGGAGGCCGAGGTGGGTGGATCACCTGAGGTCAGGAGTTCGAGACCATCCTGGCCAACATGGTGAAACCCTGCCTCTACTAAAATACAAAAATTAGCCAGGTGTGGTGGTATGCACCTGTAATCCCAGCTACTTGGGAGGCTGAGGCAGGAAAATTGCTTGAACCCAGGAGGCAGAGATTGCAGTGAGCTGAGATCATGCCACTGCACTGCAGCCTGGGCAACAGAGTGAGACTCCATCTCCAAAAAGTAAATAAATAAATAAAACTACAAAACTATAGTTTAAAAAATGATATATATATATAGTTATATATATATAAAACTATACTTTAAAAAACTATATAAAACTATCATTTTAGTCTCATATAAAGTTTTAGTTATATATAAATGTATACATATATAGTTTAGTTTTATATGCATAGTTTATATATAGAGTTTTAGTTATATACAGTTTTTTAAACCTGCTTAGTGGCTGAGTGGCGTTTCCTGCCATCATAGAGTGCAGAGGAGCCCTGCCACCTGGTCGGGGAAGCAGGACTGGGCACATTTATGCACAGAGAGGCGACATCCGTGCTTCACTGTGTCTATACTACTGGCACAGAGATAGAAAGCTGTCGGGTTCTTTTGGGCCGATGTCACAGTGAGAGGAAAGGATTCCTTCTTCTCCCGAGAGACGCTGTACCCTTCAGCTATATCTCCTTTCTGAAAGTCATTTACTATCTGTGAGTAGTAGATCAATCTCAGCCCTTGCCCTGGGTCCTGTCGGTACCAGTACATGGCATCGTGGTTCAAATTCTGTTCACAACTCAGGGTCACATTCTGTCCTTCCTTTCTGAACAGGTACTTTGGGGACTGAGTGATTCCACCATCCACGGTGTCTGGAAAAGAAAGAGAGGCATGCCTGAGTACAGCCCAGGGAGGCGCCTGATGCTGCTGTCCCTCGGGGAGGCCTTAGATTTGGAACTTGCAGCACTCCAGATAGGAATTTTCTCCCTGAACCCAGGACTCACTTGCTCCCAGGAGACAAAGGACCACACAGCAGAGCACCTGGTTGCTCATAGTGCAAAGGGGGCCTTCTTGGAGCTCCAAGCACTTGTTGGAAGAGAATGAGAAAAGAGACTTGGCTCGGGGGCTTCTCCTGGCCTAATGTGCAGAGTTTGTCAGAGGCTGGAATGAAGAGGTGGGAGGTTCCTGGAGATAATCAAGACAGGCTTCCTAATTTTGCAGATGAGGAGACAGGACAGAGAGCAGAGTCATTCGCACCTCCCATAACTCTGCATTGCATCTGTGCTGAGGGGGCTGGCACCCCACGTTTCCGGGCCAGAGTTTCACCCCAATTGGCCCATTGGTTTTTTATCTTTCCAGCAACCATAAGGTTTGGGTTACTCCAGGAGCGCTGTAGATACTCTGATTATACAAGAATGTGGAATTCATTTATTTTTCCTTTTTTTAAAAAAACATTGATACATAATATGTGTACCTATTTGTGGGTGCCTGTGGTATTTTGCTACATGCATAGAATGTGTAATGATGAACTCAGAGTATTTAAGAAGTCCATCCCCTGGAGAACTTATCATTGTTTATGCCCTCAGCTCTCTCAGGGAAACTGTGACTCCTGGGGTCTGGCCAGTAGTGCTGTGGCCACTGTGACAACCTGCTGCTTAGCCGTCCTGCTGCACAGAGCCCAGTGCTGCTGTTCCAGGCCCCTCATGCAATCATACCAAGACCTCGCCTTCTTTGACCGCCTTCTAACTGGCTGGTTTCACTCATGTCCTTCTCATTCTGCTACTTGTTTCTTTGCCTTTGTTCAATGTCCTGACTAAATTTTCATTTGGGTTTATTCTCCCTTGGTCATCTTTTATTTTTCATGACTGGGATAACTTTGTCTTTTTCTTTCATGTCCCTCCTGGGTTCAATCAATTTGTGTTTTTTTCTGATGTCTTCCCATTTTGGCCATTTGTAGTCTGAGTTTTTAAAGTCCTGGTCTGGTTATGGTCACTTATATCCTCAGCTGCTTCCTTGAGTGTATTTATTTCTGTTTGGAGTGTAGACTTACATTATCTTCTGACTCATGATTGCTTTTGAGATGAGGGAACAGGGAACAGAGGTGAGATGTTTTCCTTTGTTGTACGGGTATTACTTTCATCTTGCTCATTTTCGTGTTATTGAGGTGTTTTACAAAATTCCTAGTCTAATGTTCCTTTGGCCATCATTCTAGCAAAATCCAGACTCCTTAGTGAGCTTTGTTTGTTTTCGTAGTGGGGCTGGTTGTGGGTCCTCTTGATTTGTGATTTCCTTTTGTTTTGCAGAATTCTCAGTTTTCCCCTTTTTCCTCTTTTTCTCCTCACTATTGAATTGCCAGAAGACCCTCTTTCTTCCTCTTTGCCTTTTTTTCCCCTCCCTGTAAAGCACTACCTTTGGAAGACTGTTTCTTTAAATTACATGTCTGGTGCTTTAAATGGCATGAAGTTTGGAATCCATCTTCTCTGCAGCCTTGCTGGGGTCTCAGGGTTGGTCTTTTTCTGGAAATCTCTCTGGATCTTTCTCAGGCTCCCAAGCCGGTGTCCCTCTTCTGTCTTCCTGGAAGATTTTCTGGGTTTTTCTCCTTTTGGGTAAAGTGAGGGAGGGGCAGGAGTACATTAAATGATTTTAGAAAATCAAAGGGCAAAAACTGCAGTGGAATCACATGGTTTATACTCCAAGCTGGTGAGGCTGGACTTAGTCTGCACATATATTTGAAATGACTTTGCTTTTGTCTGCCTTTTGATTTTATGAAATTGTTTCATCAAAGCAAATTATAACAAATCTTTTTCTGTAGGTGGCCTATATCTGTTGAGTGATGAGAATAAAAACAAACATTAAGACAAAAAGTTGAGGTGACACATTTCTAATGAACAATATCTGTGGGCCAGACCTTTTCCCTAAATTCTAGACAAATTTATCCAACTCTATTTCCATCATCTCTCAGATGTTCTATAATTTTATAGCAGGAATTCTTGAACCTAGCATCCGTAAAAACCTGCACGGGTACTCAGCAAGGAACAGAACAAGGATTATGCCTAAAAGAATGCTAAGCAGCATGATGTGAGATAAAAATCATAACCCTTTGAGCCAAATGCTTTTTGCCACCTACTAGGTTTCCTTCTCCCTTCCCTCCCCTCCCCTCCCCTCCCCTCCCTTCCCCTCCCTTCCCTTCTCCTCCTGTCCCCTCCCCTCCCCTTTCTTCCCCCATCTCTCTGTCTCTTTCTTTCTAAAAATTAACTCCTAGGACCATAATTTCTCTTGGTGAAAAGGAAGAAAGCACTTCCTTTGCTTGTGTGTCTTGGTGATTAAATAAAATTATTGATGTAAAGCATGAAATATAGAACTTGACATACAGTGTGGAGTAAAAAACAGAGTTACACTGCTAAGTGTTTTGAAACTGACAAATTAAGTCAATGTTGAAACTGAAAAATTATGTCTAGTTCTTAAAAATCTTTATGTTCTTTGGATGACAGAGTCTTAGTTTCTGAGCGTAGCCTGGGATGTTTCATGCTATTCCTACAATCCTCCCCTATTTCCACCCTCAACTTGCAGAATACCGTAGAGCTGACCTGTTCACTGTACAGGTAACGCGTTTCCCTTCCTGGCCCACCGCTGTTTCCAAGGCAGGTCTGGAGGATGTTTGTGGACTGAGAGGATGTGGCTCTGCATCAATGTGGGTGGTGAGCTGGCACAGAAATAAGCTGCCGAATCTCCTCGCACTACCTGCTGGATCCTCAGGATGCTGGGGCCCTCTTTGGGAAATTCAGCAGAAAATCGTTCCTTTGGCATTCCTGACTCATCTATGATATTTTCTTTCTGGAGATAAACCATGAATTTCAGACCTTCCTCTGGGAGCTGCCGATACCAGTAAACATGACTGTGTCCTTTCATTGGGCTGCATCTCAGTCTTGCCTCCTGTCCCCTCCTCCTGACCAGGTGTCTTGGGTTCTGCATGACGCCGGCATTTGAGAGACCTCAGAGGAGAAGAGACTGCATGAGACAGAGTTGTAATGGCAGAAGGATGAATGTCTTACAGTGAAGGAGCCTGTTTGAAGTCTCCTGCGTTCATTTAAAAACTCACATGAATTTTGCTTTTTACTCCATAATGCAATTATTTGTTTTCATATAAATGTCAATACCTTTCACAAAATATTTGGTCAACACAGAGGTCCAGGGTATATTTGAGAATCTGCTGTAGAGCCCAAAACAAAGCCCAGTGATGGTGATCCTTTAGCTGAAAACTCACCTGCCCCCAGAAGACAGATGACCGCACAGCAGAGTAGTCTGGTGTCCATAGCAGAGTTGGCCATGGAGGGAGCCCACAGGCAGGGCAAAGGCACTTGCTGCAGCACGTCGGGGAACCAGACCTCACAGCTGCCTCCTACAAGATGCATCTTCCTGTGAGGTCACCATTTCCAGTGGGTCCTATGGTTTCGAGAACCAATCTTATATGTCAGTTAAATGGTAGATCTTTTGTTCTGACCTATACACACAACCTAGCTTAGTGTGTGTTTGTGAGGTTAGTGTTGTGAAGTAAGCACCTCTATTACTCGTTCTTTTTTTTCCCTCTTCACCTTTTTTTTTTTTTTTTTTTCAAGACTGGATCTAGCTCCGCTGCCCAGGCTGGAGTGCAGCAGTGCAATCATATCTCATTACAGCCTCAATCTCCTAGGATCAGTCAAGTGAGTCCTTCATCTCAGCCTCCTAAGTAGCTAGGACTACAAGCCACCATACCCAGATAATGTTATTCATTTTTTTCATAAATGGGGTCTTGCTGTTTGCCCAGGCTGGTCCCAAATTCCTGGGCTCAAGCAATCCTCCCCACCTCAGCCTCCCAAGTAGATGATCTCTCCACTATTCTTATTTTTTGTTCCTTTATTTTCCTTTTATTGGCTTATATAATCTTTCTATTTTCTGGCTGTTGCTGAGTAGAGGTATTGACAAGAGGTGATATATAGATGCACCCATTAAGAGACAGGGAAGTGGACACCAACATTGCTGGAGGGAAAATTCGAGATAGAAAATGATTTCACATTGTCTCAGTTTGCTTTTTCACTCCCACACCTCAGCTAAGGGATGGCTTCAAGCATTTTCAGGGAACTTTAAGATTTGTAATTCACTTTTGTCACCTTCACTTATTCCACTTGAATTTTCAATATAAGTGATTCAAAGAACAAACTCTAAAAAGACTTCCCCCTCTGACCTCAGGTCCCGTTATTCTGCATACCTATCTGTATCATTCTCTGTAGTCATGCATGGGATGCCTGTGTTTGAGAGATCTTCCTTCCTCCCTTTTTATTTTTTATTTATTTATTTGAGACAGAGTCTCACTCTGTCACCCAGGCTGGAGTGCAGTGGCGTGATCTCGGCTCACTGCAAGCTCCACCTCCTGGGTTCACGCCATTCTCCTACCTCAGCCTCCCGAGTAGCTGGGACTACAGGCGCCCACCACCACGCCTGGCTAATTTTTTGTGTTTTTAGTAGAGACTGGGTTTCATCGTGTTAGCCAGGATGATCTCGATCTCCTGACCTCATGATCTGCCCACCTCGGCCTCCTGAAGTGCTGGGATTATAGGCGTGAGCCACCACGCCCAGCCTCTTCCTCCCATTTTTCTGTCCTTTCTCATCCTGCAGCATTGAATAAAAATTATGTGAAAGTCTACTTTGTCCCAGGAGTAGTGAAAGAAAGATACAGGAAACAAGGCACAATCTCACTCCATTGGATAGGCACCCCAGAGGAGTTAGGTGTATGACTTGAATAATAAATAAGATCATGTTAACATTTAGTGTCCAAATAATAATGACTCATGGTCTTACTCATATCAGAATCCTAGAGATCCAAAAATATAGTCTTTATTCTGATGTTGGAGCTGTAATTTTGAATATTTTCATGTTGAGTGTTGACATTTTCTTTAAAATTGAAATATAATTTGCATACCATAACATCCACCCTTTCAAATATATAATTAAGTGGTTTTTAGTATATTCACAAAGCTGTAACTGTCACCATGAATTCCAGAATATTTCTATCACCCCAGAAAGAAATTCTTTATCATTAGATGTCATTTCACTTTTATTCCTTCCCACAGCCCATGGCAATCATTAATCTATTTTCCGTCTTTAAGAATTTGCCTATTTTAGACTCTGTTTTTGTTGTTGGAGACTGAGTCTTGCTCTATTGCCAGGCTGGAGTGCAGTGGTGCGATCTCGGCTCACTGCAACCTCTGCCTCCCGGGTTCAAGTGATTCTTCTGCCTCAGCCTCCTGAGTAGCTGGGACTACGAGCGCGCACCACTACAAGCTAATTTTTGTATTTTTAGTATAGACGGGGTTTCACCATGTTGGCCAGGATGGTCTCGATCTCTTGACCTCATGATCCGCCTGCCTCAGCCACCCAAAGTGCTGGGATTACAGGCGTGAGTCACTGCACCCGGTCTATTCTAGACATTTTATATAAATGAAGTCCAACAATATGTGCCCCTTTGTGCCTGCCTTCTTCACTTTATATAGCTTTTCAATGTTCATCCATGGTATAGCATGTATCAGTGCTTTGTTCCTTTTTATCACCAGTTTTATTTTAGAAATAAAACCTATTTAGTTAATCCACTCATCAATTGATGGATATTTCCACTTTTTGAGTAATATGAATAATACTGTTTGAAGTGTGTGTATAAATTTTTTACGTGAACATATTTTTTATTGTCTGAGGGGTATACCTAGGAGAGGGATGGCTGGGTTACATGGTCATTCTATGTTTAACTTTTGAGTAACTGCTGGACTGTTTTACACAATGGCACCAGCAATTCTTGAGGGTCCCAATTTCCTCACATCTATGCCTACACCTGCTATTGTCTGGGTATCTTTATTACAGCCTACTGGGTGTGAAGTGGTATCTCATTGTGATTTTGATTTGCATTTCACTAACGACTAATGATGCTGAGCATCTTTCATGTATTTTTTGGCCATTTGCAGATCTTCTCTGGAGACATGTTTAGATCCTTTCTCATTTTTAAATTAGGTTATTTGTCTTTATATTATTGAGTTGTAAGAGTTCTTTATATATCCTTGATACAATTCCCTGTGAGATATATGATTTGCAAGTATATATCCATTTTGGGGTTGTCTTTCTTGAAAGTGTCCTTTGAAGCACAGACTTTAAAAAATGTTATTAAGTCAAATTTATCTTTTTCTTTGGTTGCCTGTGTTTTGAGTTTCATATTTAAGAAGTCACTGCCTACTCTGAAGGATAAGTCCCTGGATGGCCTTGGCAATGTGGATCTCCCTTTTCTCTTTTATAGTTCTTAAGAATAACTGTAGGATGTGCTAGCAATACCACATCCTGTGATAATGAGGAACTGGCAGGAAAATCCTGGCCTCTGTTCTTGTCTCTCCTGGAACAGGATGTCCCACAGTGCTTTAACCCATTAAATGTAGCCCCTGGGTTTAAAACCCAGGACAGAGTGCACTTTCAGAGCCACTCAGCTGCAATGCAACATGAGGCATATGCAGGCAAGATTCTATCCATCCTGTGTAGTTTTTCTGAGCCTTGAGAGACAAACTCACCATGAATCCTAAGCTTCTACTGTCCTTTGCTGCCTGTCTGTGAGTAATAAAGTTGCTTTGCTCAACTTGTTATATGAATCAGGCAAGTGATGGAAATTGCAGTTCAAGATGCAGTGGGCTGTGAAGTGGTGGTTGGCATGGTGATGACCTCCACTATCCTTCATGCATTTCTCCCTGGAAAATTAACACAATCCCCTGGAATTAGTAACAGTGCACAGCGAATCTGCTTCATGTATACCTGTTAGAATAGGTAGGCAGATATGAAGAGGGCAGGAGAAGAGACCCCCTCTCCCCCCTCCCCCCGACCCCCACCACACACACTCCAGAATGTCAGGTGATCATCAGGTGATGGTCAGGTGGTTGTTAAACTGTCTCTCAAAGATGATAATTAGTCACAACCAGCATCCGGGAAAGACAGTTTCCACATAGATAAAAAAACATCTGGAGCTTGTAATCAGCAGCTTCCCGATAAGATCTCTGGAGTTGGGCGAGTGGGCTCAAGCATGTGCACAGAGGCTAAATGACGGAGTTTAACTAACATATGACTCTAGGAACACCCCACTGGTAAGGGAAAAATGCCTCAAGTGAGCATGTGCGCAACTCCAGTAAGAACACTACATGAGCAGCCCCTCCCAAGTGCTGGCAGGCCACTGAGCACACAGACAGCTTGCCCCAAGGTGAAAACATCAAGGGAGGAGAAACACAAACCCTAGAACCATGGTGATGTGTAAAACCCTAAGTCAAGGGCTAAACAGGGCCCTTAGGTCTCTCAGGTCACCCGCTTGGCCCTCTTCCAAGTATACTTTGCTTCCTTTTACTACTACTCTAAAACTTGCCCGGGTCTTTTCCTCTGCCTTAAACTTCTTTCTGCCCCTTGGCCAAATTCTCTCCTCCTAGGAGCTAGAATTGAGTTTACTGCAGACCCATATGGATTTGCTGCTGGTTACATACACACCAAGGTCACAAAGATGTATACCTATGCCTTCTTCCAAGAGTTTTAGCTTCTACATTTAGGTCTTTAATTCATTTTGAGTTATTTTTTGTTTATGGTATGAGACAAGATACAACTTCACTCTTTTACACATACATACACAGTTTTCCTGGTACCATTTACCATTCTTTCCCCATTGAATGGTCTTGGCTGGCACTCTTGTCTAAAATTAATTGCCCATAAATTTATGAATTTATTTGAGGGTTCTCAATTCTATTCCATTGATTTATATGTTTATCCTGTTCCAGAACCATACTGTTTTGAATAATGTAGTTTAGTAATAAGCTTTGAAATTGTGAAGTGTGAGTTGCCCAACATTTTTTCTACTTTTACAACATTGTTTTGGCTGATCTTGGTACTTGGGACTTCCATATGAATTTTTACTTTGGTTTATCAGTTTCCAAAAAAAAAATACAACTAGAATTTTGAAATTTTGACAGAGATGAATCTATAAATCAATTTGGGGAGTGTTGCCACTTAACAATGTTAAGCCCTCCAACCCATGAACATGGAGTATCTTTCTATTAGGTCTTTAATTTCAACAATATTTTGCACCTTTCAGCCCACAAGTCTTTTCTGTTTTTTTTTTTGTTGTTGTTTAATTTATGCCAAGATATTTTATTATTTTGTTGGAATTATACACATAATTCTGCTCTTAATTTCATTTTCATATCATTGCTAACATACAGACATACAATAGAACTTTTGGTATCAATCTTTTATTCTGCACCTTGCTGAGCTTGCCTATTAAATCTAGTGGAGTTGTCTGTGTACATGTGTATGTGTGTGAGAATTCATATTTTCTATATACAAGATTATGTCAAGTGTCAACTGTAGTTAGAGATTGTTTTATATCTTCCTTTCTAGTCTGATTGTCTCTTATTTTCTTGAAATGACTAATTGCCCTGGCTAGAATGAGGTTGTTTCAGGTTGACTTTTTTTCTTTCAGTACTTTAAAAATGATGCTTTTCTATTTTTTTCCACTGGGTATCCCAGAAAAAAAAATTGTGCATACTTTGCCTAGACTTACCTGCTCCCAATAGACAAAAGCTTTATGGAAGAATTTCCACTCATCCATTACAGAGTGTGGCAGAGAATGCACACCTGCAGCTTCAGGTACCAGCTCTGAGAACAGTGAGAAACCATGCTGAACTTGGAGTTCTGCATGGATTCATATGCAGATTTTGTTTATTCTATTAAATGACAGAAGCCATAGATGAATGGTTCCTGGCTCAGATGAAGATCTGTTCTAAATTTTAAAATTTTAGATTCTCTATGGTCTAATTTTAAGCTACTTTTCTTAGTGTGTGTGTGTGTGTGTGTGTGTGTGTGTGTGTGTGCCTGTGTGTGTGTGTGTCTACGTGTAAGCCCTGAAGTATAAGGCAGCAGTGAGTGAGGTCACTGGTCATAGAATGAGCAGATAGTGAGTTTGTTTTGATTATAAGGATAGATATGAGGATATCTCAAATGTGCCACAATTTCAGAATGACCCCATTTGAATTTGTATGTCTTCTTTATTGAATATTCTCTTTCATCTGTGTTCCCTGGATTTGTTGGCCATATTTTTATTCTTGAAATCCAAGGGTCACCTTAATCCCTCTGATCTCCCTCACTTTTTACAGCAGACAGTGTTAAAATTTTGTTCATTCTGTATCCCAAGGGTTTATTCTCCTCTTTCAAATTCTGTTCCTGTTGTTTCAGTTCAAAGCCTCATAATTTCTTGTCTAGGCTATTCCAATAGTTAACTTTTTCTTTAAGAAATTTATTTTATTGTTTGTGCTATGAGACTTACCCTGCTAACACATTTTTAAGTGTATAATACAGTATTGTTAGCTATAGGTTAAATGTGCTAGCTTTTTTCTTTCCCATTTTAACATCCCTCCATTTAGTTGCTTTTGACAACTTTGTCTAATATATAGATGACTTAATTATTTTCTGGCTCAATAATATGAAAAGATCATTTTTGAAATCAAAAGAAAATTTAAAATCTTTGGATTCTCTATGGCTTAATTTTAAGCTACTTTTCTTGACTTCACCCCTAATGATATTACACTGTGCTCCGGTTTTGCTGAGCCCATGTGTGCCTTCCCACTTCAGTGACTGTCCTGCTCCCCACTCTGCCTAAACCTTCATTTTCTAATTCCAATATCATTGGAAGAATCATTCAAAGTTGCTTTAAAACATTCTTTTCTGCCAATATTCTTGGTTTTCACCTCTAACTCTGAGCAAATGGAGCACTTTCTTTATGTCTATCTTATGGGATTTCCCTCAGCCTCTACCACTTCTGTTTAAGTGTATGTGCATGTGTGTGTGTATGTGTGTGTGTATCTGTCTGTCTTTCTTCCCACTAAATGGTATGTTCCTAGAAGGGAAAGTCTTATTCTTCTTTGTGTTGTTAATAACATTTATCATAGTCCCTGATGTGGAGGAGCTATTATTTAATAACTCTCTAAATTAATTAAATTTCCTATTAGTCAAGATTGAGTTTATCCTCCCTAAAATTTCTAAGCAAGTTAACCACAAAAAATACAAATCATTTTTCTCTCTTTCCTGCTTCATCATTCTTCCTTTAGCTGAGAAGTTACTTGAGTGCTTATAATATAATTGCACGGGTCTGGGGCTACTGGGTCTTCTCAAGAGCTCTAAGATTGATATGTACACCTGTTCTACTAGATAACTGAAGCCAGGATAATTTCCTATTGCAACCAGGTGATTGCATCACTCTGAGTAGCTGGTATTGTAGGGGTAACTTGCAGAGTCATTTTAGGCAGCAGATATTTTGCTGTGAATAAATGTATTAGCCTCAGGCAGACTGACTACAAATCCTTGGAAATTACTTTTTCTGATTAATCATTTTACTCTAAGCAGCTATAAGCAAGCTGTGGCCCCATCTCTAGATTTATCAATACCACAATATGAGACATTCCTCAATGTCTTCCCAAACTTGTCTCATTCTCAACTTCTGATTGGATATTGTCGTTTCTAGGTGACTGAAAGTGAAAAAAAGACAGGAACTGAGGAAAGGGCAAAAGAGCGAGCCTAATGATGCAGCCATCAGTGAAAAACTGCAAGCCAGGTCCCAGAACACCTGAAACTGGAATGCCCCACCTGCTCCCAGTAGAAAAGGCCACTAACAAAGAATCTGGGGCCTAGGGCAGGACCAGTAGGTATGTCCTATAAATAAGGGAGAGAGCTTATGTCTGTCTCTCTGTGGTTTCTCCACCCCAACCCAAATAGCCTGGCACATCACAGTCCCTACATTAGCTCCTCCCTGTCAAGAAACCCCACCTCCTGTGCAGCCTAAGTCAGATGTCAGAAATAGTCAGGCCGGGCGTGGTGGCTCACGCCTGTAATCCCAGCACTTTGGGAGGCCGAGGTGGGCGGATCACGAGGTCAGGAGATGGAGACCATCCTGGTTACCACGGTGAAACCCGGTCTCTACTAAAAGTACATAAAATTAGCCGGGCATGGTAGTGGGCGCCTGTAGTCCCAGCTACTCGGGAGGCTGAGGCAGGAGAATGGCGTAAACCCGGGAGGCAGAGCTTGCAGTGAGCCGAGATCGTGCCACTGCACTCCATCCAGCCTGGGAGACAGAGCGACACTCTGTCTCAAAAGAAAAGAAAAGAAAAGAAATAGTCAAAACAGCCTCTCCACTAAATCCTAAGTATCTGAAGCTAGGTCTTAAGCATTGGCACTTTGTGTCTACTCATCATCAATCAAAATATCTATGGCAGGTCACCATGGCAACTGTTCAATCTCATGCCAACCTTCCCAAGTGTCAAAATTTCTGCTTAGCCACAAGCAATGACACTAGCATTTGCCTACAGTATTGACAAGTTTGGTGGCCACTGTATAGCAAGAAGACATAATGTGCTGTGTTCAGACCTCTGGGAACTGTTCTTATTCTTGTCTTTCTCCACATAATTTGTAGTTTGTCTTCCCGCAGTATTTCTGTACCTTTCAGCTTCCTATTTTCAACTTCCATTAGTCATCCTTTAGCTGTCGTGCCCCTGGGCTTTTTCTCTCTGCTTGTTCTAGTTCCTTTCTCATTCTTTAAAAAAAAAAAAAAAAGTATATATATGTATACACACACACACACACACACATTTTTTTAAATTTTTGTTGTTGTTGTTGTTGTTGTTGTTTTTGAGAGGGAGTCTCACTCTGTCGCCCAGGCTGGAGTGCAGTAGCATGATCCTCAGCTCACTGCAAGCTCCGCCTCCTGGGTTAATGCCATTCTCCTGCCTCAGCCTCCCGAGTAGCTGGGACTACCGGCGCCCGCCGCTACGCCCGACTAATTTTTTGTATTTTTCAGTAGAGATGGGGTTTCACCATGTTAGCCAGGATGGTCTTGATTTCCCGCCTCGTGATCCGCCCGCCTCAGCCTCCCAAAGTGCTGGGATTACAGGCGTGAGCCACCGCACCCAGCCTTAAAATATATATATATTTTAATTTTTATTCTTTTTTGAAAATTTCTTATTTTTTTTTTAAATTTTTAGAGACAGGGTCTCATTCTGTTACCCAGGCTGGAGTTCGGTGGCATGACCATATCTCACTGCAGCCTCGAACTCCTGGGATCAAGCAACCCTCCTGCCTCAGTTTCCCGAGTAGCTAGAACTATAGGTGTCAGCCAGTGCACCCAGCCCTTTGCCATTCTTAATTCAACATGATGATAGTAGAGCAAATCGAATTAAATAAAATCCCTGATTACAAAAGCCAGCTCTACAATTGGCTTAGTGTTCATCCTGCACTTACCCTCCTTAAACTTCAATTTCTTTGTTAGTAAAACAGGGATAAATAACATAATTTTGGGTTGCTGGTATGGATGAAATGAAATACCATATGTGAAATATCTAGCATGGTACTTCACGTATAGCAATATCCTGCCTAGTTTTTTCTCCCTCTTAAAGCCCATACCACCTCTAATGAATATTATAATATGTTCTTCTAGGAGATTATTGAGCTGATTTAACATAACTGTTGTGATGATACACTACGTTTGCTTAGAAAGAAATTAAGGTCATTCTTGTAATTTTACTAGAAAAAAGTTATTGCTTCATTTCCAATCTTTGCCATGAAACATACAGTTGTGAGACATTGGACCAATTATTACTCTTTCTGAGCCTATAAAATTGGGGATAATAACACCTACACGAATAGTTCTCTTATTCACAATTAAGGGAACAAGTCCCATGTAGCATATGGTCACAGTATCAGCATATGTTGACCACATATGGTAATTTTGACATTTATGCTGATATTGTCTGGCACGGCTGGGTTGACTGAAGCAGAATGACATCTCTGGACAGATCTCTTTCCTCTTGGATGGAACAAGCAAGAGAAATGCACACTCGTTGTTTGTAGTAGATTTGGAAGGTATCGCACAGTATCTGGGGGTAATGACAGAATAACCAGTCATGGAGTTGCTTCTGTCAGTGGTCCAGTAAGAGCCAAACCGTGAAACTCAACAAAAAGCTGAAGCACAGCAATCCTAAATAATAACACCTCATAATATTAGGCCAAACCTATGTATATTAGCGTTTGAGTTTTAGGCACCACACTAGGGATTTTCATGAATTATCTTATTTAACCCAATACTATCAGGTAGGTATTATTATTATTATTATTATTATTATTATTATTGAGACAGAGTTTCACTCTTGTCATCCAGGATGGAGTGTAATGGTGCAATCTTGGCTCACCACAACCTCCGCTTCCCGAGTTCAAGAGATTCTCCTGTCTTAGCCTCCTGAGTAGCTGGGATTACAGGTATGTGCCACCACGCCCAGCTAATTTTGTATTTTTAGTCGAGACAGGGTTTCTCCATGTTGGTCAGGCTGGTCTCGAACTCCCAACCTGGGATGATCCACCCACCTCGGCCTCCCAAAATGCTGGGATTTACAGGCATGAGCCACTGTGCTCAGCCTCAGGTAGGTACTATTATCTTCATTTTAGAGGTGAGGAAGTGAGGCATAGAGAGGTTCACAGTCTTGCTCACGTTCACATAGCATTTGAGCAGAGGAGCCAGAATTGTGGTCTGCATTGTTTGATTCCAGAGCCTACACTTTTAACTATCACCTTCTAGTGACCCATGGCAGGCAGCATCACATACCTGGGTGGGCAGTGGACATTTGAACGTCTTCTTGCGGCATCCAGGATGAGACTTAACGCTGTGAACACAGATAGTTCCTTTGAGAGAAAGGTATTTCTTTAATCATGAGTAAGTAGGGGTCAAAGACTATACCTATCAGACAGAAGTCACATTGTCCAAGACATTAGGTGGAAGATCACTAATCTTGTTATATATTACGCATGTTGAAGGGACATTTTTATTACGTATGGAAAATATATAACTTTTTTATTATTTATGAAAATATATGTGAAACATATAAAACATGCCAAGGTGGACATGAAAGATGTTTCTATAATTCTGAGGATTTCCAAGGCAGTCAATAAAGATGCCTTCATTAAGGGAGTTATCACTGAATAGGGAAATATTTTAAGAGACCAAACAGAAGGCACAGGTTGGGAAAGAATCAAGTAAGAGAGACAGGAAGAAAATTTGGTTCAAATGATGGGCACTGGCGGAAGGGGAGAGAGAAAGGGGCTGGCCTTGTTATGAAAGCCCATCTGGGAAGAGCAGGAGCTCAAAAGCTCAGAGAACCTGGAAACATATAATTAAAGCATGAAAATAAAACAACAAATTACTCAGTAAACTGTAGAGTGTTAAATGAACATGAGGTATTTTTACAGCCAATGACATTGTTGGCAGGGTGCGCAGGAGACTAGAGAGAAGAGGGTGGATTTCTCCGGAAGGCCAATAAATGTATAACAATTCTTTTATCCTATTTCACTTTTATTACTTATTTTACCCCGTTGTCACTGGCATGTGGTGACATTTATGTATTAGTAGATGAATGAGGGAAAGTCAATGTCGCTTGGTTTTCTTCACAGAGAAAATAGGTCTGGAAATATCCTGGTAGGTTTATTAGCAGGTAGGAATTGGGAAACGTTGGAACACATTGAGAGGCAGTGGGTGCTGGGCAGACAGTGACAGAAGCACTACGAAGACCAAGCTGAGTTTTTAAGTTGAGGCTTCATACACCATATATCGCTAATACAAACTGTAAGTAGGGCTGAGATATATTTAAATAGTAAAATGACAAAAAGCAGACCAATGCTATAGCTTCGTGTTTATTTATTCTATAATTTAAAAAATCTATTTCATTAAACCGAAACAAAGAAATGAAGGTACTGCAACATTAATAAACAATTTACTTTCAACAGAGATGCTATCATTTGTGTCATTATCTACAATGACCGTATAGTTTAATGTTCAAATTGAGACACTTTTGTATGTGAAAGAGGATACTATTAATTATGACAGGACAACAAGACTAAACCGTGATTGCGTGGTAAATCATGACTGCGCGGTAAATAAATCATGAGGTCCCCTCCCCAGACTTTCTAACACGTTCCTTTACTGCCATCTAGCAGCAGTGGAGGGGATTGCAGGAAATGTATAATACTTTCACAAACCACATTTCAAATTAGCTTCAAAGTTATGGTATATAGGGGTGATCTATAATGTTCCTTGCAATCAGATAGTCTCTGGATCTGTGTTATCTGCATATGTAATTATGTTCATATTTTCCAGCTTGTAGTGATGTCTTCCATCGCAACCCTGATTGTCACATGTGTAAAATAGCTGTAGATAGATAAATAGATAAATATTATAAATACATATATTTATATATTATTTATATATAATAATATATAAACACATATATTTATATATTATTTATATATAATAATATATAAACACATATATTTATATATTATTTATATATAATAATATATAAACACATATATTTATATATTAATACTTATATATAAATATATATAAGTATTTGTATTTATATATAAATATATATTTATATATATATTTATATATAAATATATATTTATATATATATTTATATATAAATATATATTTATATATATATTTATATATAAATGTATAAAATACATTTATATATAAGTATTTATATATACTTATATAGAAAATGTATTTTTTATATTTGTATTAAAATTTACATAAAATATATTTGCATATATTTATATATCTCTTATGTGATATAAGTATATCAATAAATATATATTATTGATATAAATTTATATAAAATGTTATAAATTTTATGTTTTTATTAAATATAAATATATTTATGTTAAATGTATACATAAATATTCTAATATTTGTATAAATAAATAAATAGCAAGTCAAATAATCATATTTGTATCAGATCTTAGAGACTAAGTGGAGCAAGTCTCTAATTTTGAAGAGGAGGACACTGAGTCCCAGAGAAGTAAGAGCATTTGCCAAGATTTCACAGCTGAAGGGGAGTAAACAAAACCAGTTTTGGGATTAGAAAGCAATTTTTCTGACTCTAATTCCAGTGTCTGTGAGTCTAGGGCCTGCAAGAGAGAGAGAGGAACAGATGAGTGTTTGAAGTAACAGAATAAAACGTCGCGCTCCCCTGGGCAGCTGTGTGAGGAACTGAATGTGCTAGGACAGTCCCCGAGTGGGGATTTTAGTCAGTGTTTCTCTGGCATCCATCCCCTAAGAGGGTCGTGTTGCCGTCTGCCTTGCGGTTTGGTTTAGTCACTGACCTCCAGGGAAAGTTGGTCTTATTGAAGAGATGGATCTGCAGTAGTCAACAGGCTGTTCCATAAATGTACATGTCATTGCCTCTGCTGGGGTACGTTGGTGGGGGAAGAGTTTGCAGGAGAACTGTGTTTGAGATAAAATCAGTAGGAATGTTTTTGTGTTTTGGTAAGTAATATCAACCTCAGATAGCTGGTCTCTGAACTTGGAAATTGGTCTGGGGCCCTTCCTTCTAAACATGTGGATTCCTCCTGATCCACAGAATGTCTCATTTTGTATTTGGGTAGTTTCAGGAGCCCATTGTCCAGTGTGCCCATCATGACCATTTAAGACCTTAATTCATGGTCTTGTACTCTCCCGGTAGCAGCTGCAGCCACAACAATCAACTCGCTTCTTTCTTCTGGGGTAGGAAGATAAGGAAGAGGCTTTTTCAAATGTTTTCTTGGAGTTCAACTGGGAGAAGAGCAGCCAGAGGGTTTGCACCCTGGAGGGAACTGACTCAGCCATGCAGTGCCACCGCTACTGTAGAGATACACGGCTGAGTCCCTCGGCTCTGCGGGATGGATCTTCAGTGTGGAAGACGTTCCGTTAGGTCTTTCAGCTGTGAATCGTTCCTTGGGCATCCCTGAATCAACTGCAATGTTTTGGTACTGGAAGGAAATCAGCAACTTCATTTCTTGCCTCAGATTCTGTCGGTACCAGTGAACAAACATGTGACCAGAAGATGGATCGCACCTCAGAATCACCTCCTGTCCCATGTTGGTGACCTTGTGTCTGGGGGTCTGGCTGACTCCAGGCTCCGAGTGTCCTGTGGAAGAAGACGGAAGCCATAGAAGGTGAAGGGAAGCCCAAAGAAAACATCTTTTTTTTTTGAGATAGGGTCTCTCTGTGTTGCCCAGGCTGGAGTGAAATGTCGTGATCTCTGCTCACTGCAGCCTCTACCTCCCAGATTCAAGTGATCCTCCCACCTCAGCCTCCCAAGTAGCTGGGACTACAGGAGCACACTACCACGCCTGGCTAATTTTTGTATTTTTTGGTAGAGAAGGTGTTTCACCACGTTGACCAGGCTGGTCTCGAACTCTTGACCTCTGGTGATCTACTCACCTCAACCTCCCAAAAAGGTGGGATTACGGCTGTGAGCCACCACGCCCAGCCAAAAACATCTTTATGCAAATGTTTAAGTATACCTGGACCCACCTGCCGCCAAGAGACACAGGGTCACCCAGCAGAGGAGCCAGATATCCATGGTGAGGTCAGGCAGTGCAAGACACTCCCAGCGATGGGTTCTGATGTGCAGTAGCAAAGAGCAGTGAAAGTTCTGGGTTCCCTTGGCCGCATGATGTAGGATCTGGCCATGACATCATGTCCCCAGCAACACCCACAACCTCAGGGCACCTTCCATAGGAGATGGGGATCCTTGGTTCAAATATTTGGCCTCATCCTTATTTTGCTACATGGACGATGTTAAACAAGGCTCCAATCCCACTTGCAGGTGCTTAGGAAAGTTGAAGATTAAGGAAAACATAAGAGGAAGTGGAAAAGGAAAGAGAAGAAAGTGAGAATAAAAAAATGAAGAACAAAATTTTAAAGCACTACAGAAGATTTGCGATGTTATTAATCTTACGAAGTCCTTGGGGCAGAACTTCAGCACTAACAGAAATACTCAGGAGCAATGATACGTATTCCTAAAGTCCACCAACAAGAAATTTCGACTCTGAAATTCTGAACCTGTCCTAGAATATACCTGTTTAACCCATGCCTCAGGTGACACTGAGAAAAGTTGTCTCAGACCACATTTCACAATTTTTTCTTTTCTTTTCTTTTTTTTTTTTTTTTGAGATGGAGTCTCTCTCCATTGCCCAGGCTGGAGCACAGTGGTGCAGTCTCAGCTCACTGCAACCTCCGCCTCCAAGTTTCAAGCGATTCTCCTGCCTCAGCCTCCTGAGTAGCTGGGATTACAGGCTCCCGCCACCATGCCTGGCTAATTTTCATATCCAAAATTTTTTCAGTAGAGATTTTTAAAAGGCTAAACAACAACAACAAAAAACTTTCCCATTAAACTAGAATATTACACTTTAAATAGAATGAGAAGAATTTTCCTGGGAAAAAGAATATTAAATGGATAGATTTAGTTTCTGGGAGCTGCATTGAAAACAAAAAGAATAGAGAGAAAATGAGAAACTAGTTGAAAATGATGTAAATGAAACTGAGCAAAAATTAATGCTCAGGACTTAGGGCATGGTCAGTATTGTCAAGAGCTTCAAAGAGATCAAGCAGGCAAAGAAACACACATGCGTCTTTTGGTCTGGGAAATACGTAATTTTAATCTTTAGGAGAACAGTTTTGGTAGAATGGAAATATTTCAAGAAAAAGCTGAAGATAGCATCTAGAGGAGTGACTTCCCTGTGACAAAAGCAAAGATGTAGACCACCAACAGCAAGACTGGGCTTGAGGGGGACCGAGAACAGAACGCTAAGGAACACTCACTTCTGGAGAGCGGGAAAAGGAACTTAAAATGAGAAGGTATAATATTAAATAGATCAGAAAAATGATAAAGTGAGAACTTCTGTTTCCAGGAGTCACAGTAAATTTTTTTCCCAAGAAAAGAAGTAACTTTGGACTTCTGGAAGTAAGACAACTGGGTTCAACTTATACTGAAATAAGAGCAGATGTAACTGGAGAGAATAAAGGAACTTCTCTCAAAGCGAATGCTAGGTGGTGACCAGATCTGTGAACAGAATGGATTATCAAATTTTAACAGAGTTATTTTGAATTCTATAACTGCTCAACATAAGTGTAGTCTCCTGCCTAGGTACAGTTGATACCATAATGCCTCATTAGGAATATTGATGTTGAGTACATTGCCCCTCATTACAATTTGAATCATATACCTGAAGATCTTTTAATTCTCTGTGCATTAATATGTTTTACACCAAGAGTACATTAATCTGTTCTCCTTCAGTGCCATAGAGGCCAATTAGTGAATTTGTAGGATCTGAAGTTGTCACACTTAAAATGAACATGCTTTTTGTGTTATCTAGGTTTAATTTCTTTTTATTCCTTCTATTTTATTTATTTATTTATTGTTTTGAGACAGAGTTTCGCTCTTGTTGCCCAGGCTAGAGTGCAGTGGTGCGCTCTCGGCTCACCACAACCTCCCCCTCCCAGGTTCAAGCAATTCTTCAGCCTCAGCCTCCTAAGTAGCTGGGATTACAGGCATGTGCCACCACACCTGGCTAATTTTGTATTTTTAGTAGGGATGGGGTTTCTTCATGTTGGTCAGGCTGATCTTGAACTCCCAACCTCAGGTGATCTGCTTGCTTTGG
This sequence comes from Homo sapiens, assembly GCF_000001405.40. Classification (NCBI taxonomy): domain Eukaryota; kingdom Metazoa; phylum Chordata; class Mammalia; order Primates; family Hominidae; genus Homo; species Homo sapiens. The sequence goes on along the minus strand of NC_000007.14, from coordinate 142,599,547 downwards.
CCTTCCAAAGTGCTGGGATTATAGCCGTGAGCCACCACACCTGGCCGGTTTAATTTCTTAAAGAGAGATTAACCAGACTCTTTACGTGGTCTGATATTGTTCTAAATAATAAGGTTTTGATCCCCTCTCCAAACTCTTCTCTTTTCCCAAGGTCTCTATATTCCAGAAAATGTATTATCCCCAACTTCTCACTTGTGATGGGTGCCTATTGGATGTTCTGACTGGATTCCACCCCTTGAAATCCTTGGTCCACAAGGTCAGAGGGACAGACTCCCAGATACTATCTTGTTCAAAATAATTCAATTCCCTTGGATTTCCACGAGCCCATTCTTGAGTAAAGCAGGATCACATTTTTTCCCCCTGCACCCTGGATTTGTAATCTAGCATGAGAGAAAGTCACGTTGGTCTCAATTGACTGGAGGGCTAACACCTAAATCTGCAATTTTCTAATCACTGTAAGACCTAAGAAACAGAAAAGACAACTTATAATAAAAGAATGAGGCCGACAAGGTATATAAAAAATGAGTTGTCAATCAGCCATGCCATGGTTCTAAGGTTTTTTTTTGTTTTTTGTTTTTTTGAGATGGAGTCTCGTTCTGTCGTCCAGGCTGGAGTGCAGTGGCACGATCTCGGCTCACTGCAAGCTCCGCCTCCCGGTTCACGCCATTCTCCTGCCTCAGCCTCCCGAGTAGCGAGTAGCTGGGACTACAGGCGCCCACCACTAGGCCCGGCTATTTTTTTTTTTTTTTTTTTTTAGTAGAGACAGGGTTTCACCGTGTTAGTCAGGATGGTCTTGATCTCCTGACTTTGTGATCCTCCCGCCTCGGCCTCCCAAAGCTCTGGGATTACAGGCGCGAGCCACCGGTTCTAAGGTTTCATTGCAGTTTATTTCTGGGAAGTTCCTGTGTTCTTGCTTTGTGGTTCTATGGGACATACATTTAGCCTTATAATACATTCCCCTTTGGCTTAAGCTAGCTCTAGTTTCTGTTATTTCCTTCCAACCTAGTATACCACCTGCTTCCTGAGCTGAGTCCGTGATGAGTCTGTGTCCTAAGATTAGCTAATATTTAACACTGTGGATTGGCTGCTGGCACAAAAATACACTGCTGAATCCTCAAGCTTCGTAGCCTGGATCTCAAGGCTACAGGGTGAATTTGGGAGGCACTTAGCTGAAAATCTTTCCTTGGGCATACCTGTTTCATCAAAGACATTTTCATTCTGGAAGGAAATCAAGAACTTGAACTCGTTTTTCAGGACCTGTTGGTACCAAAAAACATAACTGTGTCCTTTTATTGGGGCACAATATAATTTTGCTTTCTGTCCTTCCCCTCTGACAAGATGTTTTGGAGTCTGGGCGACTTCTTCACCAGGAGAACCTGTAAAGAAAGCAGACAGGAGTTGGAGACTGAGCCCATGAGGGAGTTCGATGACATGGATGAAAGGCTTAGAGCAGGGAGCTGACAACTGCAGAACAGGGACTTACCTGCAGCCAGCAGACAAAGGATTGTGATGCAGGTGAATATTGGGCTCATGGCAGAATTAGGGGAAGAGCAGGCAGCACAGGCAGCTGGCTATCTGTGTGGCTCTCTCCACCTCTGTCGGCGGCTTCTCTGTGACGTGATCACTTTGTAGAATCCAATTGCCTTTAGCATCCTGCTCTATACAAGTAACACAAATTAAGAGAATATGTGAAACAATTGTATTCAGCCACTGGAAAGCAGACAGCACAGGACTGGGATTCTGCCAAAACACCAAAACATGGGGGCAATTTCTGCACATACACAGTGGGGAAGAGAGCAACAGAGCATGGCAAATTTTGAGTTGCGGAAACAGGTTACAAAATCAGCGGGGGCTGAGGCAGCTAGAATTTTTAAGGAAAGACCACCAGAGAGGAGGAAGCTGCACAAGAACTCCAGATGTCTGGAGGAATTATCTTAATTTTTTGGCTAAACAGTAAACTGTGTCTGTGTAGGAAAAAGCTTTAAAAGGCATTGGAGAGAAACCCCAGAAAGGCTTCACTGGCATCCACAGAATGGCCATGCTCTAGTAATGAGACAAAATTAGGCTAGAGCAGGAGTTGGTGAACTACAGCCCACGGTCTGGACACCTATTTCTGTAAACTGTTTTATGGGCAGGGGGCAGGAGGGGAAAAGTAGTCCAGAATGGCCTCATGAGGAGCTTTGAATACCCTCTCCCCAGAGAAAAAGACATAACTGCTGAAAATTTAAAAACAACCATTGTGGATCTCTGAAAATTCGTGAGTCACGATCAATTACCTGAATCTGACCTTGGGTTAATACTTCTTGGCCTCTTAGGGAGCTGGAAACATCTACTGTTGTTAATCTCTATAGGTGGTGATGTAAAAAATGATTCTATAGTAGGGATATCTGCATTGTCTTTCAAAATTAAAATGAGGATGAGGGCACATTCATTCTCATCCTCTGAAACTGACAATCTATAGTTAGGAGGTACCAATTGTTTCTTATACTCGTGAACCTTATGCACTCAAACATCCATTTTTCCAATCCATCATTATAAGTATTTCAGCCCACTAAAGGCCATAAGATACTGGCTTTTAGAAAGCTATTCTGGTGGATTTCAGAAATCCTGTTTCTTCTGAACAAGGCTGTGGTACTTTATATTTTGTATTACTATTAAAAATTTAAGTCAGACTCTAATAATTTTAATATATCTTCTAAAGCACCGCATCTAACTTTTAATAAGTCCTATTTATATGCCACATAAGTGGTTCATCAACAGATTTATATTAGGGAAAATATCTGTATATAATTGTAAATATAATTGTAAATAATGCATGATCCAGGCAATTTATTTGTCTTAAATTCTGGCACAAAGTTTTAGCAGTTCTAATTTTCCTACTTGATAAGAAAACTGCGAGACTGCACCAATGTTCCTATGAGGGAAGTTTCTTCTCTTTCTTAGGGCATGGATTCATGAGAGTGAGGTTCTGTCTTGTCCAGTTTTGCCCTTAAATGCAAAGAGCTATACAGCTATAGGATTCCTTACAAGTCTAGAGGATCACAGATGTCTGCCAGACTGGGTTTGCACTGGCCAGTGTTAAGGTAACAGGTTCCTTCTTATCCAGAGTCGTACTGTTCTCATCACATACATCTCTTTGGTTTATAAATTCCAGGAGTTTAAAACAAGTCTCTCTGGTTTGTTTATTACCTTATTTCCAGAACCGGAAACAAGGTCTGTTATACAGGAGTTCCTAAATACATATTTGCTGAACAAATGGCACAAGAATGAACATCAGTAGGCAGTCTAAGTCCTGAGTCTTGTTTACAGCATTGTAAGTTTCATCACTCACATCTGAGTGTCACCTCTGTTTCTGTCTCTGTGATTAGGATATCCACAGAGTCTGTGGGACTAGAGTGTAGGAGCAGGGGCTAGAGAGGAAAATGGGGGTGAATATTGGACTACCAGAGGAAGGTGTGGAAACAGACTACAGTGTGAGTGCCCAAGGCAGACAGACTATCTACGCCCAGGACTCACTGCCCTCAGGAGGCAGAGGGACTCATAGCAGAGGAACCTGGTGCCATAGGCAGGCTTAGAGCAGCAGTGGGGCCTCAAGCTTTAGAGATCTAAAGGCTTTGCCTCCAAATTCTGTGTGTTGTTTCTATTTTGTCTCTGTTACCTACGGCTCTCTAAAACCCTGCACATATTTGCTTGGCAAGAAATTGGCAAGTTTTTAAGGATCAAAGAGGGGTCTCAGACTCTCAGATAAGATAAAATAAAACAGGGTTAGTTTTTCTAGGTTGAACTAATGTGTTGTCAGCACTAACAGCATACCTCAGAGAGTATACAGGTGACTAGTTCATGTCTATCCTTAATGAGGAAGGCAGGCAGGCAGGAAGAAAGGAAAGAAGGAAGGAGGGAAGATTGAGAAGGACAAGAGAGGAATCAATTTTTTTTTTGAACCTGAGCTTCTTCTGGAAAGACAGGCTTTATGCAGGTCGTATAAATTGATCATCTCTAAATAGTATGGTTCTAAATTGTGTGGTTCATACAGAAGAACCATGAAAAGGTCTAAGCCAGCCTCTAGCTAAATCCAGGGTTCTAGTCCCAGTGGTGAAAGTGCTAAACCTGTAAGTCTCTTATCTCCCAGTTGGGCGGGGATGGGGTGGGTGTATATCTGTGATACCACCACACATACCCACTCTCGGATTCCAAGTGTCATTTTTGACATAGTCAGGTTGCAGTTTATGGTGACCCTTTCCTCGTATCTCACAGCCTTCTGGACTGCATGTTGTGCCAGTCTGGATAAAGGATGCTCTACAGCTTCTCTCACCACTCTTGGAGGCAGCTGATTTTCTGCCCGCACCTGCCCCCTGAACATCCTGTCACTTTTTCATCCATGTTCCATCCCCATAGGCTCCCTCCCATGCATATAACCATGATTCAAAGTTTACTACTTGAGGAAAACACTTCAGCATCTCTGCAAGTTAAAGAGTTTATGTTTAATTTCTCATCCTCTAAGGGAGACTCATTCATCTTTAAATGATCCCTTGGGATCAAGATTTAAGTTCTGCATTTTTTACCCTTCATCCTCCCAGGTTTAACCCAAAGACCTTCTTTCTCTATGTTGGTCCTCGGTGCAACTCAAAGCTAGTCAACCAGTGAAGCATAGTCACAAGGGCTCACCCTCTGGCCAAGACCCAAAGAAAAGCCAGTGCAATGTTGGTGAGAGTGTGGAAATCTTCTGGCTTATAACCATTTACCTTCCTATCTGAAGGTCTGACTTAGAATCCATGTAAACTCCGAAGACAGAATGAGCTCCAGCAGTAAATTGTCTACATTTTGATACTGGCTCCACCACAAACGAGATACGTGATAAAGGGCTAGTTACTTGTCTGTGTCTCAGTTTCCTCATGGATAAATGAGTGAGGTTACTATAGTATTAACTTTCTGAGGTTGTTATAAAACTAACATGAACTATAAATATATGTGAAGAAGACTTAAGGTCTAGCATGTAATATGTGCTTAGTAAATGTTAGCTATCATTATGTTATTAATATCATTAAAGCAAACAATTTGTAAAAGCTCTTTTGTAATAGGTCTTGTCATATTTTTCCTAGATTATCTTAATTTAATGTGCAAAATTTTACATTTTTAGATAGCCATATAACTATATTTTCTGCTTTTTTTTCTCAGAATATCGTTCTCATTGAGGGATGTTAATTATAAGGTAATTTATAAATACATACTTCCATGTGACAATTTATGAGGTTGCAATATTTCTCACTCAGCATTTTATTTATCTTTGTTAAGGGGAGCAGGATCTCCCATCTTCTTCCCTCCTGTAGTTTTTCTTATTGACATTTGCTGGCACTCTTATGCACCTTAATGACATTATTACTCTCTTCTATACAGATGGCTCCATGATCTTCATCTCCAAATGTACTCTATTTTCAATATCATTTCTTTATGTATTTATGGTTTCCATTTGCTCATCTCAATAGTACCTCCAACTCCAGATATGAGCAGATTAATGTATGGTCTTCTCTTTTTTTCTCTCCAATGTGGTTTTACCTCTGAGAAATTTTTATCTTGGGATACTTGTGCTTTCATTCTCCCATTAATGAGGTAGTTGCTCCAGGTCTAGGCTAAAAACATGTGGATTCTCCAGGAGGATTAAATCCTATAAGAGTTCATCGAATGCCAGAGACTGGACTTTATAGACATTGGGTGTCCATAATTCTTCACATATCACCTCTTATATTTCTAAGCCTCTGACTTAGATTAAAACAATGAAAAAAAGAAAGAAAAAGTTCTTATTTGTCTTCTGAAAAGGACAGCATGGGTTCTAAATGTGATCCTGGGAAAATACCACCAACTGAATGCCAGGCATGTGTAACCACTTTTCCACTCTTGGCATAACTGTCAATGGTTTTTATTGGTTTGTGCTCAACTTCTGTCTACAGATATTGACAGCCACCAACCCACTTCCTATTGTTGTAAGAGGTGGTGAGGGAGAAGTCCTAGAGAAAGCACCTGGATCTGGGAAACAATGAGGTTTATGAACAGAGAGCAGGAAGCACTGCAGCTCTGTGTCTCTGCTGGTGGCACACAGGTACATGGCTGCGTCCCCCAGGCCTGGTGAGCGGATGTCAAGAAAGCAGAAAGAAGTGTTCGGCCTCCTGGATTGGAAGTTATCAGGGGTGTCTGCTTCATTGTTAAAATCTTTGTCATAGTAGTGGAACAGCAGCTTTGGGGCCTGACTTGACTTCTGCTGGTACCAGTACATGACGTTATGGTTCAAAGTCTGAGAACAACTCAGGGTCACTGGCTTTCCAAACTGGGTAACCTGGTATCTTGGGTTCTGGATGACCATGGCATCCCCATGACCTGTAGAGAAAGAAGACAAATTTGGAGTCAGAGTTAAGGAGGACAGTGTTACTGCTGTGAATGAAAGGTGCAGACTGAGGACAAGATAGCTTTGCTCAAAGATTTCCTTTCTGCCCGGTACTCACCTGTTCCAAGGAGACAAAGGGCCATCCAGTGGAGAAGCCCAGGACCCATGGCAGGAATACCACCCCATACAGGAATGAAGCATCTGTCTGTCTCAGGCTCTGATTCCTGGGTTGAGAGGTGGGAGTTTAGAGAGTCTCCAGTCCCTGATAGGCAGATTGGCCTGTGATGACTGTTGCTGTTGACTTTACCAGGGCCGGGGTCATTCCTTGTTGCAATGTGATACACAGCTTCCTACTTGGCAGGTACATGGGCTTGTCTGGAACAGGGATGGAACAGATATTTATTTTCTATATCATTTGCTGCTTCCTTGAGACAGGTGTCCCCATATTTGCCCCTGTCCCTGTCTCTGTCCCGTGTTCATCCAGTTCTCCTCACTTTACCTCACTTTTCTCACATCCTAAAAAGCAGCCCAGAGGTTTCTCCATAAAGATAGTATTTGCTAAAGTCTCACTCAATAACCATTAAGATAGTGCCTTGGCTTTTTGCTACTCACATTAAAGATGCATGAATGTGATTAGGTATTAGTGTATTTACTATAGAAAATTAATTTCTATTTATACCATGAAAATATATGTTAAAATATTGGTGCCTAGATTTAGGAAAACTGATGATTACGTAATACTTGGAATACAGAGATACATGTGGTAAGTAGGGTCTGTATCTGACCTAGTCCAGGAACTGTGCAAAATGATACTTGAGAAGAGGGGCCTTACACCTGTAATTATTGTAGGTGTCATCTAGAGCTTGGCTGCTCATTGTGGTCCATGGACTGGCAGCTTTGGCATCACTTGGACGGACTCTTGTTCAAAATACAGGGAACCTTAGCTCCAACCCTGACTGATTGGATTAGAATCTGCATTTTAACAAGGTCATAATTTACATGCACATTAAAGTTTGAGGAGGCCTGGGCTAAGAGGATTTTTAGAGATGGTGGAGAAATATATGCAGAGCACGATGTTGAGGACATATTATAAGAAATGATATTATGTAAGGATTGTTCAGATAGAATGAATTCCATGGTGGCCTTCCTAAGGATATTATTTCTTTTTTGTCCTAAAGTAGACAATTAGAAGTTGACTTTTAGAAGCTGGACTAGCTGCCATGAATCTGTACCTTTCACTGTTCTGACTGAGAGAAGAATAAGGATCACCCATTTCAAGTCTGAGATAGCAATCCATGATTTTTTAGTGGTCTAGGAAACTGTAGAAGACTCACTATTATGAAGATGCCAGTTCTTAAATTAATATATGGTTTTAATGTGATTTCATTCAAAATATCAGATTGGATAAGGCTGATAATAATTTTCATAAACATGAAAATTTTAAGCTGTATCATAAATGATATTTGTAGGCACAGTGTGGCAAACAGTAGGAAATACTTGAGGCTAGAGGTGACTGTTTTCAATGTTCCCATGGCCTGGGTCTTGCCTGACTTCCATCATGGTCGAAGGGATTATTACAGCAGCATGCCCATTGTCCATTCATGGAACCCCATTGGTAAGCTCTGTCTACCATCACAGGGTGAGTTTGGCCCATCTGTGTAGCCAGCTTGGTCAGCATCGTATGTGTGTAGCCTCACCATCCTCACGGCACCCTGCTGAGTCCACTGCCAACACCACTTCAGGACAATGAGAGTTATGGGCACCATGAAGCACTGAAAGTCTTTCAGTTCCATCTGATCCAATCATATGCTGTGCATTTATGACTGTAGACACTTAAATGCAGACAGACATGTTCTCTTAGGGATTCTGTAAGAAATACCTTGTTATTTCTTGCAATTTGTTCTGGGTGTGGCCTCATTTGGTGTCATGCCCAGGGGGCTGCTTCAGAGTTACCATCTCTCACGTGTCCAGGCTTAGGATGAATTTCCTGTCATAGGGTGATAATTAAGGGAGAAGCCTTACTAATGAAAGGCAAAACATAAAGGCCAAGGGCAGCATGGGAGGAGAAGACCTGGATCCCTCATCCTCCTATCATGCCAAAGAGAGGTGTGCTGGGTGCAGGGGTCCGGGCTGCTTAGCACTAGACATTCCAGGTTTGAAGTATCAGCTGTTTATAGGAGTTGCCATCCTTGACTTCTTCATGTATAATTTAAATTGCAGCTTTTATCACTTCCTGGAAAGTGTAAAGACCTTAGAGCCCTTATCTGCATTTATTCTTTCCATCTTTTATGCTAGCATTTTTCATTATTTATAGCTAATCTAAAAATAGCTAATATTTGCAACAAGAAGACATATTTGAGGCTTAATCAGAATAAAAGTTGATGTTTTGGAGTGTGCTCGAAAGTTCTGGAGACCTAATGGACAGCATGGTGACTATAGTTAATGATTATTGTACACTCGAAATTTTCTGAGAGTAGATCATTCTCACCATACATATACATACAAAGGTAACTTTGTGAGGTGATGGTTATGTTAATTAACTTGAGTGTGGTAATCATTTTGCAATGTATATGTATATCAAAACATCGCCTTGTATACCTTAAATACCTACAATTTTTTTCTGTCAATCATACCTTAAGAAAGATTAACAAATAAAAAAATTCTAAAAATTGTACCTAAAGATACCACTTGAGCTAACAGAACTATAAAGAGAACCACTGTGTGCCCCTTATAGGATAGAACATTCGGTGTCTATAGTATGAAATGGCAAAGCACTGAATTAAACTTCTGCTTGTTAGATTTTGGAGTTGAGGCAATGTACCCACGAGGAACTTGTTTTGCTTCATAGCTGCTATTTTTAAATATAATGGAGAGATTACAGAGTGGAAAAATAAATCAATAATTTAGTTACTTATTATGACCTTAGATTACATAACACAATAAAAGGAAAGGCACCAGTTAGGGTTCTGCAGCTGAAATTTTGAAGAAAAACTCATGTCCAATATGTGGCTATGCTTTAAAAATCTATTTCTCTTTGTTCTTGTCATACTAAAGGAGTTCATCGACAAGTTTCAAGCAAGATATGAGTTTGCGATGCCTGTGACAGAAACAATATACCTATTCATATTACATGTCCACATAGAAAGAGAGAGTACTGATTATCTAAAAATTGGATCTTGATCATTAGAAAAGGAAAATGGGTTTTAAATTGTTTGAAAAAATTAAAATCCAAGCCCACTTGTAATATTTTCTCACTATCCATTTGCCTAATCAGGATTAGGATGAGTTCAATAATAATTTGAGGTGCTAAATAACAATCAGACTGGGAAAATGAAACTTATTATTAGAGTGAATTTCAGGACTGTTTGCAAAAACATGGCTGAAACATGAGCAGAATATTGGAATCCAGATATTAAAAGAAGGCAGTTGAACCAGGTAGAATGTATTATACCATTAGGTCTCATTAAAAATTACATATTCCAGGCCAGGCATGGTGTCTTATGCCTATAATCCCAGCATTTTGGGAGGCCAAGGCAGGAAGATCACTTGAGCCAAGAAGTTTAGGACCAGCCTGGGCAACATAGTGAGACCTGTCCCTACAAAAAATGCAAAAATTAGCTGGGTGTGGTCATGCACACCTATAGTCCCATCTACTAGGGAGCCTGAGGCAGGAGGACTGCTTGAGCCCAGGAAGTCGAGGCTGTAGTGAGCCGTGATCACACTGCCATGGCACTCCAGCCGGGGTGACAGAATGAAACCCTGTCTCAAAAAGAAAAAAAGGCCGGGCACAGTAGCTCACACCTGTAAACCCAGCACTTTGGGAGGCTGAGGCAGGCAGATCACTTGAGGTCAGGAGTTCAAGACCAGCCTGGCCAACATGGTGAAATCCCGTCTCTACTAAAAATACAACAAATAGCCAGGCATGGTGGCAGGCACCTGTAATCCCAGCTACTTGGTAGGCTGAGGCAGGAGAATCGCTTAAACCCAGGAGGCAGAAGTTGCAGTGAGCTGAGATTTTGCCACTGCACTCCAGCCTGGGCGACAGAGCAAGACTTCGTCTCAAAAAAAGAAAAAGAAAAAAGAAAAAAAATAGGAATACATATTCCTATTGCAGCAACTGGAAGTGATCTTAAAAAATGTTCTGTATCGGCTGACAGATATCTATTTATAGTGCTAACTATATTTTTTACATTAAAAACTCAGACCCTATGTGAACAGAAAATTAGCATTAACCTCTGATAATGGACTTAGCTATTCCACTCTAAAATGAGATTGTTTTAAAGTGGTTGGAAATTTATAAATGCTAGACAAAAGCAACCTAAACTCATCACCACCATTACCAACGTCACCACTACCACCATTGCTAGCATCATCATTGAGCATCCTAAAAGCCAGTAGTAAATGCATTTTTATTCACTATTTTTATTTTCATCAGAAAGACTTGTTTCTCTTACTATAAGAAGGGATATAAAGATGTGGCCTCACAGTCAGAGTCACAAACCTTTCAGAGCAGCAAGATAGGCAAGAAGTCTGCTTTATAACCAGGGCAACATACACTTTAAAAAATAAAAATAAATATGAGAAACACATAGTTTGAGTTCTGTTTAAAAAACTTCAGAGATCCCCCAAACCACAAGTATTTTCACCCAAATCTTCTTGGAATACTCTTGTATTTCATGAGTTAATTCTGGTTCTTTATCTCCCCTCCCTTGGGGGAGAAGGCACAGGGAAAGCCTTCCTTTTGGGCAGCTGTGAGTTGAGAGGAGAAGGCTATGGTTTTGCACAGCAAGGGCACGACTGTGAAGCACTGTGTCTTGGCTGCTGGCACAGAAATAAACTCCAGAATCCTCCAGTTCTGCAGGCTGCACCTTCAGAGTAGAATACGTCCCTCCAGTCCTTTCAGCTAAGAATCGATTGTTGGGCATACCGGACTCATCCTGTTTAGACTCTTTCACAAAATGTAACAGAAATTTTATTTCTTTTCCCATAACACGTCGATACCAATAAAGATTATCATGTCCAGAAATTGGGTCACATCTCAGAGTCACAGTCTGGCCCTTCTCTATTACGCTGTGGCTGGGGAACTGAGTAACTCCAGCTTCTATGTGCTCTGTGGGAAGAGACAAAAACAGAATACATGACATGAATAGACTGGGATAGGGTACAGCACAGATATTTAAGTACCTGAAGACTCACTTGCTCCCAGGAGACAAAGGGACACTAAACTGAGAAGCCTGGAAACCATGGCAGGACCCAGGTAAATCACATTTCCAGATGAAGGAGCTTACAAGCATGAGAAAAAGGAAAGCAAATCTGTCTCTTGGCCCTGTAAGATGTGGCCTCCAGTGACATCAGCATATTAGCCAATGTCCACAGTCTCAGGAGCTCCCTCTACGGACATGAAACATAGAAGACCTAGCCAGGGTTCTCTGAAGAAGATTGCCTCTAGAGGGGGCAATGGAGAAAAACTGACATCAATTAAAATCAACCTGTTTATGCATTTGACTAGGTGTTAACCTTATATATACCACTCGTAGCTCCTGAGTCTGATGTCTGGATCCTACCTCATCCCATCTGGCCCTGTCTTCCCTCATGTATCACATCCCCATAGACTGTGGGGCATTTTAATCTACGGTAGCTATTGTTGCTATTGCTAATGATCAATACTTACCTCCAAATTCTCTTTTCCCATTATCTCTCTAATGCACTCCAATCAACATTTTCCCCCCACCACTCTCAAACAGCATGCTCTAAACATGAAAGATTATCCTCAACTTTACTCCACCAACAGCCTTCCAGCTGAAAACCTTAGAGTGGTTCCCAAATCCTCTTTTTCTATCCCACCCTATAGCCAATCCATTAGGAAATTCAACTGGCTCTATCATGAAAATACACTCAGAATCCATCCATTTTTTCATCACCTTCTTTGCTAACCCTCAGGACAAGGCCACCATCATCTTTTTCCTGGATTACTGCAATAGATTCCTAACTGATCTCCCTGCTTTCACCTACTTCTGAACTAGCTCTCAAACTCAGCCCTCTAGAACATGCTAGATCATGTCACTCATCTCCAAATCATCTACTAGCTCCCAGTTTTATTTGGAATAAGAAAACAAAACAACAAAGCACTTAAGGCCATCAAGGTCTTAAATGATCCATCCTGCCCCATTACCGCTTGGAAATAAAGCCTACCACTCCCTTCCTTAATTTTTCAGTCATATGGGCCTCCTCATTGGTCCTAAAATATTTTTTTAGGGTATTTGTACTGGCTCCTCCCTCTGCCTGGAATTCTTTTCCCCCAGATACCTACATGTCTCTTTCCTTCATCTCCTTGAAATCTTTGCTCAAAGGTCACTTCCTCATTGGGCCCTACTCTGAACAATGTATTGTCATTTCAACGCTCCTTACTCTGACAGTCCTGGTCTCCCTCACCTTAGTCTGCCTTTTCTTTTCTGCATTGCAGGTATCACCTGCTAATACACTATATGCCTTACTTATTTGTTTATCTCTGTCTCTCCCTCCCCGCAAAAATGTAAACATCAAGTAGACATGAGTCTTTGTCTTTTTCTTTTTAGTATGTGCACTGAGAACATAAAACAATGCCTTAAATTCTTTCAAGAGGAGGTACTGCTGGAATAAAATCTTGAAAGGAGACTAGACTTTTCCAATGAACTATGGAAGGCACACCCCAGACAGGGGGACATTGAAGTCTCAAAATTATTTTCTTTCATTATAGTTTGAGATGGGTGTCAGATAAAAACATGACAGCAAGGTTTGCAGAAAATATTATAAGAACATGAGTTTCTTGGCCTAGTCTCAGGTTAACTGGACATATTGGAGTGTGTTAATTTTGAGTGGCTGCTATAAAAATTACCACAAAGTTGCTGGTTTACAATGACAGAGATTTATTCTCACAGTTCTGGAAAAGTCCAAAATCAGTATCAATGGACCAAAATCCAGGTGTCATCAGGACCGTATTCCCCCTGGAGGCTATAGGAGAGGATTCGTTCCTTGCCTCTGTTTCTAGTGGCTGCCTCACTCCTTGGCTTGTGTTCACCTCACTCTAATCTCTTCTCCTGTGGTCACATTGCCTTCTCTTCTCCATTTGTGTCTGATCTCCCCCTGGCTATCTCTTATAAGGACACATGTAATTGCATTGAGGGCCACCAGGCTAATCCAAAATAATCTCCTTATCTCCAGATCCTTAACTTCATCACATCTGTAAAGTCTACTCTCACCATCTAAGGTAACAGAGGCAGATCCCAGGGATTAGGATGTGAATGTCTTTGTGGGGAGGGGTATTACTCAGCCAGCCACACAATACAAAATCTGGCTTTTGGAAATTCTCACAGGTATCATTTTCCTGCAATAGTAATGCATCAACTTTAATCTTTTGTACTTAAATCTGACATGGACATTCTCTTCACAATGGAGCCTCAATATTTGCCTCCTCACAAAACTAGCTTTGGTGGAGTCTGTGTGGCCCAGCGTGCTTGGGATTGTGCACAAAGGAGACTACAGAGGGAGCCCCTGTCTCAGAGAATCATCAGAGAAGCTCTAGTGATGGGCTTCTGAATGATGGGCTTCTGCTCAGCCTCCCTCACCACCCCTCCACCTCACCACGTTTAGGATGCAGTGAAGCAGAGGTCAAGAGGAAGAAGAGGTTGATTCTAGGTCTAACTGAGAGCTCCAAGACTGGGGAGTAAGGACAACTAACAGCAGCTTCACAAATTGGCTTGATAGGGACTCAGGTGACCCAAAGCTGGAGAATTGATGTCCTGTGGCTATAACAATACTACCAAGTGACTTTATATCCTTCATCCAACACCCACTAGTGCTAACATCACACAAACTAAGAATTTGACATTGGCACAACTAAGCTAGACTGTACTCAGATTTCCCCAGTTTTTCTAATAATGACCTTTTCCTGCCCTAGCACCTAATCCAGGATCCCATACTGCATTTAAGTGTCATATCTTCTTAGTGTTCTTCAATTTGTGACAGCTCTTTCCTTGTTTTTAACGATATTGACATTTGAAGATTACTGGTCAGGTGTTTTGTAGAATCTCTTTCAGTTTGGATTTGTTTGATGCTTTCTCATTATTAGACAGGAATTATAGATTTGGGGGAGGAATATTACAGATATGTAGTCACATGATAACATCACAACATTGCATCATAAGAGAATGCACATGAGGTTAACAAGACTTATTATGGGTCATGTTTATTTACTTTGGTCACTCGGTTACCATTTTTCTATTTCCCATGTCTGTTCATTAGAGGCAGGCCACTGAATCCAGGAGAGGGGAATCTAGAGGGATGAGTATAAAAGAATGTGTGGGCATATGTTAAAACCACCATATTAATTAATATTTTGGGGATGACACTTTGTGACTGTACAAATGATCCATTTCTTCTTAATTAGTTATTAAAGTTATTAGTTATTAATTAGTAATTAAAATTAGCTACACCCACTAATTTTAGCACTCACTATTGGGTTTTATGTGTGGCAGTTACTCACAGTGGTGTTGTCACAGTGACTTTTCTATTTCCCTCTGTTTCTTCTACATATGCAATTTGGAATTCTTCAGTAAGAGATTGTCCTTTCTCACATTTTTTATTATTTATTTATTTATTTAATCGTTTCATTCTCAGTGTGAACTTGTGAATTTTCTTTTACAAATTGTTCCAGCCTTAGTCATTGGGGAAGCTCTTTCAGATTGATTCCTCTGTCCTTTTGAGATATGTCCCATCCTTTTTTTTTTTTTTTTTTTTTTGGAAAACCTCATTACAACATTCTTGTATTTTTTACCTCAGGGTCCTAGAACCACCTTTCATTTTTTTTTAATTGGAGAATAATATTTGGCAACAAACATCTGTGCACTAGTGGTCTTCTAAGTGGACAGAAGTATGAAATACATGTATATATACCAACCCATTATTCACACAGGTATGTATTCATTTCTTTACCATTGTATCTATACGTTTAAAAACAATAAATTCATACTGATATCTCCGAACAGGTATTCTTGTACATTAGAAATATTCTTTAGTTTTGCTCTGAGACTTAAGTTACTTGGAAACAGTTTGATATTTTGAAGTCTCACCCACATAGGCCAGGAGCCAAATGTGGCTTATTTAGTGAAGGGCTTATTTTGCTTTTATACTGAGGCATAAGTCATCTGAAACCTCTACTGATTGACCCATGAATTATTAAGTTTCCCATTCTCAATGCAAAAATATACATATACATATATATATGAGAGTAATATATGTATATATTACTCTCAGCCCTTTGTGAGCTCCAGGCATTGTTTCCTCTAATCTTGCTGAGTGGCTCTTTCTCCAACCTTAGGGAGTTTCCTCACACATGTACTGCTTACAGCACAGCTGAAGGGTTAAGGGAGACCCTAGGAAGGTCTCCAGGATTCTCTCTGTGCAGCAATCGCCTTTTCAATGGCCTGTCATGTGAAATCTAGCTGCTTTGATCTTGTATTTCCAACTCTGACTCAGCTCAGTGAGATCACCCAGCTCTGCTTGGATTCCTCTTTCTGGCCCAGGGCCTGGAAACTCCCTCCAGGTATTAAGACAGTCATAGTTCTCAGCTTGGTTGTTTCCATCTCTCAGAGATCACTGTCTTCTGTTGCCTACTTCCAATGTCTTGACAACCGTTATTCCACATGTTGTGTGAATGTGTGTGTGCAGGGGGACAGGGTGGGGGTTGGGGTGTTAGCTGTTTCAAGCAAGAAGTTAAATCTAATTCCCGTTAATCTATCTTGGTTGGAAGCAGAAGTTTACTCCAGAACCGTATTGAATCTCTTAATGCCAGGGTCTCCAAGGGTTTTAATGGTTATGGACCTTTTTGTCAGTTTTTGGGTATATGGTGTACATTCCATGCAGAGTATATTTCATTCCAAACACATGTGAGACACAGTCTGAAGATTCAATTTTTCTCTCCTAACTTTTCCTTTTTATCTATCACCCAAAGGCCTGACCAAACATCCAGTTTCCAATTATGTTTCTGGGTCTTTGGGGTGTAATACTTTTACTTTATAAAGCCTGGGAGCATTTTGAAGCTCCAGGATTAAGGCAAGCAATGTAATTCTGGCTGTTTTCTGTCATCTCTTTCATATGGACATTAAAATCCCAGCTCCAGCTGTGAGGCCTATACCGCTCTGAAAACTTACAGGTCTTTATAATTTTAAATTCCCCTTAATACTCTGCCTATAAGCTCTCGCTTTTTTTTTTTTTTTTTTACATAGTAAATTCCTTTTTCTTTTTAGTTTGTTTGTATATTGTTTTATAGCAGTGGTGTTGTTTTAAATTTTGATGGTAAATAGTGTATCAAATTTAAAAAGCAAAAATTTTAAACAAAGACAAAGCTAATCATGTTCTTTCTGCTCTTTCTATATTTTATCTCTCCAAATAACCAGCAAAATATATCACAACTTTTTTTCTTCCTTACCCAAGCATATAAAACTATATATAAACTTAACAGGGATATTTATTGATTTATTTTTTCTTAAATAATTTTATGTGCCATGGATTATTTTGAAAATATTTTCCCCTTGGAAGTTCATCTTTATCATTCCTACAAGAGAATGGATAAATATGCCTATTCGGCATTCTTTTAACTTTTTTGTACGTATGAAGTGAAGTGCGCACACACATAAAAGTGATAGAATCATACATTCTGGGTGCATAACTTTTTTTAGTACTTCTATAATTGTCAAAAGTATAACTATAATTGAAAGATGAAACTGATGAACTCATTAAAAGGTAACAAATTATTTTAATAGAAGAAAAGTATATAATTTTATATGCATAGAGGGACTTACAGACCTCAAGACACACTGTATCGTTATAATACTGCTTGACAAGGGTAAGGGACATTTTATGTTCTCTGTGTCATTGAAAGGGGCACAGAGTAGGCCCCATTTTATTTTCCAGGTAAGAAACAGAAAAAGAAAAGAGCTGAAGACATATGCAAAATTTCACAATCACCTTGGAACACATAGTCTAAGTCAGATAAGGAATATAGTACATGAGGAGATGATATATGGTGCAATATTTGCAGGAGAAGTCAATTAGTGGTCCTGATGGGGTTGAAGAATTGCTGCAGAAGTAGTACCAGAGATGAAAAGAGAAGCCCGCATGAGACAATGGGATGCTTGAGGAAACTATTTGGGGGTAATTCAAATAATTTGTCATTGGAATCTAGAAAAAGAAAGTGGAAATGAATATCTGACACAAGGTGAAGGAAATGATCATTTGAAGTGAGCAAGTGAAAAAACTGGGAAGCCAATATTGATGTTGGAAGTCATCAAAGATGTTGAAAGTTTTAAGGTAGAAGAGAAAAGAAATGGCAAAGAAGCCATAACGGAAAGCAGCAAAGGAGATAAGCATCCATGTGCAATGGCTGCACAGTTTTAAGCTCACTCAATCACTTGAAAGCTCCAGTCTGTGACACTCGCCCTCAAACTTGGACTCAGGCACCCTTGTGAGAAGTATGTGTGGAATCCCAGGAACCATCACACCCACTGACTTCCTACCAAAAGTTTCCTAACGTGATGTGTCCTTATGACCTGTTCTTGCCTTGCCTAGGGACATGTGGAACACGAAACCTATGTACTTCCTGTGCTAGGGGAGGAGCAAGAAAGGCTGCTGAGAGCTGCTGGGTACTGGAGGAGAAGAGGAAGCACCAGGGTTTCTGCACAGGGAGCAGGTGATTCTGCAGCGCTGTGACCAAACCACTAGCACAAAAATACACAGCTGAGTCCCTGGGTTCTGAGGGCTGGATCTTCAGAGTGGCTAAAGTTGCATCAGGCATCTCTGCTGAGAATCGATCCTTCGGCATCCCCGAATCATCTAGAGGAGCCCGGTTGCGGAAGTAAGCCAGCAACTCCAGTCCTTGCATCATGGTCTGTCTGTACCAGAAAACAGTATTGTGGCCTAAAATTGGCTGACATCTCATTGTTACTTCTTGTCCCATCTCTGTCACCTTGTGCCTTGGTGTCTGGGTGACTCTAGCATCTATAAGCTCTGTGAAAAGAGATAGAATTTGGGGACAGAATAAGAAACATAATTGGAATCATAACTGGCAATATCCAAAAATGCAGGTGCTTTATTTGTGGGGACTCACCTTCTCCCAGGAGACAAAGAACCACACAGCAGAGGAGCCTGGTGGCCATGGCAGGGTGGGGCAGGTGGAGCCTTCACCTAGATGAGGCCCTTGTGGGCACGAATACAGGAGCTGAGGATTCTAGACCTCTCACCCAGAGTAAAAGGGGGACTGTCAGTGACATCACCATCTCTGTCCCTGCTCAAAGGACCTTCCTCCAAAGGTGAATGCTAAGTCTGTACAGAAGATTGACTGAAATAAATTACAATTACTCTGGGATGTGTTTGGTTCACTCAAAGACTCCAAACATCCCCATTAGCTGTCACCTCTCCTGGCTGCAGTGCTTCTGTGGCATTGCACATCACATCACCCATTCTGCTTTCTCTGACGCGTCACATATTGATCTGCCTGGTGCATATTGCCACTTAGGTGTACCATCAGCACCTCAAATTCTGGACATCAATAAATTACTTGTGAAATCTCAAGAACTTTATTGTTCCCCTTACCGGCCATCCTTATATCCCAGACACACAAAATCAAAATAATGTGTTGCTTAGTTAGAGCTTTGCCCCATATCCCTCCTGGAAGCATCTGGACCTCCATGCTCCTCATGCAGAGAACAAGGTGGCTGCCCTGGAAAGAGATAGAACTGTGCAGATTTTATTTCCAGTGAGGGCTGGAGATGGATACTCTCGTGCTCCGTGACTCCCCCAGCCCACAGCACAGTGTCTTCTGCATTTCTGGAGGACAAGGTCCCATTTCGCTTCTCCAGGGTAAGGTTCAAAATTATGTTAATTCTTTGGGCATGGGTGAAGATTGAGCAGTGATAAGTAAGAGCTTTGACCTTCCTTGAAAACCACAATAAGGCACTCTCCAGTTAAATGTGATCTTCCTCTTACTTCTAAGAAAGCACTAACAGGTTCCTTTAATGATTAACACTTGAGTCTCTTGTTATAGTAAGTCAACCAATACTCACAAATAAATTCTTTCTGGTGAGGGGGTGAAACTCTAGAAAATGGCCTGCTTTTTAGGGTATAAATAGTAGTAAGAATTCTGTTCATAGAGTGGATGTGACACACTAGTTCCATGTCTCTGCTGTTGGCACAGAGATTTTTCCTCCAACACCCCAAAGAGGGGAGTATGTCAAGTGACAGAGAAACATATGACTGGCAGGGTGAGAAGTTACAACCGTGATATTTTTGTAATGTTAGAGAATCAGCAGTAACCACTCCTTTCTGGTCCTGTATTTGTTTGTGTATGTGTGTGTGCTGGTGGGGGGTCTTGTGCTTTCTGCAATCAGGTGTCTTCAGACTCCATAGCATCCTGAGATTTGTGGATGGAGAAGGCAAAACCTAGATATAGGGCTTAGGAAGGAAGATGAAAACACAAACATAGAAAACACTTTGATTCAAGGCCACAATATTCTAGGATAGGGATTAAAAAAATTTTTTTTTAGCATATCCAGGTCTAACCTCTTCCAGGGTACAGAGTCATGAAACAAAGAAACTGTGAGCATATAACAAGAAGAGCACATGAGTGAGGTATCTCCTTCCTCTGTGCTCTGATCTTCAATGGAAAATGAAATCAGAATTTGGGACACCACAGGCCCTGGTAATTTTTCTGATGATATTAATGTATTTGTCGGCTTATGAGGAATGAGGAGCCCTCTGACTTATACCACAGTTAGGCTGTCCTTCTCAGGCCCTGACTTAAAGCCCCCACCACATCAGCATGATGGAACCAGGCTAGGTTTAAAGGAAAGCCCATTCCAACAGCTTCCCTCATGTTCCTGAAACCGTTGCTGTCTCAGTGATTGGCATTAGCTTATGAAACAAGATTCTTCTGTGTTTCTTTTAATGAAGGCCACTTATTTGAGCAGGAAGAGGCTTCTGTGACTATACTGTCACAGAGATGACCCTGTCCCACTCTCACGTAACATTAATATGTTGAGCATTACAGGGCAGGGTCCTTCTCTACCATAATATTGGCCACAATTGTTGCAGCCTACCTTTGTGCCACCTATGAAAACATTTCTGTGGGTTAGTGAGAGTTAGTTTGGAGGATAAAAGGAGATAGGAATCATGTGTGCTCTTTTACTTCTTCTCTTTCTGACCCAAAAAAACCCCCTATAACTTTTTATTGTAATTCGAACTGCATTGTACTAGTGGTATATCAGTGGCTTCTTTGTCTGACAACCATCCCAAACTTGCCTAAAATCCCAACCTCACTATTGGTCTTAGCCCATTCGCACAGGTTTAGAAGTTTTGGGTCCTCCCTTCTCTTTCCAGTGCTTTTTCAGTGCTCAACAGGTAGGACTCATGATTCAGGTACCAAGCCTGAGCTTCTTCTTAGTTTCCCACGGCCTGACAGTCCTCTTAGCAACTCTAAAGTGTCAGTGAGTGGTTGTGGCACTGAAGTGTCTCCTGGTGGCCAGAAGGACTCAGTCACTAAAAATGAGCCCTTTGTCAAGACCCAAAGTAATATATGCTGTGTTACATTGGCACAGTGGTCATGCGCAGGGGTAACCACTCTTTCTGACCTAAGATTCAAAACACCTGAGAGAAAAATACTCATGTCAGATCAACTGAAGTGGAAATGTGAGCTTTGATTCTGGTAAAGAAGGGGCTGAGCTTTGCAGCTTATTGGGCTAGCTAGCATTCTCCTGAATCGAATATGCCCTTCCATTACCTTTTCCTTAGCGGACAGGATCCCCTACTGAATAAAGAGTTGGCTCACTACTTTTTTTTTTTTTCTTTTTGAGATGGAATTTTGCTTTTGTTGCCTAGGCTGGAGTGCAGTGGCATGGTCTCGGCTCAATGCAACTTATACCTCCTGGGTTCAAGTGATTCCCCTGCCTCAACCTCCCATGTAGCTGGGATTACAGGCTTGTGCCACCATGCCAAGCTAATTTCTGTATTTTTCATAGAGACGAGGTTTCACTATGTTAGCCAGGCTGGTCTCTCACTCCTGACCTCAGGTAATCCACCCGCCTCGGCCTCCCAAAGTGCTGGGATTACAAGCGTGAGCCAC
Source organism: Homo sapiens (assembly GCF_000001405.40). Classification (NCBI taxonomy): domain Eukaryota; kingdom Metazoa; phylum Chordata; class Mammalia; order Primates; family Hominidae; genus Homo; species Homo sapiens. Next base: position 142,578,020 of record NC_000007.14, on the reverse strand, counting down.
TGGGCCTGGTCTAGCTTAAGCTGAATTTCTAGAAGTTTGAAAGGCTTTGTAAATTTGTCCTGTTCTTTCTCAAGCACATGTAGTATTAGCAATATTCACTAGAATTAAATTCCTTCTTAAATTTTATGTTTGTACTTGTCACTAGTCTTTTCAAAATATTCTAGATTTGATCTCTGTGGTCTTCTCTATTGAGAGATGTGCAATTAACAATGTCTGGATCCTCTAAAGCAAGCACTATTAAGATAAATATTGAATATCTTTAATTTCCTTGGTTGAGCAATTGTATCTAAAAGGTATTCTCATTTTTTGTTTGCCTGCTTTTCCTTTAATATGTTCCATCTTTCTTACACTTTAAGAATCATAATTTTAAAAATAATTAAGCAGGCTCCTTTCAAGCACAGGCTAGAGCTGAACATCAAATAATTTGAGAGTCTTCAATTGATGTCTCAGGGCATCTCTTCTCAAAAATGTCCAAATTGCATATAACCCTTTATATAGTGTTGATTTTAAGTCATTCCTTAACAAATCCCCAAATCCTGTCTTCCTCTGTAAAGTTTATCTAGTCTCCCCTCTGAGATCCTGTATCTTTGTTTTTCCTCCATGAAGATTCTTTACATCCAGTTATCTTGCCTGCCTTAGTAACAACCAAAATAAATCTCTTCTAATAACTCCTTGAGAGCAGTTGACCCTGAGTGCATTTCCTCTTCCCTCTAAAATTGATCTTTCCTGGATATGAGAGCCTCTTCTTTCTTTCTTTTCTTTTCTTTCTTTTTTTTTTTAATTGGGGGTGAGGTCTCACTCTGTCACCTAGGCTGGAATACAGTAGCATGCTCTTGGCTCACTGCAACCCCTACCCCCTAGGCTCAAGTGATTTTCCCACCTCAGCCTCCCGAGTAGCTGGGACCACAGGCATGCACCACCAATCCCCAGATAATTTTTTTTTATTTTTAGTAGTGATGGGATCTCACTATGTTGCCGAGGCTTGTCTCAAACTCCTGAGCTCAAGTGATCCGCCTGCCTCAAATTCCCAGAGTGCTGAGATTACAGGTGTGAGCCACCACACCCGGCCGAGAACCTCCTCTTTCTTTCATATGAGAAATATGTCTTCTAAGAAGTTAGAACTATTCCTAAGGAAGTCTTGTTCCTCTTCCATTTTAATGAACCTATATTTTTAATTTTGGTTATAATAGTTTATAAATGGTTAAAAGGAATCCAGTCCCCAAATTCTTGTGTTTGAATCCCTCTTTCCTCCATTTACTAGCCATGTGACATGAAGAAAATTATGTATCTTCTCTCTACTTCAGTTTACTCTTCCATAAAATAAGGCATTCTAAGTAGATGCTGAATATTTTCTACTTGGAAAATGAACCCACTTGAAATGCCCAAAACACAGTAAGAATTATATAAAAGCTTTCAATTTTAAATATTCTTCCTTTGCTCCTGTTCTGATGATCAGAAGGAAGTATCACTTCAAAATACTGTAGTGTCTCATCCATTTTCTTAGCAAATTAAAATTCTCCATAACAAGTATTCCAAGCACAGGCATTCTTTTAATTCTGCTCTCAGCTTTTGTAATAATAATGTTGATTGATTTTGAATCTTTGTGTGTACATGCTCTAATTTCTTTCAGAGTCCTCCTCATTACATTTTCTTCAAAGGAGAGAGCCTTGACAGGTGTGCTTACTATCACATACTCTAAATTATTTCTGTCTAGGAGCTCACAGTTTATGATAGCTCACTCTCTTTAATTTCAAGAGTCTTGGAAATATACATTCTCCCATAACAAGCCACCTGATGAGGCAATTCAAATGGTTATCTTCTTTTTTTTCTTCGACTTTTTTTTTCTTTGATTCAACTTTATTTTTTTTATTTTTTATTTTTTTTATAGTATTTATTGATCATTCTTGGGTGTTTCTCGGAGAGGGGGATTTGGCAGGGTCATAGGACAATAGTGGAGGGAAGGTCAGCAGATAAACATGTGAACAAGGGTCTCTGGTTTTCCTAGGCAGAGGACCCTGCGGCCTTCCGCGGTTTTTGTGTCCCTGGGTACTTGAGATTAGGGAGTGGTGATGACTCTTAAGGAGCATGCTGCCTTCAAGCATCAGTTTAACAAAGCACATTTTGCACCGCCCTTAATCCATTTAACCCTTAGTGGACACAAGACATGTTTCAGAGAGCAGGGGGTTGGGGGTAAGGTTATAGATTAACAGCATCCCAAGGCAGAAGAATTTTTCTTAGTGCAGAACAAAATGGAGTCTTCCATGTCTACTTCTTTCCACACAGACACAGTAACAATCTGATCTCTCTTTCTTTTCCCTACATTTCCCCCTTTTCTATTCGACAAAACCGCCATCGTCATCATGGCCCGTTCTCAATCAGCTGTTGGGTACACCTCCCAGACGGGGTGGCGGCCGGGCAGAGGGCTCCTCACTTCCCAGACGGGGTCGTGGCCGGGCAGAGGCGCTCCCCACATCCCAGACGGGGCGGCGGGGCAGAGGCGCTCCCCACATCTCAGACGATGGGCGGCCAGGCAGAGACGCTCCTCACTTCCTAGACGGGATGACGGCCGGGAAGAGGCACTCCTCACTTCCCAGACTGGGCGGCCGAGCAGAGGGGCTTCTCACATCCCAGAGGATGGGCGGCCAGGCAGAGACGCTCCTCACTTCCCAGACGGGGTGGCGGCCGGGCAGAGGCTGCAATCTCGGCACTTTGGGAGGCCAAGGTAGGCGGCTGGGAGGTGGAGGTTGTAGCTAGCCGAGATCACACCACTGCACTCCAGCCTGGGCAAGATTGAGCACTGAGTGAGCAAGACTCCGTCTGCAATCCCGGCACCTCGGGAGGCCGAGGCAGGCAGATCACTCGCGGTCAGGAGCTGGAGACCAGCCCGGCCAACACAGCGAAACCCCGTCTCCACCAAAAAATACAAAAACCAGTCAGGCGTGGTGGCGCGCGCCTGCAATCCCAGGCACTCGGCAGGCTGAGGCAGGAGAATCAGGCAGGGAGGTTGCAGTGAGCCGAGATGGCGGCAGTACAGTCCAGCCTCGGCTCCGCATCAGAGGGAGACCGTGGAAAGGGGAGACAGAGAGGCAGAGGCAGAGGCAGAGGCAGGGGGAGGGGGAGGGGGAGGGGGAGGGGGAGGGAGAGGGAGCTCTTCCACTTTTATTTTAAGTTCCAGGGCACCTGTGCAGGAAGTGCAGGTTTGTTACATAGGTAAACATGTGCTATGGTGGTTTGCTGCACAGATCATCCCATCACCCAGGTATCAAGCCAGCATTCATTAGCTTTTCTTGCCTCATGCTCTCCCTCCCACTAACGGTCTTCTGACAGGCCCTAGTGTGTCTTGTTCCCTGTGATGTGTCCATGTGTTCTTACCATTCAGCTCCCTCTTATAAGTGAGAACATGCAGTGTTTGGGTTTCTGTTCCCATTAGTTTGCTGAGTATAATGGCTTCCAACTCTATCCATTTCCCTGCAAAGGACATGATCTCATTTCTTTTTATTTATTTATTTATTTATTTATTTATTTATTTTTTGAGATGGAGTCTTGCTCTGTCATCCAGGCTGGAGTGCAGTGGCACGATCTCAGCTCACTGCAAGCTTCGCCTCCCGGGTTCATGCCATTCTCCTGCCTCAGCCTCCCGAGTAGCTGGGACTACAGGTGCCCGCCACCACGCTCGGCTAATTTTTTGTCTTTTTAGTAGAGATGGGGTTTCACTGTGTTAGCTAGGATGGTCTCAATCTCCTGACCTCGTGATCTGCCTACCTCGGCCTCCCAAAGTGCTGGGATTACAGGCATGAGCCACCGTGCCCAGCCTGATCTCATTTCTTTTTATGCCAACATATAATTCCATGTTGTATGCACCACATTTTCTTTATCCAGTCTATCACTGATGGGCATTTAGGTTGATTCCATGTCTTTGCTATGGTGAACAGTGCTGCAATGAACATACACATGCATGTATCTTTATAATAGAATGATTTATATTCCTTTGGGTATGTACCCCATAATAGAATTGCTAGGTCAAGTGGTATTTCTGCCTCTAGGCCTTTGAGGAATCACCACACTGTCTTCCACAGTGGTTTAACTCATTTACACTCCCACAACAGTGTAAAAGTGTTCCTTTTTCTCTGCAACCTTACCAGCATCCATTGTTTTTTGACTCTTATAATAGCCATTCTGGCTGTCATGAGATGGAATCTCATTGTGGTTTGATTTACATTTCTCTAATGATCAGTGATGTTGAGCTATTTTTTAAATGTTTCTTGGCCACATGTATGTCTTCTTTTGATAAGTGTCTGTTCACATCCTTTGCCTACTTTTTAATGGGGTTGTCTGGTTGTTTTTTTGTTGTAAGTTTAAGTTCCTTGCAGACTCTGGATATTAGACCTTTTTCAGATAGATAGATTGCAAAAAAAATTTCTCCTATTCTACAGGGTGTCTGTTTACTCTGATGATAGTTTATTTTGCTGTGCAGAATCTCTTTAGTTTAATTAGATTGCATTTGTCAATTTTTGCTTTTGTTGCAATTGCTTTTGGCATGTTCGTCATGAAATCTTTGCCTGTGCCTATGTCCTAAATGAGATTGCCTACGTTTTCTTCTAGGGTGTTCATAGTTTCGGGTTTTACATGTAAGTCTTTAATCCATCTTGAGTTAATTTTTGTATATGGTGTAAGGAAGGAGTCCAGTTTCAATTTTCTGCATTTGGCTAGCCAACTCTCCCAACACCATTTAGTAAATAGGAAGTCCTTTCCCCATTGCTTGTTTTGTCAGGTTTGTTGAAGATCAGATGGTTGTAGGTGTGTCGTATTATTTCTGAGTTCTCTATTCTGTTCCATTGGTCTATGTGTCTGCTCTTGTACCAGCACCATTCTGTTTTGGTTACTGTAGCCTTAAAGTATAGTTTGAAGTCTGGTAGCATGATTCCTCTAGCTTTGTTCCTTTTGCTTATGATTGTCTTGTCTATTTCTATTCAGGCTCTTTTTTGGTTCCATATGAATTTTAAAATAGTTTTTTTTCCTAATTCTGTGAAGAACGTCAATGGTAGTTTAATGGGAATAGCATTGAATCTATAAGTTACTTTGTACAGTATGGCTATTTTCACAATATTGATTCTTCCTACCCATGAGCATGGAATGTTTCTTCATTTGTTTGTATCTTCTCTCATTTCTTTGAGCAGAGGTTTGTAGTGGGCCTTTAGTGCAATACATTTCCCTCTTAACACTGATTTATCTGTCCCAGAGATTCTGGTACATTGTCTCTTTGTTCTCATTAGTTTCAAATAACTTCTTGATTTCTGCCTTAATTTTGTTATTTATCCAAGAGTCATTCAGGAGCAGGTTGTTCAATTTCCATGTAGTTGTGTGGTTTAAGTGAATTTCTTGATCTTGAGTTCTAATTTGATTGAACTGTGATCTGAGAGACTGTCATGATTTCAGTTGTTTTGCATTTGCTGAGGAATGTTTTACTTCCAAATATGTGATCGATTTGAGCAAGAGCCATATGATGATGAGAAGAGTGTATATTCTGATGTTTTCAGGTGAAGAATTCTATGGATATCTATCAGTTCCACTTAATCCAGAGCTGAATTTGGGTCCTGAATATATTTGTTAGTTTTTGGTCTCAGTGATGTTTCTAATACTGTCAGTGGGGTGTTAAAGTCTCCCACTATTTTTGTGTGGGAGTCCAGGTCTCTCTTTGTAGGTCTCTAAGAACTTGCTTTATGAATCTGGGTGCTCCTGTATTGGGTGCATATATATTTAGGATAGCTAGCTCTTCCTGTTGAATGGAACCCTTTACCGTTATATAATGCCCTTCTTTGTCTTTTTTGTTCTTTGTTGGTTTAAAGTCTGTTTTGTCAGAAACTAAGATTGCAACCCCTGCTTTTTTCTGTTTTCCATTTGGTTGGTAAAATTTCTTCCATCCGTTTATTTTGAGCCTATGTTTGTCTTTGCATGTGAGATGTGTCTCCTAAAGACAGCATATCAGTGAGTCTTGGTTCTTTACTCAGCTTGCAATTCTATATCTTTTAATTGTGGCATTTACCCTGTTTACACTTAAAAGTTAGTATTGTTATGGGTAAGTTGGATCCTGTCATTACTATGCTACCTGGTTATTTCACAGACTTGTTTATGTGGTTGCTTCATAGTGTTGCTGGTCTGTGTATTTCAGTGTGCTTTGTAGGGCTGGTAATGGTTTTCTTCTTTCCATATTTAGTGCTTCCTAGAGGAGCTCTTGCAAGGCAGTCCTGTGGTGACAAATTTCCTAAGTGTTTGCTTGTCTGAAAAGGATCGTATTTCTTCTTCACTTACGAAGCTTAGTTTGGTCAGATATGAAATTCTGGGTTGGAGATTCTTTTCTTTAAGAATGTTAAAGAATAGCTTCCAACCACTGTACTTTATAAGGTTTCCACGGACAGGTCTGCTGTTAGTCTGATGGGCTTCCGTTTGTAGGTGGCCTGGCCATTCTCTCTGGCTGCCCTTAACATTTTTTTTTCATTTCAACTTTGGAGAATCCGATGATTATGTGTCTTGGGGTTTATCTTCTCATGGAGTATCTTACTGGGGTTCTCTGCATTTCCTGAATTTGAATGTTGGTGTGTCTTGCTAGGTTGGGAAAGATCTTCTGGATCATATCCTGAAGTATGTTTTCCAATTTGACTCCATTATCCTTATCTCTTTTAGGTACCCCAGTCAGTCATGGGTTCAGTCTCTTTACATAATCCCAAATTTCTGGGGGGTGTTGTTCATTCTTTTCCCTCTATTCTTGTCTGCCCCTCTTATTTAAGAGAGATAGTGTTCAGACTCTGAGATTCCTTCTTCCACTTGGTCTGTTCTCCCACTGATACTTGTAATTGCATTGTGAAGGTCTTGTGTTGTATTTTTCAGCTCCATTAGGTTGATCATGTTCCTCTGTAAACTGGTTATTCTGGCTGTCAGCTCCTGTATTGTTTTATCATGATTCTTAGCTTCTTTGCATTGGGTTACAACATGCTTCTTTAGCTCAGCAAAGTTCATTATTACCACCTTCTGAACCCTACTTCTGTCAATTCAGCCATTTCAGCCTCAGCTCAATTCTGTGCCATTGCTGGAGAGGTGTTACAGTCATTTGGAGGAGAAAAGGCACTCTTGCTTTTTAAGTTTTCAACATTTTTGTGTTGATTCTTTCTCATTTTTGTGGGCTTATCTACCTTCAATCTTTGAGCTTGCTGACCTTTGACCTTGGATTTTGTGGGGTCCTTTTCATTGATACTGTTCTTGTTGTTTTCTGTTTTTTGTTTTTCCTTTACTAGTCAGGCCACTTTATTGTAGGGCTGCTGTGGTTTGCTGGAAGTCCGCTCCAGACCTTAGTTGCCTCGGTTTTTCCCATACTGGAGGTATCATCAGTGAAGGCTGTGAAACAGCAAAGATGGCAGCCAGCTTCTTCCTCTGGAAGCTCCATCCCTGGGGGGTACTGACCTGTTGCTGGCCAGAACACACCTGTAGGAGGTGGCTGGAGACCCTGTTGGGAGGTCTCATCCAGTTGGGATGAACAGGATCAGGGGCCTGATTAAAGAAGCAGTCTGTCTGCTTTTTGGTAGAGCAAATGTGCTGCATTATGAGGAGGCTTTCTCGTCCAGACCATTTGGATTCTGCAAAGCCAACAGGCTAGAAGGACTGAGTTGACTGAACTGCAGAGATGGAGGCTGCCCCTCCCTGCCAGGAGCTCCATCCCAGGGAGAGATCAGAGCTCTCAATGTAGAACACTGGCTAGAATGGCTGAAGCCTCCACAGGGAGGTCCTGCCCACTGAGAAGGGATGGATCAAGGTCCTGCTTAAAGAAGCAGTCTGGCCATGATCTGGCAAGGCAGCTGTGCTGCATTATGGGGAACCTTTCCTCATCCAGACCATTTGTATTCTCCAAAGCTGGCAGGCTTAAACAGCTAAGTCTACTGGACTGCAGAGATGGTGGCCACCCCCTTTCCCCAGGAATTCATACTTATCTCAGGCAGATTCTAGGCTGTTGCCATTGGCTATCTGGAATTCCAAGCCAGTGCGTCTTAACTTGTGAGGTGCTATGGAAGTGGGGCCTGCAGAATGATGCTGCTTGGCTCCCTGGATTTAGCTCCCTTCCTAGGGTTATATGTGGACAGATTTCCTGCCTTGCTGGGGATCCTGAGGCTGGAATGTGTAAAACTCCTGGGTCTCTGTGTGTGCCTGAGCAGCTGCTCTGCTAAGACTCCATGCAGCTCTGTGTACTGGATCCAAGGCCCTGTTGTTGTGGGCTTGTGAGGGGATCTCCTGATCCATGTGTTGCAAAGATCTGTGGGAGAAGAGTCGTTTCCTGGGCAGGGTCACACAATCACTCACTGCTTCCTTTGGCTGGGGGTGGGGGTTCCTTTGGCTCTGTGCTGCTCCTGGTGGGCCATCATGCCCCACATCCCCTGCTTTTCTTTGTTCTCTGTGGGTTGAGTTGTTTGCCTAGACAGTCCCAGTGTGAGAACCTGAATATCTCAATTGACAGTGCTAAATTCACTCACCCCGTTTCATTCCTCTCCCTGAGTGCCATGGACCACAGCTGCTTCTAATTGGCCATCTTGTAGACCCTGAATAGTTATCTTCTTACTGTCTGAAAGACTTAATATCAGGTTTGACCCTTCATTAAAAAAAAAAAAATTGGCCAGGCACTGTGGCTCATGCCTGTAATCCCAGCACTTTGGGATGCCAAAGCAGGTGGATCACCTGAGGTCGGGAGTTGGAGACCAGCCTGACAAACATGGAGAAACCCTGTCTCTACTAAAAAAAAAAAAAAAAATTAGCCGGGCATGGTGGCACATTCCTGTAATCCCAGCTACTCAGAAGGCTGAGGCAGGAGAATCACTTGAACTTGGGAGGCAGAGGTTGCAGTGAGCCAAGATTGTGCCATTGCACTCCAGCCTGGACAACAAGAGCAAAACTCCATCTCAAAAAAAAAAAAAAAAAAAAAAATTTCACCAGTGAAGGAGAAGTTTGTAATCATCCAGGATTTGGGAAAATATCCAGACAAGAGTAGCTGGCATTGTATAGCTAAGTATATGATGGAGAACCCCAAAACTTGCAGCCACACGATGCAAAATACACACTCTGTATTTGAACTGAGGAGCGAACACAGTAATAGGTCTGTCACTAAACCCAAATAAGTCTGTTGGATGTTACTAGTCTATAATTAGAATAATCTACTGGTAATACTAAAAGGACACGTCTATTTTACATGAAAAGTAATTTTCCCTGCATATTACATATTTTGGGAAACAACACTGTTGAATTTGTGCTTCTATGTCCAAGAATGACCAAAGGTTGGTGAGTGAGCCTCAGTAAAGGTCGGTGAATCAGACTCAGTAAAAGCCAATGACCACACTGGGAAGTGACTCAGAGACACCAGAAATAGTTCATAGGACTCGATATGCAAGCAGGAAATGCAAAGACCATGGTATCTTCAATGCCTAATGCAGTAATATCTCTAATTACTGGAATTGCAAAAATGTTTAAAGAATTACTAATTCAGGATGGTAAACTGAGTACCTTCCCATACAAAAGAATAAAAAATAACAATAAAAAATGCTGAAAACAAGAAAAGATATTTTTCAGAATCAGAAATGTTAAGGGCTTCTGGAGGTTTGAAAGCTGCTGGGAACTGTGTTCATGTGTAAATCAAAATATTAAACAGAACAAAGACATCAGAGTTGAGCGACACTCTTCATAAAAAGAACAAGCTTGGAATTAGTAATGGTCTATAGGATTATGGTTAGGACAATTTTAAGAAATCGATATTGCAATATAGAGTATATCAATTGACACCTGCACAGTAATGCTGTATAACAAGCCTCACTCAAATCTCACTGGTTAAAGCAATAATAATTTATTATTGCTCATGAGTCTATGGGTTAAATAGACAGTTCTGCAAATCTCGAAACAGTCATAATATTCCTTTGTTGGATATGTAGTTTACAAATGTTTTATCCATTGCTGTGGCTTCTTTTTCATCCTCTTAACAAGGTCTTTTACAGATTAAGTTAAAACCGGAGAATTCCCTTATCCTCCTCGCAGGACATGTGACAGGGGGATGGCTCACTTCACTGGTGCCCCAGTGCTCAAACCCCTAGGGGGAGCATGCAGACGGGCAGGTGCAGAGGCCATGGGGAGTGCTTTTGGGCTCCCAAGGGATGGCACCGTCTAGGACTTATAGTGCACTCTTTCAGCTATGCCGTCTGCCGTCTGCTTGCATTAGTCAACTCAATAGACCCTCTGCTTATTGCAAGGACAGGGGGCCAATGTGACAGCCTGAGCTCTTGACCAGTGTACTGGAAGAATCAGATCATATGTGGGCTGAAAGGTTGAGTGCAAGCTTTTATTAAGTGGTGTAAGTGGCTCTCAGTGAGATAGATGGGGAGCCAGAAGTCGAGGGATGGAGTGGAACGGTGGTTTTCCCCTGCAGTTGGCTGCCCAGTGGCAGGACTCTCGCAGACTTCCCCTGGCTGAACTCCCCTCGCATTCGTGTCCTTCCGCCATCGCTGATCTGCCGGTGTCTGCTGCTGTATTCTTCTGCTCTTCTAGATGTCCAGCCTCTTGTGTCCGTGTCCGCTTAAGGTCTCGGGTTTATATGGGCACAGGATGGGAGGCGTGGCGGGCCAAAAGGCAACTTTTTGAGTGCAAAAACAGAAACGCCTGTCCTCATTTAGGTCTGTGGGCACAGGCCCGAGGGTGGAGCCCTCACCAGGGACCCCGCCCTTCTCTACCCAGCACTTCCCTGCCCCCAGTCTTGTATCAAAATGTTTTTAATTTGAATGAGGGAAATCTTTCTTGGAAGATTTAAAGTGGTGGGGAATGTGGACTTAAATAGAAGCAAAACATATCTTAACCATATTTGAGCTTCTGAACTTCCTCACCTTCGAAAGTATGTAAAAAATAGTTTAATTTCTATAATCTGCATGGTTGTTTTGTTCCTAAAATGTGTATCTATTTTACTCCACTGTGAAAATAGAGTATATAGAACCATTTCCTGCTTCATAGAGAAAGAAGCATTCAGTAGTGTCTTGAGTGACTAGAAGTATTGAACAATATGAAGAAGGTAGCAGAAATTGCAAGAACAAATGTATGAACAGGCATTAAATTGTGTAAGACTGTTTTGTAAGGGTATGAAGTGCACTTGATAAAGTAACATTTATCTTACTCAGTAGTCAAAAATAAGATAAGATATGGTCCAAATGTTTTAAAATTCAAATGCCCTCCCGAGGTGACATTTTTATCTGGTGAACAATGGAGAATTGTTGAATGTATAAAAATTGAAAAGTGGTTTTAGGAAAATGATTGTGTCACTGGTAGAATAATTCAGGCTTCTTGCAGGCCTGACTGGGATACTTGGGAGAAGGATGTTCCAAGCAAAGGGAATAGCTTGAGCAAAGGTTCTAAGGCAGAAGTGTGCCTTGTGTATTCGAGGAATGGCCAGAAAGCCACTGTGTTGTGAAAAAATAAGCAAGGGAAAGAGGAACAGACAGGAGGCAAGAAATACAACAGGGAGGGGGATCACCGAGGACCTCGTAGGCCTATGCAGGCTGTAGGCTTTTCTCTGAGTGAAACGGGAATCTACTGTATGGTTTAGTGGACGAGTGACAACATCTAACCTAAAGGATCACTCTGACTTCTGTATTGAGAGTAGACCCTGGGTTGGTGGCTAGAATGAGGGAGGCCAAGATTAGAAGTAGAGGAACCTAAGAGGAGTCTATGACAACTACAGAAGATAAATCGAATGAGTTCCCACGGGGATTTTTTAGTGCCCCTCCCAACTCTGCCATTCATAGGAACCTACGGGGAGTTGGCTTTAATCGGGGTTGATATTATAGTCTTAAATCTTAAAATATAATTAAAAGAATGTAAGAATTAAAGCGTAAGAGTTAAAAAGTTGTGGGCTCTCAGGGGGCTGCTGCTGGGCCACTGGGTCTCTCTTTGTGGATTTTGTCTCCCGAGGCCTGGAGCAGGAGGAACTCCAGTCCATCCCAGACTCCATAGCAGCCCACAGTTAGGTGCACCAGGGTTTGCTGATGTCGTCTTGTGCTGTTCCACCCTTGGCTCTGGCAGAGCTGCTGCCTCACTGTCCCAGAAAAGCCTGAGCCTGTAGTTTAGGTAGGATGCCACATCTGCGTCCTCAAGACCTGTTATCCATGCAGGAAAAGATGTTGGGAAAGGCCATTTTGCCAGCAGGGGTGAGGGTAGGGACAGAGAATCTATTTTTAATAAATAACATCCTAGAAAGACCAAAAAAAAATTAAAAAAATAAAAGTTATGGGCTCTATGAACTGGAGAGGTCAGAGAAATAGAAGAATTGTAGGAGTTACTGATATAGACAGAAGGGAGGTAGTGGTAGAACGACAGGACAATTTAAATAGAAATATTGAAAGATCTTTGTTGTTCCTTAATGGTCTATAATCATGGAAACAAGTCTGAAAATGATTAGAGGGGAAAAAGACTCAGGATATAGGAAGTCGAGAAACTTAGAAGCCTCGCGAGTGAATAAATTGTCTATGTGATGAATAGTATTAAGAATGATGACTGGATTAGTAGCAGGCAGAAGGATTAAAAAAAAGAAAATTTCTGAAGGTAATAAGGTAGGTACAATGAGAAGGGGTAATATTATAAAGTAATATGTACAAAGCAGCTGGGCTTTAAAGTAGGAGGGAGAAAATGATCTGGAAGCACAGGGAGGAATTCTGCACTATTTCCATCTTAAAAGTCAGGATCCCTACACGTAAAAAAAAAAAAAAAATGGGAAAATGACAAAGTGGAATTTGGCATATGGCAGAACTCCAAAAAACCTCAAGTGCCTTGGGCACTCAAAATACAGGGATCATTCGCCTCACTTGTCAATGATACCATGATAGGGATTTAGAAGGAATCAGTATGTAAATATGAATATCACACAGAAATTATAACCACTCAGAATGGATTGCAGGTATTGTATAGAAACTTCTCATATAAATAAGAAGAAAAATGTAAATTTGTGTGTTAAGGACATGTAATCAGAAAGGAAACAGGGCAACAGAAGACTGGACATGCCTGTCTGCTTTTAGATACCCCAGTGTGGGTCCTTACCAGGAGGCGTCATCAGTGCTCTGTGAGTGTGCAAAGCCTTTGGCCAGCACCCGGCTCATCTTACGCAGAACAGAGACAAATGGATCCTTAGATTCCAGGCCAGGTAGCTTACATCTAGTGTACTAACCTGCTTGCTCTAGCCACATTTGAGACACTCTTTAGGAGTAGTGAAAAATCCTGAAGTAAATGTAAAGTTGAAATTGGCATTATAAAGGAATGTCCACAATCATAGTAAAGAAGAACTTTCTTTTACAATCTAGAAAACGTGTGAGGGAAATTTCTGTTTGCAGCTTAGAGTTAGGAGAGAATGAAGAGGGCCTCACAGTTCAGAAAATGCAGCCTTTCTCGGGAGCTCCCACCATTCTCATGGGATGGCAAATGCAGGAGGGCAGGGAAATCTCCAGTGTCAGTAGCCAAGGTTTATCTTACTCCTATGTGTTTTGAGCAGAGACAATTTTTTAAGGAATCCTCAAAACCCATTTCATAATCCTCAAATCAACATAAGGTTTCCTATGTTGAAACCTCATTTTCTGTCTTTGTCACAACCCAAAACCACTTTTTCTCATGGGGAGGGAGGAACAGGAAAGACTTTGCCCAGGACTGCTGGGAGGTAGAAGGAGAAGGAGAAACACCAGGGTTTCTGCACAGGAAAGGGGTGATTCTGCAGCGCTGTGGCTAAACTGCTGGCACAGAAGTACACAGCTGAGTCCCTGGGTTCTGAGGGCTGGATCTTCAGAGTGGAGAATGATGCATTAGGCATCTTAGCTGAGAATCGATCCTCGGGCATCCCTGAATCATCTATCGGAACGTTGTTGTTAAAGTAAATGAGCAACTCCAGTCCCCGCATCATGGTCTGTCTGTACCAGAAAAGGTAGTCGTGTCCTGAAATTGGTTTACATCTCAGAGTCACTTCTTGTCCCATCTCTGTCACCTCGTGCCGGGGTGACTGGATAACTCCAGCATCTGTGTGCTCTATGAAGGAAGACAGAATTGGGCGTCAGAATAAGGAAAATATATGAGATCATCCATGCAGAAGCCCAGCCTGATGATGGTAAATGTTCTGAAGACTCACTTGCTACCAGGATGCAAAGGGACACACAGCAGAGGGTCCAGGAGCCCATGGCAGAGTGAGAGCAGATGTGGAATATTCCAGACCAGGCCCTCTGTGAACATGAGCAAAGAAATGAATTTTGTGACATTTTATCCCCACAGAATGCATCTGTCAGTGACATCACTGAATGGGCCACCACCCCCAACTTTAAGAGGAGGCTGCATCTCTGGGAGATGAATCAGGCAGGAATTAACTCAACTATAGCAGATCTGAGATACAAATGCACACATGCAGAGGCTCCCTTAAGATTTATTTTGATATTATCAATTCACGGTAGCTTCTCCATAACATGCCTTACCTAGGAGCTTGCCAACTATATATATCTCCTCAAATTGCAGGTAATTAAAGATGAACTCATTGTCTTATTGCAAGCCAGCTTCTCTGCAAACTCTCCTCTTCCTCTCACTGGTGGCTTGGTGTTTCTAGTCCTCTATGTGTACCTAAATTATCCATCAGCGAGTTAGGAGTTAGGCATCTGAGAAGATGCATGTCAACTGCATTGTTAGGGATAGAGGAACTGAGCTGATGCCCTGAGAACTGATTATATTTGAAGCTCTTCTCTGCAGTAGAAAAAACCTGGGTTTATTTATCCTTGAACCATATTGAATTCCCAAAGCCCGTGGAATGGAACTTCTCTCCATTCTCTATTCCCACAATAAAACAGAGGATAAGATTGTCTTATTTTGAAGATTTGCAGCTACAATGTTCTAGTCTTGAATTATATCTTATTACTACCCCTAGAAAAGAAAAGTTCAATGTTTTTTCATCATTAACACCTGACCTTTCCTCCGGCCCCCTGCCAACCCCTTAATCCCACTTCTCCAAACCTACTTCCTCTCAGAGGTTCTGGAAAGCTGAGAGAAATGTTTGTTTTTTGAGTTGATCAATTAACTTACTTGCCATAAAAGGGCATATTTTTGCTCTTGGCACAGAGGCATGCTTCTGAGTCCCATGCAGTTGAAAGCACTTGCCAATGTTAAAGGGCATTAGTTTGCAGACTAGCTTGTGTTTCTGGAGGGGCCTATTTCCCTTTGGGCTCTATCCTTTTGCAGGGTCTGTTGGACCCAGGATACAAAACTGTGGTCATAATTCTGTTTTAAAAAATTTAATTACTTACCACTCCCTGTAACCAGGTACCAAGTGTGGCAGGCAGCATGACAACCTCCCAAAGATGTCCATGTCTAATTCCCAGAAACTGGGAATGTGTTAAATTATGTGGCAAGGGGAGAAAGGAATGTTCCAAATGGAATGAAGGTTGCTAGTCAGCTGGCCTTAATATAGGGAGTGTATCCTGGATTTTCCAGGTGGGCCCAATGTAATCACAAGTGTCCTAAAATGTGGAAGAGGGGGGACGAAGAGTGAGTGTCAGAGTGATGCAGAGTGAGCAAAGGCTCAGCCAGTCCTTGTTGACTTTGAAGATCGAATGGGGCCATGAGCCAAGGAACACTGGTGGCCTCTAGAAGTTGAAAAGGAGAGAAAAACAGTTCTCCCCGAGAGCCTCAGGATGGAATGCAGCCCTGCCAACACCTGGATTTTATCCCGGTTTTGGACTTCTGACCTGCAGAACTGTAAGATAATTAGTTTTTGTTGTAAACCACCAAGTTAGTAGTAATTTGTGTCAACAGAGATTGAATACCTTCTAGTAGCCATGGGATTGATGGGTAAGAGGCAGAAGCCAGATACAAGATACAGGTAGAGACAGATGCATGATCACATGGAAGGAATTTAAAATCAGGCTAAAGGAAGCCTATAATGCAGCTGGGCTTTAGAGAAGTAGGAAGGAAAATGATCTGGAAGCAGCAGGGAGGAATTCTGCACTATTTTCATCTTGAAAGTCAGGACCCACTAATCAAAAAAAAAAAAAGGAAAGAAAAATAGGAAAATGACACAGTGGAATTGGGCTTATGGCAGAGCTCCAAAAAACCTCAATGGCCTTGGGCACTCAAAATATAGGGGTCTTTTGCCTCAGTTGTCAATGATACCATGATAGGTATTTAGAAGGAATCAGCATGTAAATATGAATATCACACAGAAATTATAACCACTCAGAATGGATTGCAGGTATTGTATAGAAACTTCTCATATAAATAAGAAGGAAAATGTAAATTTGTGTGTTAAGGACATATAATCAGAAAGGAAACAGGGCAACAGAAGACTGGACATGCCTGTCTGCTTTTAGATACCCCAGTGTGGGTCCTTACCAGGAGGCGTCATCAGTGCTCTGTGAGTGTGCACAGCCTTTGGCCAGCACCCGGCTCATCTTACGCAGAACAGAGACAAATGGATCCTTAGATTCCAGGCCAGGTAGCTTACATCTAGTGTACTAACCTGCTTGCTCTAGCCACATTTGAGACACTCTTTAGGAGTAGTGAAAAATCCTGAAGTAATGTAAAGTTGAAATTGGCATTATAAAGGAACGTCCACAATCATAGTAAAGAAGAACTTTCTTTTACAATCTAGAAAACGTGTGAGGGAAATTTCTGTTTGCAGCTTAGAGTTAGGAGAGAATGAAGAGGGCCTCACAGTTCAGAAAATGCAGCCCTTCTCAAGAGCCCCCACCATTCTCATGGGATGGCAAATGCAGGAGGGCAGGGAAATCTCCAGTGTCAGTAGCCAAGGTTTATCTTACTCCTATGTGTTTTGAGCAGAGACAATTTTTAAGGAATCCTCAAAACCCATTTTGTAATCCTCAAACCAACATAAGGTTTCCTATGTTGATCCCTTCTCATTTTCTGTCTTTTTCATACCCCCAAACCACTTTTTTCTCATAGGGAGGGAGGAACAGCAGAGACTTTGCCCAGGACTGCTGGGAGGTAGAAGGAGAAGGGGAAACACCGGGTTTTCTGCACAGGAAAGGGGTGATTCTGCAGCGCTGTGGCTAAACTGCTGGCACAGAAGTACACAGCTGAGTCCCTGGGTTCTGAGGGCTGGATCTTCAGAGTGGAGAATGATGCATTAGGCATCTTAGCTGAGAATCGATCCTCGGGCATCCCTGAATCATCTATCGGAACGTTGTTGTTAAAGTAAATGAGCAACTCCAGTCCCCGCATCATGGTCTGTCTGTACCAGAAAAGGGAGTTGTGGCCTGAAATTGGTTTACATCTCAGAGTCACTTCTTGTCCCATCTCTGTCACCTCATGGCGGGGTGACTGGATAACTCCAGCATCTGTATGCTCTATGAAAGAAGACAGAATTGGGCGTCAGAATAAGGAAAATATATGAGATCATCCATGCAGAAGCCCAGCCTGATGATGGCAAATATTCTGAAGACTCACTCGCTACCAGGATGCAAAGGGACACACAGCAGAAGGTCCAGGAGTCCATGGCAGAGTGAGAGCAGATGTGGAATATTCTAGACCAGGCCCTCTGTGAGCATGAGCAAAGAAATGAATTTTGTGACATTTTATCCCCACAGAATGCATCTGTCAGTGACATCACTGAATGGGCCACCACCCCCAACTTCTTTAAGAGGAGGCTGCATCTCTGGGAGATGAATCAGGCAGGAATTAACTCAACTATAATTGGTGTGAAATAGAGATGCACACTTGCAGAGGCTCCCTGGATATTTGTTTTGATATTATCAATTCACGGTAGCTTCTCCATAACATGCCTTACATAGGAGCCTGCCAACTATATCCATCTGCACCTCAAATGGCAAGTATTTAAAGATGAACTCATTGTCTTATTTCAAGCCAGCTTCTCTGCAAACTCTCCTCTTCCTCTCACTGGTAGCTTGGTGCTTCTAGTCCTTTATATGTACTTAAAGTATCCCTCAGTGAGTTAGGAGTTAGACATCTGAGAAGACGCATGTCAACTGCATTGTTAGGGATACAAGAGCTGAGCTGATGACCTGAAAACTGATTATATTTGAAGCTCTTCTCTGCAGTGAAAAACCTGGGTGTGTTTATCCTTGAACCATATTAAATTCCCAAAGCCCATGGAATGTAACCTCTCTCACATTCTCTAGTCCCACAATAAAACAGAAAGGGGATAATATTGTCTTATTCTTGAAGATTTGCAGCTAAAATGTTCTAGTCTTGAATTAAATCTTATTACTACCCCTAGAAAAGTTCAATGTTTTTTCATCATTAACACCTGGCTTTTTCCCCTGTAACCCCACTTCTCCAAACCTACTTCGTCTCAGAGATTATGGAAAGCTGAGAGAAAGATCTTTTTTTTGGGTTGGTTGGTTAAGTTACTTGCCAACAAAAGAGAAGGGCACATTTTTGCTGTTGGCACAGAGGCATGCTTCTGAGTCCCCTGCAGTCAAAAGCACTTCCCAAAGTAAAAGGGCATTAGTTTGCAGACTAGCTTGTGTTACTGGAGGGGCTATTTCCATGTGGGCTCTATCCTTTTGCAGGGTCTGTTGGATCCAGGATATAAAACTATGGCCATAATTCTGCCTTCAAAAAGTTAATTGCTTACTACTTCGTGTAACCAGGTAGCAAGTGTGGCAGGCAGCGTGACGACCTCTCAAAGATGTACATGTCTAATTCCCAGAAACTGGGAATGTGTTAAATTATGTGGCAAGGGGAGAAACGAATGTTCCAAATGGAATGAAGGTTGCTAATCAGCTGGCCTTAATATGGGGAGCGTGTCCTGGATTTTCCAGATGGGCCCAATGTAATCACAAGGGTCCTAAAATGTGGAAGAGGGAGGATGAAGAGTGAGTGTCAGAGTGATGCAGAGTGAGCAAAGGCTCACCCAGTCCTTGTTGGCTTTGAAGATTGAATGGGGCCATGAGCCAAGGAACACTGGTGGCCTCTAGAAGCTGAATAGGAGAGAAAAATAGTTCTCCCTGAGAGCCTCGGGAAGGAATGTAGCCCTGCCAATACCTGGATTTTAGCCTGGTTTTGGACTTCTAACCTCCAGAACTGTAAGATAATAAATTTTTATTGTTGTAAGCCACCAAATTAGTGGTAATTTTTGTCAATAGAAATTTAATACCTTCTAGTAGCCATGGGACTGATGGGTGAGAGGCAGAAGCCGGGTACAAAATACAGGTACAGACAGATGCATGATCACATGGAAGGAATTTAAAATCAGGCCAAGGGAAGCCTATTCAAAAACATATTCTTATGTCTGCCCAGGCTTCATCTTCTTCCAGGAGACACACTGGACTATGCCTCATACGTGGATATGGTCGTGGCATCACTGTGATTTTCATCTCCCTGGCGACAGGGTCCCTCTGCTGTGGTCCTGGGTAGCACCTCCCTTTCTTGCTGTTCTACTCTCACAGAGCAGGTAGGGTTGGCCTGGGCTGGTTTGGGGCCAGGCTCTCCAAGGCTCTTTTGACACAAGAACTGCTTCTCTGGTTTTCCAAGCTCAGAACATGGGCCCTGCACCACCTCAGCTCCTTGTGCCCCTACATCTTAAGCGAGCTCAGAGGTATATGCACTGCAAAGTACACCTGTCACTCAGCCCCACTCAAAGCACAATTTAAAGCAAAACCCACCTCTACAATGGAGGAAGCGTCGGTTACTAATTCCTTTATTCCCAGCCATCATTCAAGACATCTGCAAACCAACTCCCTGAATTTAGGTCCAACCTCGGGGTTATTCTTAACCATCTTCCAGGGAGCAATCTCAGCTCCTCCCCATAGACTCTGGATGACATCGAAGCCACAGTGCCTCCTAGTGGCCAGTAGGCCAGAACAGCACAAATGTGCTCTCTTTTGCCAGGACACAGGGACTTGAGCTTTATTTCACTGAGTACAAGGGATATAGGATATTATGATTAGTTGGTGTTAAAAGGCCAACAAATAATATTAGTGCTATGGGGTAGGACAGAAACACCCCAGACATTGACAATGCAGTCAGAAAGGTGGAAACATAATGTCAGTTTTAATACTGATAAGCAGCAGGTCTCATTGTGAAACTCGATGGGCTGGCTAACATGATGCTGAAACAGAATTTAACCCATTCCCTATCCCCTCCAAACTGCAGGCCACCCTGCATGGAAGAGAGAGTTCCTCACTGATCTTAGCACATGTTGAAAATAATCTACTTTTCTCTAGGGAACCAGGAGGAAAACGGGAAAATAAGGAGAGACTAAACTAAAATGAAGAGAGGAAATAGTATAACTGATTTCCCTTCTGTAGAGAAGATTTGGCAAGGAATAGGAAGATTAAAACAGGATTATTACTTTCGGGGTGCCCCACAAAATGGGGTGTGTTGTCCCAGGAGATTGGCTTTAAACGGGGTAAAACAATAGCCACATATCAGTTACTCCCTCTAATTTTGACCATTGCCCCAGGAAATACTCATAAAACAGCACAAATCCACCCCCAGAACTCAGTAATTAAATTAATTTGAAGCCCAATCTGTACTATTTGACCAGATCTCAGCATTCTCTTGATTGTCTTTCCCATCTTGCCATATGGTCCAATGGAACACAGAGGTTATGTGATAGAAATAAATAACAGTAGAAGAATACTCTAAAAACAACATGCCCCAAACAAAGATATGTCTCAATTGGATTATGAATGGTCTTGATAAGTTTTTTTAAAGTATTTGATATCAGAGTTTAACATCTCTATACCATTTAAGTTGAATATTAGACAAATCACAAAGAATCTAACATTAAAATACAAGGAAAATTAGAATTCCAGGTAAAGTTATTTTCACCTTAATCCCAATAATTAAGGATAATGGCACTCACTCTTTCTGTTGTTATCTACATAGTTGGAAAAAAAATATCAAAAACAACATTAAAAATTTTAGTTAAAGTCCTAAAAAAATAATAATAATTTGGCTGGAATGTTGGTGAGGGCAAGAGCTCCGGGAGGTGAGCACAGCAGTCCATTTGCCCTAGCGGGCATTTGCAGATCCTGACTCAGCACTCAGGAAGCTGACTCACAGGCCACGGGGGTAAAGGCAAAGCCCAGAACATACCGAACGTGTCATTGCCAAATTCCACTAGTAACAATAAGCCAGAGACAAACCTGTTCTCCAGATGCTCCAGGACACCTCAAGCCTTAAACTGTGATTCAGGGAGCCTGACTGTTTATATCTACATGCACTTTCAGAAGCACAGAAAAATGATCTCTGCAGAAAAATATCCATCCTACCCCCAAAATTATTTCTACAACTATAGTGTTTGGCAAAGTGTCAAACATCATCAGATTGGTAAGGAGAAATACAAATGCCATGAAAACTCAAGCACCATAACTGAGAAGCAGCACAAAAAGAAAATCACAAAAATATCCTATGAAGATCTTAGAGGTGAAAATGATCAGACAGACTCTGAAACAACTGTGTGTCCTATATTCAAATAATAAAAAGTGATCTCAGAAAATGTTATGAGGGAGTTATTAACTATAACTAACATAGCAGATTGGGAAAAGAAAAAAATAGAAATTTTGACAAGGAGATGGTGAGTGAGTGGTCATTTTAATCCATCACATCAGTGAGGTTTTATTACAGGAATAAAGGACAGGGAGATGTGCAATGAACAAATGGAAATAAAGCCTGACTTGCCATCAGGTATTAGATTGGATAAGGAGGGGAGGGAAGTCAGGAGGGGCAAATGGACAGTGACAGTGCTTTCAGACAATTTCCAGTATGCTGCTTTTTAAGTAATTCTAACCAATACTTCAGAAAGATTTCTAGTATTAGAGAGTTTAGGCAGAAGTAGAGTAATGAATATGGAGCTAGACACACAGAGTGTATATTATCAGAGAGGGCAATTGATTGCTTCAGAAGTTCTTACAAGGAATATTTCAATCCACTAAGGAACTTTTAATATACAAGGCAGACACGTAGAAATGTCCTCTGAACTGACTGGTCCAGGTCTAGATATATTCTTGGGCTGGGATGATTACATAGAAGAGTTAGAGAGTTCAGGAGAAGTAGAATTCATGTGGAGCTAAGATTTGCACCTGGTTGCCGGGGTATCCATTTGTGTGCATTTCTTTGAACTGGAAAAAGGGCTGAATAACATACCTGAAATTATAATCACTATCATTAACAACATCATTATTAGCATACTTTACCAAAAATAAAACAGAAGGAAAAAGATTTCCAAACACATACTGTGTGTTGAGACTTTGCTAGACAGCCGGGGTGTCACTAAGGGTAACAAGTCATTCACATGCTGACAACTACATAAGGGGAGCCTGCTGTTTGCTGCTTGGTATAATCACTATCTGTATTATTAAGTTTATTGTACATGTTTCATGATCACATACTTTTATGGGAGATAAACCATCACTACCCCTGAGGACTCAATCTCTGATAAGTCACTTTAGGTTTCTTGAGTTGTCCCCAAGAAGTGTTTCAAATCCCTGAGACACATTTTCAAGCAACAATTATAGCGCTCATGTTGTAAGAAATAGTTCATTTCCTCCCACTATATGAATCCTAGCTATATCTGAAAACTCACTTCTTTCCTGGGAGGATGAGGAATAAGGAAAGGCTGCTGTGAGCTGAGTAGAGAGGAGAGAGTCCTGCGGTTTTCTGCACAGGAGGGAAGTGTCTCTGCTACACTGTGTCTAAGCTGCTGGCACAGAGATACACGGCCGAGTCCCCAAGCTCTGCAGGCTGGATCTTGAGAGTGGAGTCTACTCCTTTGAGCCTCTCTGCAGAAAATCGATCCTTAGGCAACTGTGAATCGTCTACTGCTTCCTCATTCTCATATCGAATCAGAAGCTCCGGGCCCTGTCCCAAGTTCTGCAGGTACCAGTAAAGGGTATTGTGGCCAGAAATAGGATTGCACCAAAAAGCCACAGGCTGTTTTTTCTCTATAATCTTATATCTGGGAGACTGAACCACTCCAGCTTCTATGAGTTCTGTGGGGGAAAAAGAATTTTAAAATAGAAGGAAATGACTAGAATAATCACTGGGAGATTATGTGAGGATCATGGTGTTCCTAGGACTCACCTTCCACCAGGAGACAGAAGGCCACCCAGCAGAGGAGCCTGGTACCCATGGCAGGGTCAGGGCAGGATGGAAGCTTTGCCAGATCAGGGTCACTGTGAGCAGGAGCAGAGGAAGTGGGATGTTGCTGTCCTTACAGAGAAGTTCCTACAGTGACATCATTGTCTCCACAAATGCTTAAGTTCTTAGAAAACAGTTGTTGTAAACTAAAACAGAGCTAAAAGTTTGTTTAATGTATTCATAGACTGGAAGTTCATCCAAGCGTCCTCACTCACATATTCAGGGCTTGGGGGATTAGATCTGTCACTACATCTCTAGGCCTATCCTGTGCTAGATGTTTCTACGTGGAAGTCTCAAAGGCAACTCAAAATAGATATATCAATTAGTGACCTCTTGATTTTATGTGTAATTTTCCTTCTCTTTGGGTATTTCTTTTCTACCAGGTCCTCCATGCTCCCAGTCCTCTAGGGTAATTGACACAGCTTTATCCTAGAACTGCATTGAACTAGCTGACATACTCTAACCTAAAGGGGTAAAATAATTCCCTGAGCACAAAGTTGGGAGGTTTCATTTTATCTGAAGGCCAATGACTAGTTCCCTTTTTGCTGTTATCAATCTTCATTATGTATTATGTATCAAGCCTTCACTATGATTCTGCCTGTAGTCTCTGGTCACCAATGAATTGAAAGTAAGTTCTGATATCTTAACCCAAATGGATGAAGAACACTCTAATTCCTGAAAATATCAGGGTGAATATCTAACAATAAATGCAAAATTGAGCAGGACTTCTGGGATCTAAAACACTTACACCTCTATCATATTTTACAATTGAATTGCAGTGTTAGTATCCAGCAATTTTTAAAAAATTATGCAACATTAGTTAAGACACACTTCTCCTTATCTGAGTGGTAGAGTGGGAAGGCTTGAGGGATTGGAGAAGTCCTGAGAATCAATATGAATGAACTAACCAATGACATGTGTGTTCAGAGAAAGGGAATAGTACAACTCAGCCTAAAGAAATCCAAGTTCCTAAAACCTAGGGGACACATGTCAAGGTTATCAGGTGAAGACCTGTGAGTGTAGAATTATCAGAACCATCTCTTTTCCATATAAATTGTCTATCATTGTGGTAGAAAAGCTGCTAGTCGGAGCCTGCCTTATATTGACACCAATTAATAATTTCATGGTGGAAAGTGTCTTCACATCACAGTGTCACTACCTCTTCCATCCGTGTGACCAGAGCTTAGGGCCCTGGATGACAACAGCATTGAGAGAGTGGAGGCTGGGTGGCTGGAGACAGGACCTATCAAGCTGCATGTGAAATACTTGAAATTGGGGCATCCTATTTCTAGGAAAGACATTCCCCAGGTATTCTCATGCCTCCCCTGCTTCCTGAGCACCAAAACAAATGAACAAAAAACACCCATGATTGTGTCAGGGCCCAAAGGGCCGTCTCATTGCTCAGGGAAGGAAATGCCAGAGTTCTGGAAAATCTGGTTCTTGTTAAGAATATTTGTGGTGTTACTGCAATTTGAGATATCTGGAAACATCTACAGTTGTCCACTCCCATCTTCTACATTCCCCTTACATTCTCCTGTCCATCGTCCAGGACACACTAGAATAGGTTAGGTGCTAAGGTTTCTCTGATGTTCTCCCAAGGAGGCACTTGTTCCTCTGCATGGGTCTGTGAGCATTCAGGTTGGCTCCTGGCTCTCCTCCATCTACCCCTCAAGTGGGCTCAGAAGATTCTCCACTCAATGGTTTGCTACAGTTCAGATTTCACTGCCGAACAGAACCCACTGGCATCAGTGGAGAAAGATGAGTTTCCATTGACCACTCAAAACACCTGCAAACTAGATACTGAATGCTAGGATGAAGCCACACTTTTCCTTTAAACTCAACTTCTCAGGCAATACTTAGCCCTGTTTCAAAAACATTTGGACGCCATCAAACCTCAGTGCCTCCTGATGGCCAATGGTTCAGAGCCACTGGGCTTAGGCCCTCCAGCCATGGCTCAGGGAGAGTGGTGGGACTTCTAAACAATGGAAATTAGATCAGGGCTACTATCAGACAGTGTTTGTGGGGGACTGAAGGGAATTCATTCCAGCTCCATGTGATCCTTCTGTCCTGCTAGAGACTCCTCCCCACAGACAGTGTTTCAGTCCTGCTAGAGCCCCCTCCCTGTTACACAAACACATATTATCCAACCACAATTTAGGACAAGCACTACCACTCCTCTGCTTACATTCAGGCAATTCCCCAACATCTGTGAGTTCTTGACCAACCTGTAGGGAACTCAGAATCTCCTGTTTCAGTTAAAACAGTCCTGTGTATTTACTAAACAGCTTCTTGACATGCATTGTTAGCTAAGTTTTGTGCTCATCTCAGAGATATCAGCTATTTTGTCCTCAGACTATAAATTCTCTTATCTTTTGGGGGGACTTTTAAAAATCATAGCCTGTCCCTATAGAAAAAGTACACTATAGGGCTAAAAGAAACCTTATCTTGTGTGTTTGTTTTATGGTAATTATAGAATATTTCAAAGATATTGAAAATGAATATAATAAATAGCCACCACAAAACTGAAATCATGCCAACATTTCAAGATCTTAAGATTTTTTTCTTCTAATTTTGTTTAAAAAACTGACACTTTTGGAAGAGCTGAATCATACAACAAAGAGAATATTAAAATGTATTTCAATTATTAACATCTTTTGACATTTGCTTTATCTCTTTTTGTGTATTTTACCCTCAATTTCTGAAATAAAACACTTTATTCTTAACGATTCAGTATGTCTCTCCTAAAAAGAGGCCATTATCTTAGAAAACCACAAATGCCTTTATTACACTCAAAAACTTAATATTCATATAACATTATTTTCTCATATATGCTTCACATTCCCCTTTCTCCAGTTGTACCAATGTGTCCTTTGGTTTTAATTTTTTTTCTACAGGACATTATCAAAGATTATGCATTTCTTTTGGTTGTCAGGTCTTTTTAGCTACTTTTAAACTAGACATCTCTTTGGCCCACTTATATTTTCCAACTTTCATGGTCTTGATTTTTGTAAGAGTCCATGTCAGCTGACTGGTAAAATGACCCCCAATCAGAATTTCCACATTATCAGAGGTTAAATATTTTGGCAAATACCATGCCATAGTTGATGTGTGTTTCCCATTGCATCCGATCAATTACAAGAACATATAATGCTGTCTTTACACATTTTTGGCGATACTAAATTTAACATCACAGACATCAGATCTCTCCATTGCAAAGATATCATTTATATTTTATAGTTAATAAGCAATTAGTGGAGTGATACTTTGACACAATATAGATATCTTGGTCTCCAATAACCTTTCAGATGTTGGTTTTGACATCAACTGATGGTCTCTGTCTGTAACTACATTAATGGCTACATTGATTTTCTAATGAAATTTAGTAACTAGCATTATTCTGTAACGAAGACATTCTTACCTACATCTTTTTATTGTCATTATAGCCTTATAGATTTTTAAAATTTGTTATAATTCAGTGTCCTCATTATTATGCTCTAATGTTTAGATACTCGTGTTTGGCTACTGGGAGCCCCATGAAACTGGTTCTGTGGCTTTTTTCTATGTTTTCTGGGTCATGAAACTTCCTTGATTTCTGCCAAAAGATGTTTTTGACTTTCCCTGCTCTGGATCTAGAAGAAGCCATTTCTGCTTTGTTTCTTTTAGAAACATTTAGAAATTAAATAACATGCAATAATTCTGCCCATTACTACTGGGAACACAAGTACAAAGAAATAAAGCAATTGTCCATCGACTTCATATTGCTTCTTACATATTGTATGGTTAGAGTTAGGAAATACATAATTTTTAAATAATAAGTTCATATTGATACCTCCAATTCAAATAAACACCGCAGATTTCTTCCTTGTCTTTCCCTATTTCTTATTGTATCTCTCTTCCCTTTGTAAGAACTCTGTTTCCCAGTAATGTCAATGAATTTACTTATTCTCTGTTGTACAGTCTATTAAAAATGTTTCAGAATATGCACTAAAAACACTAACAGCGACAAATCTCCCAAGTGAAGTTCAACCCCAACCTCATTTAGCCTTACAATCATAAAACTACTAAAATCTAAAGACAAAGAAAAACTAAAAAACAACTGGAAAAGAAAAGCCATTGCCTCCTAAGAAGATATACAAATGATCAATAATATATGAAAAGATGCTTAATATCTAATGTTTAGGTCTTCTATCTAAGTTCAGTTTATTACATGCAACATGTTGGAAAAGCTCTTTGACGTTGGCCTTGGCAATGATTTCTTCGATATCATACAAAAAGTTCAGGCTACAAAAGCAAAAATAAATGGGACTAAATCAAACTGAAAAGCTTCTGCACAGCAAATTAAACAATCAACAACATGAAAAGGCAACCTATGGATTTGGAAAAAATATTTGCAAACCATATGTCAGATAAGAGATTAATATACCAAATATATAAAGACCCCATACAACTCTTTGGCAAGAGAACATATAACCCTATTTAAACTGAGCAAAGGACCTAAACAGACATTTCTACCAAGAAGGCATAAAAATGGCCAAGATGTTCAATATCACTAAATGTTAGAAAAGTGAAAATCAAAACTGCTATGAGATAGCACCTCACACCCATTAAGATAGCTATTATTAAAAAGATAAGTTGCAAGAGTGTGGAGAAAAAGGAACTTTTATACACTGTTGGTGGAAAAGTAGATTGATGCACTCATTAAGAAAATTAGTGTAGATGTTCCTAAAGAAATTAAAAATAGAATTATATGACCCAGCAATCTCTTTTCTTGGTATATACACAAAGAAAATGAAATCCCACCTTTTGGAGACATCTGCACTCCCATGTTCATTGCAGCATTATTTACAATAGCCAAGATATGGAAACAACCTAAGTGTCTACTGATGGACAAATGGATGAAGAAACTGTGGCATACATATACAATGGAGTATTATTTGATCCTAAAAAAAAAATGAGATCTTGCCATTTACCACAACAAACATAGATGAACCTGGAGGACATTAGGCTAAGTGAAATAAGCCAGACACAGAGAAATAGTGTATATTATTTATATGTGAAATTTGTAAAAACTCAAATATACAGAGAGAATGAAATAGTGGTTAATGGGAGGATGGCAGGGGGAGGGAATAGGAAATGGGAATATTTAGGCCAAATGATACAAGATAGCAGATAGGCAGGATGAAGAAGTCTAAAGATCTAATGTGCCACATGAAAACTATAGTTCATATATTCAGAATTTTTTCCAAATGAGTAAATTATATCTGTTATTGCCACAGGGAGTAAATGGGTAACTATGTGAGATGATGGCTATATTAATTTGTTTCACTATAGTAACCATTTTCCTATAGGTGTGTATCTCATCATGTCATGTTATGTACCTGAAGTATACATAATACAATTTTCAAATTTAAAGTAAAAGTTCAAAAAAAGATGCTTAACATCATTAATTATTAGGAACATGTAAATCAAAACCGCAATGAGGTATCACTTCGCATTTACCAGCATGGCTGTAATAATTTTTAAAAAGAAGAACAAAACAGAAATTAAGTGTTGGCAAGGCTGTGAAGAAACTGGAAGGCTTTTACACTGTTGTGGGAATATAAAATGCTGAGGCTGCTGTAAAACACTGTTGGGCAGTTGCTCAAAATGTCAAATGTAGAATTCCCATGTGACTCAGCAATTCCACCCCTAGGTATACACCCAGAATAATTGAAAGCAGGAAAGCAGACAGATACTTGTAGGCCAGTGTTTATTGCAAGATTATTTATAATAGTCAAAAGGTGGAAACAACCCACAAGTCCATCAGCTGATGATGAGATAAACAAAATGTGGTCTATACACACGATGAAGTATTATTCAGCTATATAAAGGAGTAAAATTCTGACACATGCTACAATATGGATGAATCTTGAAAGCATTAGGCTAAGTGAAAGAAGACAGACACAAAGGGAGATATATTTTATAATTTCCCATCAATTAACTATCTAGAGTTGGTAAATTCATATAAACAAACGGTAGATTAGAGGCTACCAGAAGCTGAGAAGCATGGGAAAGATGGAGTTATTGCTTAATGGGTGTAGTTTCTCTTTGAGATCATGAAAAACATTTGGAAACAGCAGTGATGGTTCTACAACCTTGTGAATGTACGTGATTCCACTTAATTGTATATTTTAAAATTGTTAAGGTGAAAAATTGTATGTTTTATGTACATATAAAACATTTAAAAATTAACATTTAAAAACTGTGGTAATATGTATTTTATATTTGTATATAAAACTGTGGTAATGTATATACTATATATTATATATATATATGTAAAACCATGGTTATACATATATGTATAACCACAGTTTTTAAGTGTTAATTTTTAAATATCAATTAAAACCTTCAAAATGGCTAAAATAAATATTGACAACTCAATTCTCCATGATGGACCCTAAAGACAATGAAAGGAACTCAAGTAATTTAAACACACAGTCATCTCTTAGTATCCTGAGGGGATTGGTTCCAGGAAACCCTGCTGATATCCTAATCCAAGGGTGCCCACCTTCCTTACCGTCAGCCTTTGGTATCCTTGGGTTCCAAATCAGCTGATATAGAGGGTCAACTATATTGCTAATTTGTTTCAAAATGTTGCTTGTCAGAATATATCTCAGAAAGGGTTTTCTGATATAATTATTGTATTAGTCTGTTTTCACACTGCTATGAAGAAATACCAGGGACTGGGTAATTTAATTTATAAAGGAAAGAGGTTTATTTGACTTACAGTTCCACATGGCTGAGAAGGCCTCAGGAAACTTACAATCATGGCAGAAGGAGAAGGGAAGCAAGGCACGTCTCACATGGCAGCAGGACAGAGAAAGAGAAGGGAAAACTGCCACTCATAAACCATCAGGCCCTGTGAGAATTCACTCGCTATTAGGAGAACGGCACAGGGAAAACCACCCCCATGATCCAATCACCTCCCACCAGTTCCCTCCCTTGACACATGGGGATTACAATTTGAGATGAGGGTGGCGACACAGAACAAAACCATATCAGTTATAATTTTCTTCTGTAGTATAATACAGTTCCACTAGTCCACATCTTTTCTCATATTTGGGACTATCATTTCTTTGAAGACTTTCCAGTCTTCAAAATCTGATAAGTTTGCATTCATAATTTACTGTTTCAGATTGGAATACTCTGATTCTAAGTGAGGTTAAGAACCTATTCTTTTTTTTTTTTTTAAGACGGAGTCCTGCTCTGTCACCCAGTCTGGAGTGCAGGGGGTGATCTTGGCTCACCGCAACCTCTGCCTCCCAGGTTCAAGTGATTCTTGTGCCTCAGTCTCCCGAGTAGCTGCTGGGACCACAGGCACATCCCACCATGACTGGCTAATTTTTTGTATTTTTTATAGCTATGGGGTCTCACCATGTTGGCCAGGCTTGTCTCGAACCCCTGACCTCAAGTGATCTGCCCACCTCAGCCTCCCAAAGTGCTGGGATTACAGGAATGAACCACTGCACCTAGCCCAAGAACCTATTTTTATGTTAGTGTTAATTTATGTTTACTTTTCTGTGAAATGCCTATTTAGACTAAGTATTGCCATTTTATTGGATTGTCTTAGTAAGTTATGAGAATGCTTTACCCATTGTAGATACTAACTCTATTAGATAAGAACAGCTATGCTACAGAAAAAAAAATAAAAATAAATCTTAAAATCTCATTGGCTTAATTCTATGAAGTCTTACTTCCCATGTCCACAAAGCCCAGCAGGCCATAAGTAGCTTTCTTTCATGGTTTTTCACCAAATTATGACCCAGTGAGCCAGGCTGCTTCCATATTATCATTAGTCAATCTGTATTGCGTAGCTCCCAGGTTTATTAGGGCATGGCAAAAGAGTTGAAGGGTATCTGTACAGAAAACAGTCAACAGCAGGCTTGAGACTGTGGTGCTTAGAAAGTCCTGCTTGTGAGGTTGGCATTTGGCTGACATCTGGGAAGCTGGCTGGTGAGCAGTGCCCTGCACTGACATAGTTTCTCCTAACCGAGAGGAGTAGCTCATTGTGCCTAGACTGATATTGCAAACAGTATTGTGCTGAATACCAGATTTCCTTCTGGGCTGTGGATTTTGGGTTCATACTAGGCAGTGAGTGCCTCCATGACTGGCCTCCACTAAAGCCTCTGGGGTGTTGAGTCTCTGATGAGCTCCACAGGCAGAAACATTGCACACGTGTTAATGCATTTTTGTTGCTGGAAGAAGTGAGCTCTGTGTGACCCCTCCCGGGAGGAAGAGAGCATAAGGAAGCCAATGTGTGAACTCCTCTAGATTCCTCCTGTGTGTTTTCTTCATATGATCCGCTGCTGAATATTTACTATGACACTGTAATAAATCTTAACCATAAGTGCAACTGTATGCTATATCCCATGAGTCTTTGCAGCTAATTTCTGTGTCTACTTGAGGACTCCCTTCACAGTGCCACAAGTTATTTCTTTTTTTTTTTTTTTTTTTTGAGACAGAATCTCACACTGTTGCCAGGCTGGAGTGCAGTAGCGCAATCTTGGCTCACTGCAGTCTCCGCCTCCTGGGTTCAAGTGATTCTCCTGCCTCAGCCTCCCAAGTAGCTGGGACTACAGGCACACACCACCACATCCAGCTAATTTTTGTATTTTTAGCAGAGACGGGATTTCACCATGTTGGCCAGGATAGTCTCAATCTCCTGACCTTGTGATCCGCCCATCTCAGCCTCCCAAAGTGCTGGGATTACAGGCATGAGCCACCGCGCGTGGCTGCCACAAGTTATTTCTAAGGGCCAGACTTGGGATTGCCCACATCAGTTCTGCACACATCCAGTTATTCAGAACCTCTTCATATGTTCCCAGCACTTTAACTGCATGTGAAGCCTGGAACTGTAGGGGAGCCAAGGGACTTTTGTGAACATAAATGGTGTCATGCTGATTCTTCCTCATTTGCATGCATTCCTTATGCCTTTTCCAGGCTGTGGCTTGACTTTTCATTTTTTATCATGTGTTTCGATACATGATTAATACAACTAATGTCAGTTTGTTGTTGTTGTTTTATTTTTTGAGATGGAGTTTTGCTCTGTCACCCAGGCTGAAGTGCAGTGGTGCCATCTCGGCTCACTGCACCCTCCGCCTCCCAAGTTCAAGTGATTCTCGTGCCTCAGCTTCCAGAGTAGCTGAGATTACAGGCAAACGCCACTACCCCCGGCTAATTTATGTGTTTTTAGTAGAGACGAGGTTTTGCCATGTTGCCCAGGCTGGTCTTGAACTCCTGGGCTCAAGTGATCCACCCGCCTAGGCCTCCCAAAGTGCTGGAATTAAAGGTGTGAGCCACCATGCCCATCCAGTATTATTTTTTATGGCATGTGTTCTTTTGTGTTTCCACTAAAAAAGTCTTCACTCAAAGGATAAAAATATTTTCCTTAATTTCTTTTAGTGAAATTTAAGTTTTTCTGTTTATAGTTAAGAGTAAATGTACCTGAAATATACTTTCATGTAAGAAATGAAGTAGAGACTTAGGAATAAGAGGGAGGAACATATGTTCAGTGTAGAAGAAATAATTTGTAAAAACACACGTCCCCAGGGTGGGAAACAGCATAACACATATGAGGAAATAACTGAACATAAAGGAGCATGGCTGGAGCAGAGAGAGCCAGGGGAGACTTGTGCAAAATGATGATGGAGATGTAGGTGAAGAGCAAATGATAGAGGGCCCCATGAGGCTATTGGCCCATAGAAGAAAGGCAGCCAGGAACAGAGGTCAGGAGTGAAGGTTCATGACTATGAGTGGAAGGATAGTGGAGCGTGGGGAAAGGGGCAGATGAAGAAGTCACTGAAGCCCACAGGGGAGAGAAGGGAGTCCAGGCTTTGGGGTTAAGAGAATCATCGCTAACCTCAACTAATGATGCCTTTTCCTTTCTGCAAGCAGCAAAAGAGAGCTGCAGAAGAGAGACTTGGCAAGCTAAGTGTGTTGGGGTGACCTCCAGTTGGTCTGAGACTGGGGTAGGAATGGACGTCAGCACTGAGGGTCATAAGGCCCCTGCTCTATGGCTTCCAGGCTGGCCAGGGCCCTCTGACTTCTATGGAGGCCTGGACTTCCAAGGGTGGGGATAGACACAGAGCAACCTCAGTCTTTCTAACTGCTGTTTACGTGCAGAGAGGAGGCAGCCATGCAGCACTGTGGACTCACTGATGGCACAGAAGTACACAGATGTCTGGGAGCTGGTAGCGGACTCCAGAGTGAGGAGGAAATCCTCTGTCTTTGATCTAGAGACACTATAGCCATCTGAGACTTCTCCTTTGTCAGTATCTTTAACACCATATGAGTAATGGATCAGCCTCAGCCCATGCCCCGGGTCTTGTCGATACCAGTACATATAGCGGTGGTTCTCAGTCTGGTGACATCTCAGAGTCACTGGTGTTCCTGTCTCTGTGACCTTGTGTCTTGGGCTCTGGGTGATTCCAGCATCCATGTGTCCTGTAATAGAAAACAACAGACCCTGATGTTGTAATCCCAAGAAAAAGACTTGTATTGAGGCCTTGGGAATTCTAGGGAAGGAAGCCCACCTGTGACCAGCCCTCACCTGTCCACAGGAGACAAAGGGCCACATAGAAGAACAACCTTGTGCCCATTTCAGGTCCAGGCCAGGATCTCATCTCTCCCAGCCCTGCCTGGGGAAATAGAACTTAGGTTCTCAGTGACTCGATGACATCAGTGCCCCTGACAAATAGTTGAGCTGGAAAGTTAACCTGCCACACCCCTTACATTCTCCAAAAAAATAAATCAAATATATACATATATGTAATTTATGGTATATAAAACAATATTTTATAGGACATATATACAATTTAACAGCTCAGAATGGGAATAATTTGTAGACTATTTTTAAAGACATAAGTGCATATGCTCTTTGCAGGTTATTAGAAAGAAAATGCATTCCTCTCTGCATATTTTATTCCCATTAGGATACAATTCCTCATTTGTATGCTGTTTTAATTGTTTCTAATATTTATGTAGTCTAAGGGACATTCTCGTGGCAGTCTGGTGTCCTTTATAACTCATCTCCTCAAATTTGCCTCTAAGTACCTTTTACTAGATTTTATCTTTTCTCAAACTCTGGATAACTGGATGTCAGCCTACAGTGCTGGCCTCTGTTAAAAGAGCCACCTGACATCTGGGAAGGTTTCAAAAAGTCTTAAGGTCAGGATCAATACAATTTGTATATTGTTTTATGCTCTGTCACATTAGTTCACCTCACAGGAGCCTCCTCATCAGAGCTCAGACCTCTGTGTGTTCCCGCTGGTAGTTTGATGGTTAATTTTAGGTGTTAATCTGACTAGATTAAGGCATACCTGGATAGCTGGTACAGCAACACTTCTTGGTATGTCTGTGAGGGTATTTCTGGAGGAGACTGGCTTGTAAATTGATGAACTGTGTGGGAAAGATCTACTCTCAATGTGTATGGCAATATCCAGTCAGCTGGGGGCCTGGATGAAACAAAAAGGCACAGAAAGGGTGAATTTGCATTCTCTCTCAGAGATGAGACATGTGTCTTCTACTGCCCTTGGATATCAGAATTCTAGATTCTCCTACCTTTGGATTCCGGGACTTGCACTAGCAATCCCCTGGATTGTCAGGCTTTTGGTCTCAGGCTGAGAGACACAACATTGGCTTCTGTGGTCTGAGGGCTTCAAACTTGGACTGAGTCATGCTACTGGCTTTGCTTCATCTCCAGCTTGCAGATGGCTGGCATACTGGGGGACTTTTCAGCCTTCATAATCACGTGAGCCAATTTCCCTAATCTCTTTCCTTCTCTTCTCTTCCCTTCTCTTCTCTTCTCTTCTCTTCTCTTCTCTTCTCTTCTCTTCTCTTCTCTTCTCTTCTTTCTTTTTCTCTCTCTCTCTTCCCATATATATATATAGTGTGTGTGTGTATATATATATATATATATATATATATATATATATATATATATATAGGAGAGTATATATATATATACTATATATACAGGAGAGTGTATATATATATACTATATATATAGGAGAGTGTATATATATATACTATATATATAGGAGAGTGTATATATATATACTATATATATAGGAGAGTGTATATATATATACTATATATAGGAGAGTATATATATATATACTATATATATAGAGAGAGTGTATATATATATATATATACTATATATACAGGGAGAGTATATATATATATATATATATATATATATATATATATACCGTTTCTCCAGAGAAACAGAACCAATAGAATATATATATGCATATGTATATATATATACATTTTTTTGCTATGAGAATGCTCTGCTAGGCAACACCACATACTATGAAAATGCTTTAAAATGCAACAGGAAGAGATGTGAAGACACAAAGAACAAGTACATAGTGACACATGGCTATCAGAACACACTAAGTAATGATCCACACTGCTTCCACCCTTTACCCAGAAAGGGAAGGATCTAGGCCACCTCGTCCTCAGAGAGAAACAGAACCAACAGAATACATACATGTATGTACATATACACATATGTATGACTAATACAGATATGACTTCTCCTTTTGTTTTAGGGGAGGCCACCTGAGTCTCCATCACCTAATAGGAGTCTCATCATCAGAACTCAGACCTCTGTGTTCTCATGAGTTTTGTGATGGTTAATTTTAGGTGCCAACCTGACCAGGCTAGGGCATACCTAGGTAGCTGGTACAACAGCATTTCTTGGTCTATCTGTGAGGGTATTTCTGCAGGAGATTGGCTTGTGAGTGGATGGACTATGTGGGGAAAACCCACCCTCCTTTTTTTCTTTTGTGTAAAAATAAGAGGAAGCTCATTAGGGATGTATATGAGATATTTGCCCAGAAGTACACTAGCCTGGTGCCTTTAAGGTCATAGGGAAATGCCCTGTGTCCATTCAGAAGGTCTTATAAATACAAATGGGAGGATATTGATTGAACCATAAATGTGCTGTGGTGCAAAATTTACATCTAGTCAATAGTGGTACTACTGTTATTTCAGATACAGGACACATCTCAGTGTGAGGATCCCTTTTTGTGACTGCACATCTTGATGTAACCTGGGTGGGTAATTCCTACACTCATGCTCCAGTGAGAATGGATACAGAATCTGAAGTGGAGACAGGGAGGGGACCCATGAACACCCCGATGGAGAGGCTGTGGCTGGGGCCTGGAAAGCCCAGGAAGAGCTTTCCCATCTATGCCCAGAACTCCCCTGGTCCTGGGAGACCAAAAGGCACACGGAAAAAGAGATCATTGCCCATGGTTGAGTCAGGACAGGAAAGGAGAGCTTTCCATCTCAGGGCTCAGATTCTTTAGAGTAGGGCACATGGAATCCAAGAGCTCTGAGAATTGTTATCAAAATAAGGTGTGATCCATCAATAAATAAGGTGTGATCCACCAATAGAATTCTCAACAATACTCTGACTTCTCTGGGGAGATAAACATCTACCAGGAATATTTTCCTTGTATTTACATTTGTATTACTTGATCATTATTGATTTACAAATTTTCTTTTGTTGAAAACATACACCTTATTTTGCAGCTTTGCCTGTTTTCTGTGCTGATGTTTCTCAAGCACTTACATGGTGCCTACACACGGTAACTAGCTAGAAGTGGATTTGCCATGAAGTCAATGAAGAATAACTTCAGGCCTTCTCACTTGCACAGAATTTATTTATTTATTTTAATTTGAGATAGAGTCTCACTCTGTCACCCAGGCTGGAGTACAATGGCGTGATCTCTGCTCACTGCAACCTCCGCTTCCTGGGCTTAAGTGGTTCTCCTGCCTCAGTCTCCCAAGTAGCTGGGATTACAGGTGCCCACCACCATGCCTGGCTAATTTTTGTATTTTTAGTAGAGACAGGGTTTCACCATGTTGGCTAGGCTGATTTCGAACTCCTGACTTCAAATGATCCAACCACCTCGGCCTCCCAAAGTGCTGGGATTATAGGCATGAGCCACTGTGCCTGGCCTTGCACAGAATTTTTTCAAGACATTCTCATTTTGTATTCTCTTTTTCAAAGCGATCCCTAAAATTTTATAAGCCTCATGTTCCGCAAAACTTGGATCTACTCCGCACATACTCTTGTTAAATTTTTGTTGAATGACTGAAGAAAGAAATGAATGGTTCTCTGAGTCCATGCAGACCCTGAAGCTGTGAAACATAAACTTAGTCTATTCAGTTACAAATAAGCTCAGAGCCTTAACTGAGCAGAGACCCATGTGAGTCTGTTGGAAACTCAGACTGAGTCAAAATGAACTTGGAAGAGATAGTTCACATATCATTATAGGACTTCTGAATGAATGCATGGCAGTGTAACTAAAAGAAAACCACGGCCTTTTTCAAAGAGAAGTGTCTTAGAGGGTCATCTCATTCTATCACTGTCAAAGTTTTAAGCTGCCCCTGAAGGCAAAGTTTGAGACATGGACTTTGGTGAAAGTAGTTTATTTTGGAAAGGATCTCAGGAATTAGGAATAAGAGAGATGGGAGAATAAAATAGGGAGAGAGGAAACCAGGATAAAGGTACAATATTGAGTTTGTGCTGGAGCAACAGGAGATGGAATCCATCAGGATTGCTCTGAATTCACAACTTTCTGGGAGCATCACACCTTGCATATCAGACTCAGTATCAAGCAGGAAATGCTGTAAGGTACAACATTTTCACTTTCTCTTAAGACACAACTGTTTGTGTTACTTTTGCCAATGAATTATCAGACTACTATATTTGCATTTTAGATGACTTTGTGTCTGAATCATAGGTGAATCAGACAAAAGTAATTCGTGTATGCCTTTGTTACCAGATTGCCAAAGTAAATAACTGCTTGACTAGAGATTTGTCAGAAAATTCATAGGGACCTAAGACTTATTGAGCCTATACTATGTATTAGACTCTGTTTTATTTACATGTATAAAATCTCTGTAAGACATATATGATTGGCCTCAGTTTAGCCAAATGTTTTCAAAGTCACTGACCCAAGGGATCAGAAGATGAACTACTGAGGTCTCCTCATCTCTGAGGATCTTCCTCTTTAGCGTGCAGCCTCCCACATGAAAGATGTTATTCAAATGGTTTGTGTCAGATGCATTGTTTCTAAAAGAGACATTTAGATTTCCAATGTTGAAGGTATCTTCCTCTACCAAAATGTATAGGGTGGAGTAACTTCAAGCATAGGTTGAAAGTCAGTATGGCCTAGGTGTGAGTCCAAGTTCTATATTTGTTAGCTGTACCTCCTTTAGAAAATCTAAATTCTCTAACAGTTTTTTACCTGTAATATGGGAGTAAATTGTTCTCCCTTTTGAAGTTCTTAAGAAATTAATTGAAATAATGTACTTGGTATACGGCCCAGAGAAAATGGGATTAACGATGTTGCTTGTTATTAGCAATCAACAAGGCAATTTTCTCTAAGTTCACATAAAAGATGTAGAATTAAGTTGGTCTCTGTCCACCGTGTACTTGCACATGCATCTGCAAATGGCACATCATACACTTGGTAGCTGCTGTGCTGGCTGTTCTACATGCACACCCAAAGTTCCCCACAACCGACTCTCGCCTGCCTGCCCCTTACTGCCCTGGACTGTGCCCCTGAAGACTGATGTCAGCAAACGGTGCTATCCAGGCTTTCAGCTGGGCTTTCCAATGGAAGACACCAGCTGGACATTGAAGGGTAGTGAAGAGAAAGTTCAGCATATCTGGGCTTCCCCTTCCTAGCTCTGGTCCTGAATTCCTTCCTTTGGGAAACTTTTCTCATTACTTGCATGCACCTCCAGTAACACAGAATTTCCCTCCCACCCCTTTTTCCATAGGCCCCACAGTTAGTTGTACTGGCTTCCCAATGTGCTGGAAACCCCTGGTCCCTCAAACACTTCTTGGTGTCCCTAAGTCTGTTTACCCCTCTAAACATAGTCCTTCGATTAAATTGTTTTCACTTCAGCCTTTTTGACTGTGTCATCTGTTCCTTGCCAGAAAACTGACTGATTGAAATGACTTTCATACATTGTAAATGCATGTGTGAATAATTAGGGATATATTATTTTGCCAGACTTTAGACTTCTTAAAGACAGAATGTGTAATTTGAAAAATTACATCTCATTTTCTGTATTCCAAGGAAATTTTTAACATAATAGGTATTCCAGGAATATCTACTGAATAAATTAACAAGTAAACAACAACTAAATGACAACAGCAAAGCTATATATATAAAATAAATTTTCATGAACAATTTGACAGAAAATATAAAATTTATTCTCCTGCTTTCCATTTCTCTGCTGCATAGCTGGGTGTGCTGATGATTGTCTTTTGGCACTGAGTACCCTTAAATGTCCTCCAACAATCTCTCTCTCTCTCTTATTGCAAGAGCTAGAAGACTTGAAAGTACATTTCCCAGTCCAGGCATGGTGGCTCACACCTGTAATCCCAGCACTTTGGGAGGCTGAGATGGGTGGATCATGAGGTCAGGAGATCGAGACCATCCTGGCTAACATGGTGAAACCCCGTCTCTACTAAAAATACAAAAAAAATTAGCTGGGCTTAGTGGCGGGTGCCTGTAGTCCCAGCTACTCGGGAGGCTGAGGCAGGAGAATGGCATGAACCCAGGAGGTGGAGCTTCCAGTGAGCCGAGATCGCGCCACTGCATTCCAGCCTGGGCGACTGAGCGAGACTCCATCTCAAAAAAAAAAAAAAAAAAGAAAAAAAAGAAAAAGACATTTCCTAGATTCTCCTGAGAGCAAGTTTCTGAAAACAGTTTTGTTTCCCCCAGTAAGCTATACTTGTGGAAAAGTTAGAAGCAGAATAAAGACTTTTATCTGACAGCAACAGACAGGTGGATTTGCAATGACCTCTGGATACTTTCCTGTGAATCACCCTCTTGGTCACTGCAAGACCACTATGACTCTCAGCTATTTCCAGCAGTCCCTGACCTGGGCAAAAGTAGCAACTTCAGTCTTTGTGATCACTAGTGGTGGACCTGAGCGCAAGTTTCAACCTTCTGAGACCCTCCCACTTTTCAGCCTTCCAGTGGTTTATAACCACCAATTCCCTGTATTAACTCCTATTCTCCTTGGAATTCCTAGAGGATTCTGTTTCCTTGACTGAACCCTGTGATGTATTAGAAATGCCCCTTGTCACTATATGTCTATATTAGGACATATTGTGGCCCCATTCTATATGGAACTAAAACAGGACAAATATTCTCTGGCTGGAAGTTATATGTCCTGGAGGTTGGCAGGCCATAAGCCATAGTAACCACATTCCATAATATGTGACCTTCTTCTACTGCTTGGCTAGTCTTGAGATGGAAGAATAGTGCTCTGCTGTAGCTCATTGACCAAGGCCCAGGAAACACTATAGAATTTTAGAAATTTTATTTTGGAGGCATGGAGTCGTAGGTTTGGATCCTGCCTTTGATCCTTGGAAATATGAAATACTGGAGAAGTTCATGAGCCACAGCTTCCTATCTATAAAATGGTACACTGAAATCTTCTACATGTATAAAGTGGATATGCTAATGTCTATCTTTGCATTAAAACACATAAACTCAGGAGGATCATTTGAGGAGTTTGAGACTAATCTGGACAACATGACAAGGCCTCATCTCTACAAAAATAAAAATTAAAAAAAATTAGCCAGGCAAGGGGACACATCACCTTGTAGGAACTGAGGAACTGGGGACACACCTTGTAGTGATGTGTCCCTGTAGTCATAGCTACTCAGGCCGCTGAGGCAGGAGGATTGCTTGAACCCACGCGCTCAAGGTTGCAATGAGCCATGATCACAGCACCACTGCACTTCAGCCTGGGTGACAGAGTGAGACCCTGTCTCAAAAAAGAAAAAAAAAAAAAACCCGCAATGTGTACTGCTATGATTTGACTGTGTTCCTAAATAATTTATATATTGAAAACTTGGTTCCCAATGCAGCAGCGTTGAGAGGTAGGACCTTTGGAAGGTGACTGGATCTTAAGGACTCTGCCCTCATAAAGGTTAATCCATTCATGGATTAATGGGTTATAGAAGGAATTAGTTAGTTATGAGGTTGGGTCTGTTATAAAAGCCAGTTTGACCATCTTTCATGAGCCCCCTCATATGTAATGCCCTATGCCACCTGGGGACTCTGCAGAGTCCTCACCAGCAAGAAGGTCCTCACTAGATGTGGGTCCTTGACCTTGGACTTCCCAGCCTCCAGAGCTGTAAGAAACAAATTTCATTTCTTTATAAAATACCCAGTCTCAGGTATTCTGTATGGCAACAGGAAACACACTAAAACATATACCCCTATGTTGGCACAGAGTAGAAGCTCCCGCCACTTGCTAGGAATTAAAAAGTACTGGCTAAGATGTGAGAACTTCCAGTGGGTCTGGAGCCCACAAGTGCAGGAGCTCTCACTGAGCTCAGCAGGGCAGGGGAAAATGTTAGAAAAGAATAGAAGCATCTCTGGGGCTTGGCTAAAGTTGTGTGGCAGCCCCCACCTCCTTCTCCCTATTACATCCTCAAGTGAGATAGGAGGGTTTGGGTACAGAAAGCCAGTAATTCTCCAGGGCTGTGCCTAAGCTGCTGGCACAGAAGTACAGGGCTGAGTCCCCCAGCTCCAAGGAGCTCATGTTCAGTTCAGAATGATAGTCACTGAACTGTTGAGCTGAGAATCGATCAGGGATGCTTCCTTTATCGCTCTGCATCTTTTCATAAAACGAAATGAGGAACTGGGGGTCCTGACCTGGACCCTGCTGGTACCAGTAGACAGTGTCGTGTCTAGGGATAGGATAGCATTTCAGAGTGGCTGTTTCCCTCTTTTCTTTGATCAGATGTCTTGGGGACTGGATGACTCCAGCAGCCACTGAACCTGTGGAGGAAGGAGACAGAAGCTGAAGACTCAGCTCGGGAGAGTTTGACACTTCAGCAACAATTGAACACTGTGGATACAGGGATGTCCCACCTGTACTCAGGACTCACCTGCTCCCAGGAGACAAAGCATGACACGGCAGAGGAGCCTGGTGTTCCAGGCAGAGTCAGGCAGGTCAGGACTAAGCATCTCCCTGCTCAGGTTGCTGGTCTCCTGGGGTGAGAAAGCAGGGCTTTTGCTCCTCCTCACCGTTTTTGGAGGTTTTTACTGTGATGTCACTGTTCTGATGTCATCGTCCTGTAGGCTCCCATAGGCACCCTGTACTCCAGGACTAGCTCAGCTAACTCAGGCTTTCCCCCATCCTGTCCAGCTTCCTGCAGAGCAGGGGAAGCTAGCTGTGCTGAGCGAGAGGGGGCAGGCTTCCGGGCAGACAGCCATCCGCACAGCTTCTGAGATTTTCATCTGAGGCAGATGCTCCTTTATCTCCACCTGGCTTGGGTTATCCAGGCTGCCCTGCTGAAACCCTCATCACACTCCCCATCAAACCTAGGTTGCTAGAGAGGCCACACAAGGCTTCAGTTCATGGCTTCCTGTCATGACAAATACATGTTGCATATCAGTTGATCTGATAAGACTATGATTAACTCTTCCTGTGCCAGCAGTACCTCTGGTTCATCTGGTAATATCCCTGATACAGAGACGAAATCAAGACTGTCTCCCTTAACCCTCTCTCTCTCAGACAGCGCTATCAGTGACCCACTCAGTGGATCCACAGTGCCCCCAAGTGGCCAGTGTGTAGTCACTATGAGGAAGCTCTAAGGACCCTGACTAGGGAGACTGGGTGCTTCCTAAATTAGACCCTCAGGATCTCTCAGGACACAGCACAGCTCTTGCTGATTTCAGGTTTACCTGCCTCAAACTCAAATTTTGCACAGGTTGGTGAGGGAGACATAAAGCAAATGTCTTTTTAAACAAGAAAGAAAAATTTTTCATTTTAATTTAAATTTTAAATTTCATCAAATAATGGTGTAGGAAGGGAGATATCAGCCAGTCATTAAATGCCAGCTGCCATAGGAATGGGGTGAGACCTGGGCAAAGCATTCCCTTTAACCAAAGATAATTCCTGGAGGCAGCTGACAGTGACATGCTATCAGTGAAACAATCATCTAAGCTGGAGAAATAAACACATTAGTCTCATGAAAAGAAACTGCCTACTTATATATCTTTTTTTTTTAATTCTCTAGTCAACTTTTTGTTTTTAGTGAATTGCCTTCTTTATGATTGATGTGTAGGAATTCTTTATAATATGAATCCAGCCCTTTCTCAGATATACATTTATTTTTTCGTAATGTATTTTGAAGAACTTTTTGGGATTTGCATAAAGAACAATTTGCTTTTTTTATGGTTAGAACATTCTTTTGTCCTTAAGAAATCTTTGCCTACCCCATGATCATGAAGAGAGCTTGCTATGTTTTCTTCCAGAAGCTTTCAGTTTCTAGTTTTTCGATTATCTGGGATTTTTTTGTGTCTCTTACTAAATTTTGTTTATGGGAAGGGTCAGCAGTTTTCCTGTAAAGGGTGAAATAATAAATTTTTTAGTTTTGTGCATCATGCAGTATTTGTCTCGACTACTCAATTCTGTCATTGTAGTGCAAAAGCAACCATTGACAATATATACACGAATGACTGTGGCCATGATCCAATAGAACTTCATTTATGTTTACTGAAATTTGAATATCTTAGATTTTTATATGTAACAAAATACTTTTTACTTTTTTTCAATCATTTAAAAGTGTAAAATTTTTGTTAGTTTCTGGGCTGTATGAAAACAGACAAAGGCCAAATTTGGCCCGGAGGCCATAGTTTGCCCACATCTGGTTATGGAGTGAGATAAGGCTAGAGATTCATTATTTTTCCATATTATCCCATTTTTCTAGAACCATTTGCTGAAAAGGCTATTTTATCCTCTTTTTGCTGTTTTTAGTATTTGATCTGGGAATTACATATGCATCTTTGACTTATCAGTTTGCTTGCAAAAATATTCTATTTAACCATAGGATGTCATAAATGTCCTTTTTTAGGTGAAGAAAATTTCTTGTTACTCTTGAGTTTGATAACAGTTTTCTTCAAGAAAGGATATGGAATTTTATCAAATGCTTAAGTTATCTATAGATATGATCATATACTTTTCATATTTTTCATACAGATAAGGTAAATGACATAGTCTGTTTTTTGAATGTCAGACCAACAATGCATTACTGAGATAAACCCTACTTGACCATGTTGTACTATCCCTCTTACATATTGTCAGATTCTCTAGGCTGTAATGGTAAAAGGATCATTGAATCTGTGTTCCTGAGAGATATTAGTCAGCAGCTTTCTTGGAATCTCTTAGTCTCGTTTTGGTATCAGAGTAGTTCTGGCCTCAGAATGAATAGAAAATTATCCCCTGTTCTTCAGTTTCCCCTCAGTCCTGCTTTGGCAGCATCATACCAACTTTGATATATTTTTATATTTGTTCAGTTTAAAATAATTTCTTTTCTGTTGA
Source organism: Homo sapiens (assembly GCF_000001405.40). Classification (NCBI taxonomy): domain Eukaryota; kingdom Metazoa; phylum Chordata; class Mammalia; order Primates; family Hominidae; genus Homo; species Homo sapiens. The sequence goes on along the minus strand of NC_000007.14, from coordinate 142,533,449 downwards.
ACATTCTCAAACATTTTATGCATATATAGCAATTTCCTTGAAATAAATTCATTAAATAAAAAACACTCTGGGTCAAGGAGTGTTAGCAGTATTAACTCTTTTGATGTATGCTGCTAAATTACTCATCAAAAACGGTTTTACAATTTACTCTCCCCCCAAAAAAGAAAGATTTGGGCCAGGCGTGGTGGCTTATGCCTGTAACCCCAGCACTTTGGGAGGCCGAGGCAGGTGGATCACCTGAGGTCAGGAGTTCGAGACCAGGCTGCCCAACATGATGAAACCCCGTCACTGCTAAAAATATAAAAACTAGCTGAGCATGGTGGTGGGCACCTGTAATCCTAGCTATTTGGGAGGCTGAGGCAGGAGAATTGCTTGAACCCAGGAGACGGAGGTTGCAGTGAGCCAACACCATGCCACTGCACCCCAGCCTCAGTGACAGATTGAGACTCCGTCTTAAAAAAAAAATAAAAAAGAAAGGTCTTACTTATCTTCATTCTCACCAGTATTTGGTCAAAAAGAAAAAAAAAATGACCAAAATATACTATTAAAATAATTGTAAATTATCTTTTATCTTTTGATTTATTTTTTGCTTTATGAGTTATTTAGACAACTATTATCTAATTTTGAAATATTCGGGACTTTTCCAGAAATCTTTCTCTTACTGATTTTTAATGAAGTTTCACTGTGACCAGCGAGTGCACTTGGTTTGACTTGAATACTTTTAATGCATGGATGCTTGTTTTATGGCCCAGTGTACGTAGTCCATGCTGGCACACAATCAGTGCGCACTCCAAGAGAACATGTATTCTGCTGCTGTTGGATGAAGTGTTCTGTAAACGTCAATTAAGTCAAGTTGGTTGTTGGTGTAGTTCATATCTTCTGTATCCTTAGTTGTCTTTTGTTTTTGTCAACTTGTTAAACCAGTTACTAAAAGAGGGCTATTGAAATCTCTGATTATAATTGTGGATTTGTCTGTTTCTCCTTGCAGTTCTGTTTTTGCCTTGGGATTTTGAAGATCCATTTTCAGGTACGTAAATATTTGATTGTTACAACCTCTTGATAGACCAATACTTTTGTCATTAGGATATGACTTTCATTATCTCAGATGATATTCTCTGCTTGAAATTTATTTTGTTTGATATTAACGTTACTAGTCTGGCTTTCCTTTAATTGGTGTTGGCATAGTACATCTTTTTCCATACTTTTATATTTTTTTACATTCTGAGTCTTCATAGTATTCTGATAAGCAGCATATAGTTGTTTTTTTGATATGATTCGATAATATTCAATAGTACAATCTGTGCTTTTAGACTATTTAGATTTGATGTGATTGTTGATGTGGTTACTTTTGGGTCTATCATCTTCTATTTGTTTTCTATCAATCCCATCTCTTCTATATTCCTTTTTTCTTTTTATGTTGTTTTTATGGATTATTTGAGCATTTTTATAACTCTGTATTGTGTTGGCTTATTAACTATAATGCTGTGTTTTGTCATCTTAGTGGTTGCTCTATGATTTTCAGTTGCATCTCTACTTTAACGCAGTCTGCCTTCAAGTGACTTCACTCAGATTATGGAAACCTTCCAATGATATATGTGTTCATTTATTCCTCACCTGTCTTTATGCTAGTCTTGTTATAGATTTATGTTTGCATATATTAGAATCCCTGCACTGTTTTGGAATTATTTCAGTGTAAATAGCCAATTATCCTTTAAAGAAATTCATTCAAGTTTAAAAATTTGCTTTTGGGACTCTAATTACATATTAAGCTACTTAAAGTTGTCCCCCAGTTTACTGATGACCCCCACTTATTCTCTGTATTTCATTAAGAATTGTTTGTGTTATTTCTTCAAGTTTATTAATATTTTATCCTGTAATGTCTAATCTGATGGTAACTTCATCCAGCGTATTTTTCATCACAGACATTGTAATTTTTATCTCTAGAAGCTTTGTTTGGATCTCATTATGCCTTTCCCCATCTCAACAAAACTTTGAACTTACAGACCAGAGTTATAGTAACTGTTTGACTGTCTTTGTCTGCCAATTTGTCATTTCTGAGTTGGTTCCTATTAATTAATCCTTCTTTTCCTTATAGATCCTATTTTCATGCTTCTTTGCAGGTCTGTAATTTTTGATTGATGCCAGATATTTTGTATTTTATATTTTTGGGTGGTAGATATTTTTATATTTCTATTAATATTTTTAGCTTTGTTCTGTGATGCACTTAAATCAGTTGGAAACAAACAAAAACAAAAAAAATCCCAGCAGTTGTTATCTTTTTCCTGAATAATTTAGCAAGCTGATTCTAAAATGTATATGGAAAAAAAGTGTCAAGAGTGCTCAAGAACACTTGATAAAAAGGAGCGAAGCTTGAGAAATTATTCTACCAGATATTAAGAATAAGGATGAAGCTGTAGTAAGACAGCATATTATCAGTGCGAGAACTGACAGAACAGACCAATGTAACAGAATAGAGATCCGAGAAAAAAGGCCACACATGTATAATGACGGATTTATGACAAAAGTGATATTATCGAGTGATGGTGAAACTATTACCACTTAAATAGTATTGGGTAAATTGAATAATCATTTGGAAAAATAGAACTTGACCTCTTCCTCATATCACCTACAAAGAATTAATTCCAGTTCGATTGTGAGTCTAAGTATGAAAAGTGGAAAATATAAAGATTTTAGAAGGAAATGTAAGAAAACATGATCATTTTGAAGTAAGCAAGGATTTCCTAAAGTGGACACCAAAATACAAAACACTAACTGAAATGGGAGAAACATGGAATGATTGTCACTTAAGAACTTCTGTTTGTCAAGAGAAACTATTAGTAGAGGGAAAAACTAATCTACAGAGAGAGAGAGAGAAAAAAAAAAATTCCATCCAAAACTCATATACCTCTCGTGGGAATGTAAACTGGTACATCTTCTTTGGAAACCTCAAAGAATCCTACGTGGTTGATATAATTTTATTCAGGTTTTCTTTGAATTGTGTCCTTTTAACACCTTCCCAGGTGGGGTTTATCTTATGAAACAATCTCAATTTGTATTTCTATTTTTTTAAGTTAGACTGGAGAAGAAGGAAATTAAACATAGAATGACTACAAGATTTTCAGAAGGAAAAAAAGCAATGTATGAACATGAGTTAATGTGCATTATTGTGGGTAATAGTTATTTCTAAAAAATTGATTTTGATGGAAATTCTTACTAAAGATTCCAATTTTCTTCCAAGGGTGGTAGCTGTAAATGGCCTTAGCAGTGTTTGCGTTTGGCTTCCCCACTCCTTGGTAGATTATAGGTCTGAGTTGGTGACATGTGGTAACAGTAGTTTAATATAAATGTGCTGAAACTTCATAGTTCTATAAAAGAATATTTACTTAGTCACTATCCATGAGACTAAGCTCTGTTATATCCTAATTATGGAAATTTGAACTATATATAAGGAATCCCAGAAATCCATAAGTCAAAATTATTACTACCCAGTATTCCCTGTTCCTGTATTTCAGAGGTTATTTTCTGACCTCCTAGTATCAGAAGAACACCTGCAGTTCCAAATGCATTCATTCTCCTTGCTGAGGAAAGAGCAGGGCAGCTCCTTTGTTCAGGGCTTCTGAGAGCTGGAAGGAGAAGTAAGTGCCTGAGGGTTTGTGAGCAGGAAGGAGGCGACTGTGCCATGCTGTGGCTAAGCTGCTGGCACAGAGATACATGGCCGAGTCCCCCTGCTCTGTGCGCTGGATCTCCAAGGTGGAGAAAGATCCCTTAGGCCTCTCTGCAGAGAACCGATCACTGAGCAGCCTTGATTTTTCTAGTTGAGCTTCATTCTGGAAGTAAGTCAGAAACTCTGGGCCCTGCCCCAGGGTCTGTCGGTACCAATAAAGGCGGTTGTGTTCAGAAATTGGATCACACCTGAAAGTTACATTCTGTCCCCTCTTTGTGATCTTGTGTCTGGGGTTCTGGGAGACTCCAGTATCTGCGTGATCTGTGGAGATACAAGTTGGGAACAGGAGGAAAACAATTGTAGTCATCACACACACACACACACACACGCACACACACACAGACATACACAGACACAATGAGATTGCTTGGTGTTCTGAGGACTCACCTGCCCCCAGGAGACACAGGGCCATCCAGCAGAGGAGGCTGGTGCCCATGGCAGGGTCAGGGCAGGATGGGAGCTTTACCAGATCAGGGTCACTGTGAGCAGGAGCAGAGGATGAGGGACGTCCTTGTCGCCACAGAGCAGTTCCCACAGTGACATCACTGAGCCTCAGGATCACCTGATACTGATGAGTTAAGTCTAAGATGGCAGCAACTCTGATGTGCACCACTTTATTATGTACCAGCAAGAAAGAAAATAATTACTGTCACTCATCAGAAACAATAAACGGTGTAACACCATGAAGCATAGAATTCATGACAAGTGATAAGTCAGAAGTGGGTTTCCACACACACAGCTTCTGTGAGGTCCATTTTGTTTTCCCCACTCAGCCCTCCAGGGGGCTGCTGCCCGCATTCCACCCTCCGCCTTCGGGAAGTCTTCTCACTTTTTCCTTTCGCATTGTCGGCTGGACATGCCACCTGGCTGCTTCAGCAGCACTTTACACAGACGATCCCAGTGCTGACTGTCAACCTTCCTTGGAGATCTCCTGTTTCTGGCTCTGTTCCTGCATTTCCTGCCCATCCACGGTCTGGGTAGGAGTGGGAGGTGTTTGGGAAGTGGAGAGAATTGCCGCGTCTTTTTCCCGAAAGAGTTTCAATTCACAGCTCAGAGGGGCAAGGGAAGAAACGTTGCCTCCAGCAGGCACCAAGCTAAGTTGGGATCTTCAACTCATTCTAAAGGTTAAAAAAAGAACAGTTAAACAATTCCCCATATGAATTCATTAATCTCAATACTTTTTCTTTTTTGTCTCTACTACTTATCACGACACCTCCTGTGTTTCTAAGTCACCTCTGAAATCAATAAATGTTCCATAGCCTTTAGAAAAAGTCAGAACTGTTTTACCCTTGACATTGTGATGGGAGTAGTACAATTAAAAAATAGGGAGTTGAATTAATCCTTGGGGTTCCTAACAGTCTGCATTATGAGCAATTAATTTCTCATTTTCATTCCTAACTTAACTCTTAAAACTTCATGGGCACCCTCTTTCATATGAGGGACAATAGTCACAATTCCTCTCACTGCAGGCAAGTTAGACCCAGATTTGAGAAGATCCTGCAAAGTGGAGGAAAAGTTTGAAGCAAAGCAGAGGAGATGGTTCAGCAAGGTCTTTGCTGCTGGCAAAAGGAGACCCACAGAATCCCACCCCACTAGGGGATGTGTGTCCAGCTGATGGAGTGAGATGTTTGGTTGACCAGCTTGGAATATGCCATTGTACCTTCAATCTCAGAAGTGCTACATCACAATAGTATAAAATTCATGCTGGTGCATTTCCAGCTGACATTGCTTCCCATAGATGATGCCATAAAGTAGGATGTATTCACACCTATTGCTGCTCCATACCCATTACCTGCTTTCAAGAGGTCTGTGTGAGCACAGTTTCATGAATGGAGATAGAACCTGGAGCTAGGACGTAGGAGACTGCATGGGGAATGTTTGGAACTGAGGCACAGCAGTTGCAGGGACAGGGATTTCCCTCAGAGGTTTCCAGAGCCATCTGCTCCCAGGAGACAAAGCACAACTAAGCAGGAACATGGAATCCCATCATGCTCTGAGAGGGAAATTGTTGTTTTTAACACAGACCCCGTGGGTTTTCAAAATACATGGTTCCTCTGGCAAGGCTTGGCATATTCAGAGCTGAGATTCCCCCAGGTGCATCCAGGACACACCTGGTTTTGAGAAACCAAGGCATGTCCAGCGCCCAGGAGAAGAGCCTAGATCCCATGGGAGACTGAGCAGGTAGAGGGCGTTCAGAGCTCTGGTGCTACAAGAGGCCAGGATCTGTCCTCTCCCTGTGCCTGGCGAGTGTGTGTCTGTGGTGGTGCTGTTGCTGCTCATTTCCCAGTTCACAGGTCTCCTCTGGCATGGTTCAGGATCCCTTCTCTTCTCACCCAGTCAGCTTTCTCCTGCACTGACTCCTACACAGCAAGGGGTGCAGAGCTGAGAGAAGCTGGATTCAGATTGGAGTCCTATTCTCACAGCTTTTCTGGTGGTTCTCTGAATTGTGCTGCCTGACATTCCTCTAGGTGTGGATCTGGGAAGGGAATGGGAAGACCCCCAGACCCCCTAGGTGTCCATCATAGCACATCTTCCTCTGTAGCTAACAAAGAATCAGAGACCTCTGCCTACTGGATTTTAATCCTGTTTGAGGGTCTTCACAGGATCCAAATCACCTGCACATCCTGTAATAGTGAGGGTTTATGTTTTCAGGGTTTGTAAGGACTTCTTATTTTAGATATATAAGTGGATATATGAATATATATTGACATCTCACGTTCAATACCGATTCACAGTGTGGGTCATTACCTGTCATTTGTCTAGAAAGCTTTCTCAGTCCTTGATCAAGCTGCATGGTGTAATCATGCCTCTCCTAGTTGTCAAATCTTGATCTTCCTTCTATGGGGGCTGGGGGCTAGCTGGGCTTTCATCCCTCTATGTACTCATATGTCTAAAATACTCTTCACTCAACCCTACTGCTTCACTTAACAGTTCTCCCTCTCCCTACCCCTTCTACTCCTGATAATCCTGCTCATTCTATGACCAATAATACTTCATGGGTACTCAAGTAATGGAGCAACTCTAACCCTAACCCCCATAAGAACAGACCCACACATCAGGCCAATGTTGGAAGTAAAACTTCACTTTAAAAAGTCACTGAAGAAAATGACCAAATGGCCCAGATTTTGCAAACTGCCAACACACTAAGTCCATCTTAGCTCTGTAGCACCAGCCAGTTGTACCTGAAGGTGAGTCACTGCCACCATCTTCTGGGAGAAATTTGACTTGTGATTCCTCCAGGGTTTCAGAAGCTTTCGCCTGGGATTTCTCTTTGTCTGTTTTCTGAGCTCATCATCTTCTCTTAGACCCAGCCAACATCCTTCCACCAGGTCCTTCTGTCGACTGAACCAAGCAGCAGGGTTTGATTCCTTCTGGCTCTCCTCATTTCCATGGCTGCTTAATTATGGGTGAGGTGGGTTTGGTCCCAAACAACGTAAAGGGCATTATTCTTAGGGCTCTGATTCACACTCAGAAATGTATTCTTCATGGTAGAGCCTCACGGTACTCATCGCATGTGGATCAACACCATCCCCACCCCCCACCTCTCACCTTGCCACCAAGTTAAAGACTCTTAGAGTAGAAAAGGCCTTAGAAATAATCTTGTTTCCATTTCCAGTTGTGCTTTGTAAGGTGGACTTGTTATTAAGATTTAACACAGCTATTTGTTCTTCATTTCCAAAGAAATTACTCCCTCAGGTGCGCATCTGAGACCTAAAAAAACCATTAGGAGAAGGAGGAGGGTTGCATCACAGCTTCACAGCTTAGAATTTGGCATTACATGTCCTTTTTCTTCGACATTCTGTGGCCACTCTGCTGTATTCCCAACTGTCCCTCCCCACTGCCTGTGCTTCCGTCTCTGCTGATTCAAAGAAAATAAGATTCCCCTAATTTTAGAATGCAGGAACATTTACCAATTTCTGGCCCATGAGAGTCTCCATTTGAACTCTGAGTTATTTATTAAACTGTGACTCCATTGGCCTTGCCATTCTTCCCTTCGCCACCAGTCTTCACAAGGTAAAGGAGATGTATAGATGCTTACTTAAACTTGAAAATAAATTATCCCACCTTCCAACTACTTAAACGAAAAACTGACTAAAATCAGATGGGATTCTAGTTAACATTGTTTTCCTCTACATTTAATGTATAGGAAGTGACCACTTAGTTGCTTCTCCCTCCCTCATTTTAACAACAGCTCTTCACAGAGCTCCCTGGCCTAGTTTATCCACATTGATGTCTCTGCTACATCTTGTGCTGGGAATAATTTTTTTCAAAGCTATGATCTTCTGGTTCCAGGCCAGTAGCCACTTACCTCTCTAGTACCTCCCCATTGCCAACACCATGATGCTTGTATCTACAGTGCTGTAGGGTACACAGACCATACTACCCGTGGTGTCTGATCTGAAAACAACCCCAGATGGTTCTAGACTTCCCCTCTGTCAAACTCCAGTGACCCCTCTATCAATTCCACATGGAAGCAAGCTGACTGCCCTTCATCTGCCTCCAACATTTATTAGCTCTGAGACCATGGGCAAGGCCATTCATTAACCTTCCTGGACTCTAGCTGCATCTAGACTCATCTATAAAACAAGACTAACATTCCCCTCAATGCTTTAGGAGGACGAACTGAGATACTGTGTAGTGTCTGGTAGGATTGATAAAGGTCTATCCTTTTATCCCTCCCTGTCTCCTCATGCAGGAGAAACCAATGGAGCTCTCAAACCTGCCAGGACTATGAGTGATGGAAATGCTGGAATCATCAACTGGGGGCTGGGGTGAGGACAACCTGGAAGCCTAAAGAGGCCATTCAGTCTCTTTAGAAAAGATCTGGCAGAATTCAGGAATTAGACAATAGAGCACAATTGTACCTGTCTACCCTCATTATGCAATATGAAGCAGCTAATAGGAGCAAGTTAGATCTATATTGACCAATCTGGAACAATAAGACCAGGGTATATTAACAGAAAAGAGTATGCATGTGACAGGTAAAGTGTACAGGTGAACCCATTTTCTGTAGGTGTACTTGGGTAGAAAGGTGTGCATGAACACAGAAAAGAGAGGTGAAAAGAAGCACACCAGAGTGTTAATATTGGTGACCAGTGGAAGGTGGGATTGGATTTGAGAGCGTTATTGACATTTTCATTATATATTATTTGTTAAAAAATCTTCACCACATACAAGCTTTTAAGTTACACCTTTCAGCTGGTGTCTGACTTTATAGTGTCTAAATGGGCAAAGTACAGAAAGCTTCTGTTTATGGAACCCCTTATAGATGCCCATTTTTTGGAATAAACCGAGGATAAAGTGTACTATGTAAAAGCGTATAAGCTCCTGGTGAACACAGTCTCTGACTGCTGAGGAGGGTGAGCATCAAGGTCGATACATTTGATGGTGAGGTCAGTTCAGCTGATTATGAACCAATAAGGCTTCTACCTCTGAAAGCCTGATCACCACGGAGAAGTGGAGGATCTCACCCCTTGTTCTAGAACAGCCTTTGAATAGCCTCCGATTGGAAAAGGAAGAGAAATGAGCACCCTCTAGTGCCTGCATTTCCAAACTCAGTGAGAGCTCGTTTCCAGTTTTACATTGTTCAAGCTTTAGAAATGCTCTTTGTTTCTGATCCAAGTAGCAGTATTATTACGATGTCAATTGTAATGATATTCCAGTGTTTATCAACAGCACACAGCTTTCTCAAATACAGCTTTAGTGAGTGGGTAGAAGAAAATGCTGTCCCTAGGGAAGATGTTCTGACTTTGGTTTGTTTAAGGTTCAGTTATTTAAAATAGCTAGTCTATTTTTGGTCTTTATTGCCTAAAGAGATAAAACTTCATTCGTATTTAAAGCATAGATGCAAATCATTCCAGCAAAATTGGGGCTTCAGTCTGTCCGTGGGCCATCCTTGGTGATTGTATATTTGATTATTTCCACCCAGAATGGCTCTCACAATTCTTCAGGGACTAACACATAGCCCTGCTCTGTAAGTGGAGCCTCTGCCTCACAATCAGCCTTTCCTAACTGGCAAAGGAGGGGAATAAGCAAAGGTCTCTGTTCAGTGCCCTGCACCAAAATCAGGTGTGGGCTGGAGGAAGCTGGTGACCATCAGGTCTGTGTCTCTAGCATTGCCCACCAATTCATGGAAATGAACACCCATAATATAGCTCAGTGTGTCAGGTAGCATGGCCTCAAAGCCACCCAAAGAGATATTTGTGCCTTGGGAACACTCTGCCTAAGAGAATGGGGAAGGCATTTGTTTTCTTCTCCATGACCTTTTAATGCCAGTGTTTGACATTATGTTTCTGATCACTCTCTCAGAGTGATTAGGTGCGCTGTGTCTGTGAGACTCCCAAATCCAGGACACCTGTGAGGGAAGGAGATTGAAGGAGGAGACTAGGCAGGAAGGCGATGGGCAGATAGGAAGTTCAGTAGTGCAGAAAGGCTTGGATCCAGTTACTCATCCATGACAGGGATTTCTCCTCTGTTTCCAGGACTCATTTGATCCTAGGATATGAAGGGATAGAAGTTCCCATTTAATGTGTCCAGACTTCTGGAACAGTCTATGTGGGAACTCAGAGGGCCTTTCAATATCTGTTCTTTATTCTTTCAAGATTGGTCAGTGGCACCTGGAACCGCTGTTGGTACTGACAATAAAATGGGGAACAAAACATCCACAACTTCTAGAATGATGCCTTTTACAGTGGAGAATGCAAGAGAAGTGTCAAACAGTCACACAAAGTCAGGGAAATGACTATGGTGCTAAGTCTATGAATATTAATGCATATTATAAACTGTGAGCATTTACAATAGGGAGGAGCAGCCTAGGAAAACTGTTGAAGGAGTGTCTCCCTAGAGATGGTGGTAGTTAAACTGAGATTTGGAGAAAGAACAAAAGAGAAGAGACTTCTGATGAGCCAGAGGATACAGCATGGAGTGGAAAGGGCTTTGGTGGGAGGAGCATGACCCATGAGGAAGGGCCTGAATTGAGGCATCTGTGATTGACATGAAGGTGAGGGTGCAGAGGAAGGGAGAAGACAGCTGGGAGCAGACATCACGTGGAAGAGGCTGAGGACTGACGTGAGTGTGGTGTGGGGAAGATGGACTTGTGAAGGCTGACAGGGAAAAGAACATAGACCTGTATTGTCAATGCTGTCTGCAAATATACAATTTCAAATGAACTTTCCTTTCTGAGAGCAGCTGAGGAAGAGGACTTCTGAGGTCAGAGCTGCAGGAGGGGCCTGGAAGAGAGGCTGCATCCACGCAAAGCATGGTTATGTGCGTTCCATCGTCCAGCTGAGACTGGCCTGGAAGAGAAGCTCAGCACAGGGCAGAGTTTCCCATGCACAGGCTGCTCAGAAATCTGAGGGCCCCAGCCTGGGCAGTGTTGGGAGACTCCTATGGGACAATGTTTTCCACTGCCTGGATCACGGTCTCGTGAAGACAAGGCCATCTATATTTTCCACTGAGCATTATGTGCAGAGGAAGGTGGCTGTGGGGTGAAAGCTGGTGCAAGGGGGCACAGAGGTCTGGGAGAGGCTGTCTGACACCAAGGCCACATATTTGGCTTTGAGAAAAAGTCACAGACCCTCAGGGATTCTGTATAGTGTGTGCTGGGACGGATCAGCTGTGCACCAGCCTTGGCTCCTATTAACACCTACACATGTAGTCATGGATGGCAGTCTCAGGCATCTCCATGTCACTTCACGTCCTGCCTTTGTTCTCTGGTATCTTGGGATCTGGTTGTCCCAGCTTCTGTGAAGTCTATGATAGAAGGAAGTTGAGTGCCCAAAGAGGGACCCCAATAATGTAGACTTGAGGTAAAGGCTTAGGCTGGGATGTGGTGAGCCAAGGAAAAGGCTTTAGGGGACTCACCTGCCCTCAGGGGGCAGACGGCCAAACCATTGAGGAGTCTGGTGGTCATGGCAGGGTCAAGGAATAATAGGCAAATTGTGGGGAGTTTTTCAACTTGCGCATTGGGAACATAATTCCTGGATGTCAGTAGAGTCAACTGATGATGCCACTGCCCCTGCCAGCCAGTGACTCTGCCCTCTGCCTGCTAGTCCTCCCTCTACCTGCTGCCACCTTCAACCTACAGTCAAGTCATAAACCTTCACCCATGTGGTCTCCACTCCTGGCTGCCTTTCTTCTACAAGGTAACAAACGGACAAGGTTCATGATCATTTGCCCTCCACTTACCTCTCCACCATCAGCTCTGGGGGTCTACTTTAGGGCTCTCTTTGACAGGCTATTACTTCTTCACTGAACATATGTCCTTCCCTCCCATTCCTAGGTCTCTATCTTATTTCTTACATAAGATATACTTCAGGTACATTTATTCTTAGTGGTGAAAATCCAAGCTTAAATTTTACTAGAATAAATTGATAAAACTACGCTTAGACATTTATATAAGAAAGCGGTTTTTGTCTACACACAAACAAAATTGATTTTAGTTTTTGTTGCATTAAATTAAACTCTTGTGCATCAAAAAAACACCATAAAAGTGAAAACATAAGCTGCAGACTGGGGAAAGACAAAGGGAATGCATATAAATGATTTTTAAAAAGTGTTAAATTTAACATTCCTCAAAGTTGCTAATGAAGAGGCCATAGTAATGACCCCTGAAGGCATCTGAGCGTCTACTGCAGCCCTGCTGGTCACTAGAGGGCAGTGCGAGGGCTCTGACTTACTGACCAGGATGCAGAAGGTGATGATGGAGCAGGGGGGTAGGTGGAAAATGGATGGACTAGTTTGTTTCCTACTTCTGATCCTTACAAGCCAAGAGACACTGGGGAAAATGACTCAATGTCCCTGAGCCTTCTATCTATAAAGGAAGAATAGAAATGTTTGATGTGCAAGAGTGTGGAAAGCCCTTAAGCTATGTAACAAATACGAAGAATCTAGCACGTATCTGGGGCTCAACAGTCACTCTTCTACTGAAGTTATCCAGGAAGTGACAAACTACAAGAAGTTGCAGCACAGAAGCAGGCACACTCAGGGCACAGGAAACCTGGGCTCTATTGGTTGGGAAAGGTCTGCCCTCAGTAGGACACAAGACATGCCTTCCAAACAACTAAAAGCTTCCCTTGAAGGAGTGAAACCTGGGTGGGGCCTGCAGTTCTCAAGTCAAAGCTAAGGCGGAAGTTTATATACAGAATGTCAGTGACTCTGCTGGGCTGTGCCAAGCTGCTGGCACAGAGATAGAGGGCCGAGTCCCCTAGCAACAAGGCGTTCACATTCAGCTCAGAGCTATAGTTAGGGAACTGGTGACCTGAGAATTGATCAGGGAAGTTTCCTCTTCCTCTCTCTTCTTTCTCATAATACTGAAAGATAAACTGGGGCCCCTGACCCAGGGCCTGTTGGTACGAGGACACACTGGTGTGCCCAGAGATAGGAGAGCATCTCAGAGTCACGTGCTGTCCTCTCGTTTTGATCAGGTGTGTGGGACTTTGGGTGACTCCAGCGTCCACTGGGCCTGTGGGAAAAGCAGATGTATAATGAGCACTGGAGACAGCCTGGAGGTCCTCCCCAAGGTAAAGTGGAGGACACAGGGGTGGGAAAGCTGAGAATGGAGCAGCTGTCCTGTGCCCGGGACTCACCTTCTCCTAGGGGACAAAGCAGCACCCAGCAGAGGAGCCCGGGGCCCATGGCACAGTGGGGCAGGCAGCACTGCACCTGATTCAGGGCTTGGTCCTCCTGGGAAAGAGCTGAGTGAGTTCTGGGCCTTGATTTTCCTGATGGGAGGGGTATGCTGTGATGTCACTGTCTTGTGTCTTCCCTATGCAGCCTTCCTTAGGTCTAGTGCTCCACGGACACTGGACTCTCTACCTGTCCTGCCGAGCTGGAGGGATGGGTGAAGGCAGAAGCTTCTGTGGTGATACAGTTGCTCCTCTGCCTAACTGCCCCAGCTCACAGGCTGCCCCATCACCCTATCACCCTCCTCTGACCTAGTGCTGCGGTGCTCCATGCTGGAGCTCGCACACCTGCCTATCAGCAGATGGTGAGGAGCCTGTGATTAAACCATCAGTTTCCAGCTCTTCCTTGCTCTCCTCACATCATCTTTCTGAAGCTAGATTCACACCAAGGTTTCTTACTATATTTTCCTGTCCCAGGCAACATTCCCAACCCATTTCCTGAGTGGCCAGCGGTACAGAGGCCCCAAGATTTAGTCCATCTGATCAGATCCAAAGCAGACCTGTGTTGTCTGTAAATTATTAAGAGTGCAGATTCCCCAGAAATAAATCTAGGGCCTTATCAGCTCACACCACAGACCTAGCCAGCTTTGGACTCAACACCCTCAAGGCCATCCTATATGTAGTGCTCTGGAAAGTTTATGTTAATCCCTCCAGATCCACCCTGCCTTCACAGGCTGACTCCAGTGTATCATGTTAACTGTCTCCTCTTTTCTCTAACTTCAGAGTGAGTTTGGCTTATGGGAGACAGGACAGCAGAGGGAGGTAGTGTCACCATCTGTGCTGGTTTGCAAAATCTATTCCCTTGGCTGCCTTCTTGCTGGGTTAAATTGCCTGGTGCCTAAAAGTAGTCACACAGTGGCCTGAATGCTTTGCAGCTTAGATATTTCTTTCAGCAGATATCCTAGCTAATGGCTCATAATTTTATATTCCATAAAGTCCTAGAACAGGACACAATGTTGCCAAGGTTTTTGCTACTTATGAGAAGGATGGCATTTACTTCAATTTCTGATACCTTGTTCCTCATTTCCCCCTGAGCTTTCACCAGAAATGCCCTTAATGCTCTGTTTTCAGCAATCTAGGCTTTTGCTAGTCTGCTTCTCTGAATTCTTCCAACCTCTATCCATTAGCCATTTCCCATTAACTAAAGCTGTTTCTACATTTTCAGGTACTTGTTACAGCAACAGCGTCACTCTCAGCACCATGTTTTCTTTCCATTTATTTCCTACTGCTATAGAGAAATACCACAGACTGGGTAATTTATAAAGACAAGGCATTTATTTGGCTTATAGATCTGGAGACTGGGAAGTCCAAGATCAATGGGCCATAGCGGCTGAGGGCCTCCTGCTGTTATCCAAGGCAGAAGGAAGGGGAAGCAAGCACCCAAGACAGAGAAAGTGGCTGAATTTATACTTTTTATCAGAAGACCATTCCCAAGACAACTAATTCACTCCCACAATAACGGCATTGATCTCTTTCTGAGGGCAGATCCCTCATGACCTAGTCATAGCTGTCCCACCTCCCAATACCATTACAATGACAAATTTCAACATGAGCTTTTGTGAGGACACGCAAGCATAGCACACACATCTACACTGTAAGTCAGTATTTCCACTCTTAAGTTTATACCTAAAATAAAATAAAAAAAAAGAATGTATATGTCCACAAGAAAGAGTTCCACAAGAATGTTCACAACAACTGTATTCATAATAGTTGAAGACAGGAGTAATGTGGATATCCATCAACGGGAGCATGGATAAACAAGTTGTGGTATAGTTATGCAATGGAATATTAGTCATAAGAAAAAATGACCTACTGATACAACAATATGAATAAACTTCAGAAATACTAATTTTGGAGGAAAATAACTCAATAAAATGTTATATGATTCCATTTATATGGAGTTCAAGAATAGACCAAGCTAGTCAGTGGTGATAAAAATAAGAAAAGTTTTGGCCAGGCGCGGTGGCTCATGCCTGTAATCCCAAAAATTTGGGAGGCTGAGGCGGGCAGATTTCAAGGTCAGGAGATCGAGACCATCCTGACTAACACGATGAAACCCCGTCTCTGCTAAAAATACAAACAATTAGCCGGGTGTGGTGGCAAGCATCTATAGTCCCATCTACTCCAAAGGCTGAGGCAGGAGAGTGGCGTGAACCGGGGAGGCAGAGCTTGCAGTGAGCTGAGATCACACCACTGCACTCCAGCCTGGGTGACAGAGTGAGACTCTTGTCTCTAAATAAATAAATAAATACAATTTTTATCTCTGGGATAGAAATTGATTGGAAAGGAGCATGACGACACTTTCCTGCATGACAGAATTTTTTTTATAATCATTTCAGTTACTATTGCACTGGCATATGCATTTGTCAAAATGTACCAGGATGTCCTTGTATTAATATTTCTGTTTTACTCTCTATTATACTTTAATAAAAAGTATTACTAAAAAGTAAACAGCTAAATCATAAAATATGGGATTCACTTACAAATGTATGCTTGTATTCTGCACAGCCCAATTTAAAAATGAATCACACAAAAATAAGAAAAGACAGGAACACACATATCTGTGTAAGTTATGGAGAATGTGAGAAGTGCTTGGTGACTGAAGTGGCAACATTGAAATTTGGCATCAAAATAAGCTCAACTGATGAGTGGGCCGAAAAACAACTAGGATCAAAATCAAGGAAAGCTGTAGACAAACAAAAGCTTTTTACAATATCTTCATATGCTATTGAAATCATTCTGAGAACCATGAGCTGCTACAAATTTCATAACTTGGGAAATTGGGCATTCATCAGTCTCACAATTCAGACTTTCCTTTCATTTTGGCTTTGAACAGATTGGCCAATTTTTGAATTGATTTTTTTGCCCAGCAAGCAGCCTGCTCCCCACTTTGTGAGTGGGGTACTGGGAGACCCGGCACTCCCCCTTTTCAGCCTCACAGACGGGAGTTGGGCACAGCACAGACACACGGAGTTCCCTGCACGTGGGGTTTGAACTCCCTGTGAAGCCCAGCTATGGACCTCCCAGTCCTACAGTTAATGGATCCCAACTAAAGAAACCGTGCCTCTAGGTGTCTGCTTTACCTGTTAGTGCTAAAGAGGGATACAGGCTGGAGAAAAATAAAATGTTTGCTCAATATTATTCTGTAATATTTTACAAGAAAATCAATTGAGGACTTCATGGATTTTCATCCAAGCCAAAGTCATGATAATAGCTGAATTCCTTCCTTAATCTACCCTGAGAGGACTCAGACACTGCTTGATGCCCACAAATACTTAGTAGAGACTTATTTATAGTCTCCTTTGTAAAATTCTACTAGTCTATTATCTTCATCTCTAACGGCACAGTTTGGTGCATCTACTAATATTTTCCTTCAATAGTTTGTTTACTGAGGTGTTTCAGAAATTTTTGTCAATACTTTTTGTCCTCCAGAGAACATGTGCTTGATTTCCAATGGAACCTCAGCCAAGTTGATGTTATCAGTAAGACTTATGAACTTGGAGAATCCCAGATCACTCAAGCAGGTTAAAGCTGTTGCCTGGCCAGACCTGCAGGGAAGATGAGGTGCAGCAGAGACCCACTGGGCTCAGGGCACAGCCTGCCTCTCACTTTTCCCTTTTCCTCTGAGGCAGTTGCTCCTCTGTCTGCACATGCCCCGACACCAAGGCTGCCTGGCCAAAATTCTTCAACTGTAGATCTGATTAAAGATTAGAGGGACTTCCTGCCTCTTGCATAGCTGTAGGTAGCCTAGCAATAACTGAAAACTCCTGCAACATCTGCATAATATTGAATACAAACCCTAATTTTTCTTAACCTTTTCCCTCCTAGGCTGCTCCCCCAGACTGCCCAGAGCCCTTTACATCGCAGTGGACCACACTGCCATCTTGTGGCCAATAAGTGAAGCTTCATCATTGTTTAATTCTGTAATGGCCCAAGGAATGCTGGGAAGTGTCTGCAGAGTGAGCTGCCAGAATATTCCAGAGGTGCCATCCCGCAGGTTTTATGAGCAGCTTCCCTAAACCCTAAGTCCTACATTAGTTCTAACCCTAATTATTGCTTTGAGTTACCAATCTTGATATCCCACCCTCATTCTGAATAACTCTTATCACATAGCTTCAGTTATAGCCAAACTTTTTCTCCCTTAAAACTACCATCTAAAGAAAGAGGAACAGAATGAGAGGAATGAAAGGAAATAATATTTGGTTTTAAATAGTAAGAAGACACAGACGTTGAAGTATAAAGAGATTATTTAATCTGAATCACTAAAGATAAACAAAAACATCCTCCAAAAATGACAATGTTACCCCAAAAGTATAGATCAGCAAAAGATGAAGTCAAATGTCTATTAATAAAAAGTAAAATTGAAATATATAAAACGAGACCTGTTACAAGACAATAAGCAATGGTGGAGGGAGCAGTACCTAATGCAGAAAATAAGGATGGATATAACTAAGAGTAGCAAAGGGACTGCTATAGGAAATGATCACCTTGTACAATGCACATCCACTGATCTGAGCAGCAAACAGGGAAGAGATGACACTGGAAGAGGCAGAGGAGCAGCGGGAGATGAGGACACGCTGATGCAAAATAGTATCATAAGGAAGCAAATCAGCCAGGGGACTGTGGATTAGATGACTTTGCTTTCTCCTGTCTCCCGTGACAGCTGAACTGGACCATTTTCCTCTCCAAGGATTTGCTCCTGCACCTGAAGTTAGATGCCCCTGGGATTTGCTGCTTTTCAGGTTCCCATGGATGAACTCCCTCTCCTTCCTTGTTGACCATGGTCTGAAGGAGAGGTCATCTCTCCCTCCCCTTCAATCCCACAGTACTGGGGATTGGCACAGACTTCTCAATTGGCATTGACCTCTCTCATGGCATGCTCACATGCCCCCTAACTGTGCCTTTTCATTTCCACTAGACTGAAAGTTAGATGTGGGCAATGAAACTTAACACCTTTATCATAAGATACACAAGTAACTGCTTTCAAAATTATTGCTGTTTCTTTCACTGCCTTGGGTTACAGCTGAACAGGAAAAAAAGGCACAATTTCTTAATGTGACTTAACCACAAAAACCTTCCCAAGTGCCAAAAACAATATAACTACCAAGGGATTGCTCTCCTCATTGGCGAGATGGAAAAATAAACCAAAAAAAAAAAAAAAACAAAGAAAATATTGTCAAATACTTTAATGGAGACACAGAAACCCAGTCCCTCTTATACAAACATCACTGTTTGGCCTCCCTCTACCTGAGAGACAGACAGAGCCATTCCTGTGCCCTACACCTGGCAGGAAAGCCCTGCTGGAGCCTGTGGGGAGCTGGTGAGGATGAGCCTTGGTGATTCTGCCCCAGAGCAGGGATTCTCAGGGAACTCTGGACAACTTCCAGGGACTGAGATGGAGAGTGGCCACACTCAGTCCAGGAGAGGAGAATACTGAGGATGTGATCCTTCTGATCTCTCAGCCTAAAGTAAAAGCAGAGTCATTCCTGACTGGTGTGGAGCTGCTTAGTTTCTAAAGCAAAATAGTCCTTGTTTCAGGGTCTGTCAGTGACATAGAAGAATAGCGGGGCTCTATGTGGTTCACAACCCAGAGTTGCTGCTTGGCCATCTCTGTTCCCAATGACTCCAGCATCTGAATATTCCATGTGAGGAAAGATAATTTGTAAATAATGAACTGGTTCAGTGATACCTTTAGGTACATTCAAAATAGTTGTCATGTTCCAGACTGGCATTCTTGAAGGAAACACAGAGCTACAGTGCAAGAGAATTTGGGAGTTGAATGGAAATAGGAACAATTGACGGCCCCTTAGGTGATGGGTTCTAAGAACAAGAGTAGTGGGGAAATAAATTCTGAGCTATATTGGCCTAGCTCAGAAATGGCATAAGAGGGACATCAGAAAATACCCCAGTAATGTGCTGATAAACTGTGTGTCTGTGAAGGTGGGGGCATGGCTGGTAGCATTTCCTAATTTCTGTTGTACCAACATACCCACCATGGCAGATTTCAAGCTCCCAGCATGGCTTCACTGAACAGGGAGCTGGGAAAAGTATGCCTATTTACTTCTTTTGAGTCATACAAGCCATAGACTAAAGAGAAAAGCTTCAAACTTCTTCAATGCTTCCTACTAAACATACTAAAATGAGGCCACAGCAACTATAGCATACCTCATTATTTTCATGATAAGATCAGAGTGTGTGATCCTGGGTCTTGGAATGGACAACGGGATGTTTGTGCAGAGAAAGGATTTCTGAGTCCTCTGAAGCTGCTGAGATCACAGAGCAAAGAGTTATGCTGGCTGGTTGGGGAGCCGCTAGCCTTTGACTTGAAGTAATTGCAATGAAATGTTTCTCCTGCTTAACTTAAGACAACAGAATGATTTCATTAGAACAGAAACCACATTCCTCCCTATTTGTTCGTTAGTACCATCTACCCTTTGCTCCTCTTGCATGTTCATTCTCTCTATAAATTGGAAGCCCTGCTCACTTTTGTTACATGTTCTTGCAGCACCATTTACAACAGTGGACTGTGGTCTGTTCAGCCTCAGTGTCAGAGCTTGTCCACTGTTAGGACCAGTTGTCTCAGCAGTCACATGGAGGAAAGTGGCAGCAGTTAGAAGGTCTCAGAAGACAGGGAATTCCCATCTGTGTGCTGGCCTTACTCAGTCCCAGAAGACACAGGGCGGCTGAGCAAGGAGTCATTTGATGACGACACAAGAAAAAATGGGTCAAGAGCAATTCCCTGCCAGTGACCATCATTCTCTGGGGAAAGAAATTTGGTGTCTGTACCACACCATAATTTCTGATCAGTGAATTTGGAAGGACTATGATGCCCCTCCTAGCTATGAAAGATTCAGGGCACCTCTATCAGGGTTGCATCTGGGACACTGAGTCCCAGACTTGGAGAAGTGGTCTGTCGCTGAGGACTCCCCGAAACCCATAATGCATAATCACATCAGCTCTGACCAGTGCATTCCATTTCATAGATACAAACTGCAGCATCACCCACAGACAGATGGAAGATTCTATTGCAATATAATCATTGTACTTCTATTTCTAACAAGTGCTATATAACACTATATATTATGAAAAAATATAATAAAAAGGAATAGATTCAATATTATAAATAAAACACTTTTTGAGTTAAAGGCCTTGGGAGAATTATTTCAAATCAAATGAGTTGGACAACAATCAAAACACTCAGAGTCTGAAAATCAGATTTCCTGAGTGAATCAAGGTGAAGTGGCAGCGGTGGTGATGCATGCTTCTGTCTATCAGGACAGCAGCAATGGCAAATGGAAATAAAATAAAGGATACTCTTGGCTTAAAGTAGGCAGAAGAAATGAAGTGTTATTGTTACCATGATTGTATTTATCAAGTAAGGACCACAAATTTGCAAAGACCTTTACTTCAAACAGGAAGAGAGGTTTGATATTTTGTGGCAGAAAACTTCCAAGGTGACAGGGATAGAAGAGGCTTCAGAAGAAAGATCTTCTCGGGGATGTAGCCTCAGACCTTCCAGATGCCCCAACATATGAAGAAGAGGCATGTTTCCTGCCTATGACAACCTCATGTATGTGGGCAACACAGCAGCCTCCAAGACCTATAGAAGATGCATGTCTGCTCTGAAGGCCAAGGCTAAGACACCCACTCCTTGTTTGGAGCAGTGAGCTGGCTCCGAGCCCTCCTAGAGTGCAGTGGGACGTGATTGTTTTCACCACTTACATTTGCAGTCACTGTGTTTCAGGAATGAATCTGTGGTCTCTTTCCACCCAAAGGACAACCGAGGTCCAAATCTACCTCTTTCCCAGGAAAAGTGAGGAGCAAAGAGAGGCCTCTGTTAATGATCTCTGGGAGCTGCAAAGAGAGAGAAGGATGAGGTTTGTGAACAGGAAGGAGGCGACTGTGCCATGCTGTGGCTAAGCTGCTGGCACAGCGATACATGGCTGAGTCCCGCTGCTCTGTGCGCTGAATCGTCAGAGTGGAGATGGATCCCTCAGGCCTCTCTGCAGAGAACCGATCACTGGGCAGCCCTGATTTGTCTGGTTGAGCTTCATAATTGAAGTAAGTCAGAAACTCTGGGCCCTGCCCCAGGGCCTGTTGATACCAATAAAGGGTTGCATGACTCGAAATTGGATCACACCTGAGAGTTACATCCTGTCCCCTCTTTGTGACTTTGTACCTGGGAGACTGGGAGACTCCAGCACCTGTGTGATCTGTGGAAACAGAATCTGGCAACAGAATAAGGAAAACATTTGTAGTCATCTCACACACACACACACACACACACACACACACAGACACACATGCATACACACACACACCTACATACAGAAAAAATATGAAACTACTTTGTGTTTTGAGGACTCACCTGTCCCTAGGAAACCCAGGACCACCCAGCATAGGAGACTGGTACCCATGACAGTGTCAGACCAGGATGGGGGCTTTACCAGATCAGTGTCACTGTGAGCAGGAGCGGAGGATGAGGGATGTCCTTGTCTCCACAGGGCAGTTCCCACAGTGACATCACTTCCTCTCTCAATCCTCAGGACCTCAGGGTCACAGCATTTCTATTAGAACACACTTGGGTGACACTTTAAATATTTATAACCTCCGTTTTAACAACATCAATTCATGGCTCATTGGTTTGTGCTCCAGAGCCGTCTGTGCCTGGAGACCTCACACTGCATCTCTGAGTTCATCTTCTCATCCTACAGCCGCTCCCCTGCCTGCTGGGCATGTCCTGTAGGATGCAACAACAGCGCCCCTAACATAGGGCACAAAGGGTTGAGCTCATTGTCTTTCCCGCAAGTCAGGGTCCCCTGTGCCATCCCAATCATGCCCCAGCTTCCTCCATTCCCCCAGTCACACGTGCCCAATGAGACTGTCCCATCACATGGGTTCCCTCAAGAACTGCCCTCATGCCTTTCTTCTGGGATCATTTCCCACCCTTGTTAACCGTAATTCAGAAAAGATGCCCATAGAAAACCATCTCAGGCATACAGTGACTTATTAATGCTCATCTATTCCATGCCCTAGACTGGGTAACTGGGAACTTCCATGTGAAAAACACTAGGATCTGAAGTTCTAGCATCAAAGATTTGTTTTACCGTTGTCTAATTTAAGACGCTGATGGAAGAAAAGTACTCAGTTTACTGTTTAGGTCCAACTTATAAAAATAAAATGAATATTCTTTACCCTGAAATCATACGTTCTCCTTTGAGTAAATTAAAAGGTCACATAAATCATGAATTAAACCTACCAGGCTAGACTGGGCCAAGAGAAGACAGAGCTTTTTTCTGGAAAGGCTAAGTTTCCAGGGTTAGTCAATGTGGTGCAGGAAGGAGGCTGGTACGTGAAGTATTTTTCCTCGTTAGAAGATGCTGGGATGTGTGATATCCTGGGTACTCAGCTGATCTGGGGGGAAGGGTGGCCAAGTGTGTAATACAAGGGATGAAATGTCATCAGTAGGATTGTCCTGGGAAATTGCCTTTCAACAATCTGAGACATGTTTTGGGCTCTTTGGCCCCCTCTGCTCCATCCTGTTTGGGGGCCAGGTCTCTACTTGGAGAGAAGGCAACTCTAGCACACTGTATTCTTGCCATCTTCACAGAAATGCAGGGCAATTTCTGCAGATCTGAGGATTTCACTTTAGGTTGGCCATCAAATCATTGAGCTGATCAGCTACAAATTCATGAAGCACATTTCTCATACTGCACAGTCAAAAGGGAGACCAGAACACTTGCTTTGGTTATAAAAGAACTGGATGGAGGAAGGCAGCAAGATGTGAGCTTCCCTCCTACTGTCTCCACAGGTCACTGCACTCTGACCAGGCGTCTGATGTCCATCCAACTCCATCAGGATAGAAGCTCAGGAAGGAGACAGAAGCAGGAGGCAGAGCCCTGCCTCTGGGTGGAGCGAGATTTCAGGCACAGGATTAAAAGAAAATTTAGTAGCCAGTGTCTGGAACATCTACATACAAATTGTGTCCACATTCACTTGGGCAGCACAGGTGTCCCCCGGAGAGGAGTCCACGGACCGTGGCAGGTTGAGTCAGTTGTGTGATCTGATGCCTTAATCTGGGAGAATCCATACTGTGCTGGATTGTGTTAAGTCAACTTTGCAAATGTAAGAGTCTGACTTTCCCAGAATGCCATTTATCATTCTGGGTTAGAGATGGTCAAGGATACATTTTGTAACATTTAGAAGACAGATACAAAACAGTCACTATAACAATTGGCAGGTCATTGTGGTGAGAGAGTGAGAGTCAGTGACCAGCAGATACAGAGGCATCCAACAGACCTAGGAAGTCCTGTTCCTTCTGCACCCTGTGTCCAGTTCATCTTGCCAAATGCTGCCCAACAGCAGCCAGGCTGCCCCCAGTGTTTGGCACTATACCCGCAGGCATGGCCCCCACACAGAGGGAACAGCTTCCCCAGAAGCAGGTTTCCTCGGCCTTTTCCTGTGCTCCCGGCTCAAGGTCCCACTGCATGGCCTGGCATGCTCTGATCCTCTCATGTCCCTGCCACTCCAGCCTGTCCTGCCCGAGCTCCAGGAGCCCTGGCTACTGACTGGCTCCCTCACCTTCTGACTTCTCTCCTCAAGACCTTGTCTTCCTCAGCTCCTCCCACATATGCATAAAGTCTAATTCTGATCATAAATCTTTTACACTCACAAACCTGTAGTGGCTCTGTTTTATTGATGCAAACCTAATGGAGATTTTCTTACCAGAAGTGGTTTCAAGGAACAACCTTTAAGGATGGAATTCTTGAAGTGGATCTCTGATCTGTCTAGATTTGTTGTGGGGAAAGATCCTGAAGGAGAGCACAGAGACCTGGAGGAGGTCAGGTGCTGCAGCCACAAGAGGAAGCCTTGAACCAGGTGTGGCCGCCATGATAGTGATTCCCCATCAATTTCCAAGACCGACCTGAGCCCAGCAATCAAAGAGGTGGGCTTTCTTGTACTTAATGCTAGATCTCTGGCAGGTTACAGTAGATGTAGCGTGTTCCTGCTATTTGTTCGTCCACCCACTCATCACTCACTCAGCCTGTCATTCACTCATCTATTCTCTGTGAAATGGGTCTCCCCACATGCCAGGCACCGATGTTGGTAAATACAGCAGGCACAGTCTTAGCTCCCATGGGCTTAAAAATTGGGTGGAGAGGCCAGGCGTGCTGGCTAACGCCTGTATCCCCACACTTTGGGAGGCCGAGAAGGGCAGATCATGAGGCCAGGAGATCGAGACCATCCTGGCCAACATGGTAAAACCCCATCTCTACTAAAAATACAAACAAGAATTAGCTGGGCGTGGTGGCACATGTCTGTAATCCCAGCTACTCGGGAGGCTGAGGCAGGAGAATCACTTGAATCAGAGTATCAGAGGTTGCAGTGAGCAGAGATCATGCCACTGCACTCCAGCCTGGTGACGGAGTGAGACTGTGTCTTAAAAAAAAAAAAATTGGGTGGAGCACAAAAATAATCAGACAAGCATCTGAGAAAGCCCAACTGTGCTAAAGGTTGCTAACAGACATATGATTCATTGAGAGCTTATGAGAGGAAAGTTGATCTTACCTGGGAGGGGAGGGAGTGCTTCCCGCAGGAGGGGCTGATCATACTGAGATCTGAAGCACAGGAAGGAGCTGGCCACTAGAGAAAGGAAGGCTCTGGCCCAGGGCAAAGAAAATGGCCTTTGAAGTCTCTGTGACGGGAAGGAAGGAGTCACAGAGAGGTGCTCCCCTCATGGCTGCAGTAGAGAGGGGCAGGGAAGTGGGGGGTGGAGGATGACTGCGGAGGTGGGAAAGGTGGGCCACAGGAGGGTGGGGGCTGGGGGAAACCCTAGAGAGGAAGCAACATGGTCACCAGGGAGAGACAGGAGTCTAGATGGATCTGAAATACAAATCCTGTTTCATCCTGGGGGCCTTGGACTCAGGATGATGAGTAGAAAAGTAGGAGCTGGGGAAGCCCTGGCCCCAACCCCAAAAGTAGAGCTTGTAGGAGAGAGCAACAAAGGAGACATATGAGGACCTGGGACCAGTCCAGGCCTGGCTGAGATGCCTACAGAGGCACCTGGCACAGAGCGAGGCTCATACTGTCTGGGCCACTTGGGGCCACTTCGGGTTCCAAGGTTCCCGTTGCAGAATACTCTGCCCAGGTCATCCCTGAGTCTCAGGTCGGGGTGGAGGGCAGAGCCTCCCTGCCTTTATGTGCAGAGAGGAGACAACCTTGTAGCGCTGTGGAGTAACTGCTGGCACACAAGTACACAGATGTCTGGGAGGGAGCAGCCGACACCAGCCTGAGTGGGAAATCCTCTGTGTTTAATCTAGAGACATTGTAGCCATTGGGGACTTCTTTGTCAGTAGTACCAGCAGCAGCTGAGTAGTAAATCAGTCTCAGCCCCATGCCTGGGTCTTGTCGATACCAGGACATGTATCCATGGTTCATATCCTGGGCACACTGCAGTGTCATGCTCTGTCCTGTCTTCAGGATGTGGAATTTTGGGGTCTGAGTGACACCAGCATTCACGGGACCTGCAGAGAAGAACAAAACTGATGCTGCAGCCCCAGTGGAAAGGGGATGGGCCTTGAAATCCACGCAAGGGCCCTGCCCAGGACCCACCTGCCCACAGGAGAGAAAAGGCCGCACAGCACAGGAGCCCGAGGCTCATGGCAGGGGCTGCAGGACGGAGGGGTCTTCTGGGTCTGTGCATTGATAAAAGGGGAACAGGACTCTCAAGGGAGTCATTCTGAGACATCATTCTCCCTGCCTGGGCCCCAGAGCCTTCCAGTCAGGAGAGGCCACGCCCATTCCCCAGATGGTCAAATTCAAGATAAATGCACCAGTGAACAGCTGAGAATGAGAAGAACACATTTGTCTGAATTGAAACAAGTCTACAAGATTTTCATGACCTTTTGTAAAGAGTTTGTAATTCAATGTAAATTTTAATTCTTCAATAATATAATTAATATTCTGATGTTAGTTATCTACACAGTGCTGTAGTCTAGACTCTTAGGGAAACTTCTCATGTCTTCCTGGTGTTTTTGATTCCTGTATCCCAAATACTCCTTCAAGTATCCTTTTCTAATTTGCTTAATTGACCATAATCCTGTTTAAAATCCTTTGTCTATATTGGTTTTCTCTGTTATCAAGTTTCCAGATCCTAGGTGCAGGCTTCTCAACATTGCAGGAGTCGTTTTGCTCTGTTTCTTGTCAATTCACTGACAGATGGGACTCCTGACAAACCCAGCTGAGCACCTTCAGCTCAACGCA